>NW_018654717.1:2145394-2446975 GCF_000001405.40 Homo sapiens | reverse complement strand
TCAAGACACTGGTTAAACTTCCCCAGACCACCAGGCTTCTGCTCGTCTCTCCCCGGGACCTGCCCAACTCCCCACAACTCTCCGAAGCCCGATGAAGAATCCGAGTTCTCTGCCACGTGACACTCTCCCAGCACTGGCTCTGCGTCACCCGTCTCACAAAGGTCCCCTCCTTCCATCATGTCACATGAAGCTCAGAGTCCTAGCTTGCAGAACAGTATGGTGCAATAAAAAAACCTGTTAACTGTTACAATGGGCATGTGTGACTCTTTCATAGTAATAACAACCATGGAGATTTGAAACAAACAGGGGCAACACGATCCCAAGTTCTCCATGGAAATCTATCTGGAAAACATCCAAAGAGCATTCATGGCAATTTTCCTTTTCTTTTCTAGAAAGTTCTGAACATGACACATGTCCTGCCTCACTTGTGGTACACACAGGACATCTCATGTGTGTCTGCAGTGGCTGCACATGGTTGGTCAGGGAACCTTTTAGTGCTCACATTGTCTGTTAGGGTGCAGCAGGGAGAACTCCCCTTAGGAGTAATGTGATGTAGGTTGCAGATTTCTGGAGGGCAGAGGATGTGCAATTACCTTTTTTTTTTTTTTTTTTTTGAGACAGGGTTTTACCCTGTCGCTCAGGCTGGAGTGCAGAGGCATAATCATTGCTCACTGAAGCCTCAACCTCCTGTGCTCAAGTGATCCTCCCGTCTCCCATACATGGGACCGCAGGCATGCTCCAGTGAGCCCAGCTAAGATTTTTATTTTTATTTTTTGTAGAGACAGAGTTTCTACTTCTTTTTTTTTTTTTTTTTTTTTTAAGATGGAGTCCCACTCTGTCACCCAGGCTGGAGTGCAGTGGCATGATCTCCACTCATTGTGACCTCCACTTGCCAGGTTCAAGTGATTCTCCTGCCTCAGCCTCCAGAGTAGCTGGGACTACAGGTGCACACCACCATGCCTGGGTAATTTTTGTATTTTTAGTAGAGACAGGATTTCACCATGTTGGCCAGGCTGGTCTTGAACTCCTGACCTCAAGTGATCTGCCCACCTTGGCCTCCCAATGTGCTGGAATTACAGGCATGAGCCACTGTACCCAGCCTAGAGACAGAGTTTCAACACATTGCCCAGGCTGATCTCGAACTCTTGGCTCAAACAATCCTCCCACTTTGACCTCCCAAAGTGCTGGGATTACAGGCATGAGTCACCACGCCTTGCTGAAATCACATCTTCATAGTCTGGACCAGGCTATTCCCAGCACTGAAGCACCCTCAAAAAATTCCATTAAACATCCTCATGACATCCTTGCTCTCCAGCTGAATTCACTGCTTGATGTTAATCATGAACATCTGGTAGGTCCTACCGACCCATAGTAATCAGATGGGAGTTCTATGGGAGCTGGGTGGGAAGAAGGCTTGATTGTTGTGTTCCTTCTAATAAAGCAAACTCTATTACCTTCTACTCAGAAAAGCGTGAGTGCTGAGCTCATAAAGCAAGAAGGAGCAGCTTAGCTTCTGCTGGGGCCTGGTCAGATCCAGTCCAGTTCTAAGCATGCTTTGAGCAGACTTGGGGTGCAGAGTTAGGATCACCCTCAGACTTCGCTGTTCTGATTTTGTTGTTCTCTGTGCTGTGACATTGGCCCCGTTCACACCAATAATGAATAAATGGGAATTCAAATGCTCATCAGCCACCAGTTGCAAAGCCAAATAGAATTCTTCTCCATTCTTCTGCCTTCAGAGTTACCTACCCCATTTCCAGGTGTGTCGCTGTGGTTTTGAAGGCGGGTGTTCTGTTCCTGCAACTCCCTTCATGGCAGTGGTGCTGAAACTACTCTTGTTTCAGCCGACCAGGCACTGCAGTTGCGGCTTCTAGAATTTCGCCCAAGGGTACTGCACAGACATTCCTCAGTGTTGCAAGACATCACTGCTAACTTACAAGGAGGGCTTGGGAAATGGTCCCATGGAAGACTGTGATTCCAGGCATCTGACTGGGGAGTCTGCTGGCGAGCTAATGGCCAGCCCAGTTTTAAGTCTCTGCTTCATCTGTTCCTGACTTGGTCAACTTATGAATGGCCAAACCTTCTATCTAGGGGAGCTTCCCAGACCATCCACTTCAACCCACCCATTCCACAGGAAGCAGAGGTGCAGGGGCTTGGGTGGCTTGCTCAAGACTGTCCTGAGAACCACCGGCCATCTCTATGAGGATGGCATGCTTCCTGCCATGTCGCGCTGCTCCCACTCTCCATCCTTTCTCCGTCTGGTCCCTCTGTCAGTTCAGCTTTCCAGATATCCAGCAGGCAACACCTTTCTCAAGATCCTTTGTACTAAAGGTCATCAGCCTTCTCCAATCGTGGGAGCCTGTTCTGGTGCCCAGCCATTGGCTCTTCAGGGTTCGAACGCCAGGCCATATCCTTGACACTGTGAAATGCTCCAAATAGTGAAAGGAGAAGGTGAACTTCCACCAACTGCCCAAGACCAAGAAGAACACCTCTGACCACACAGAGCAATGGGGAGTGGGTGTACAGGCCTCGTGCCCCTGATGTGCCTGCCCCTCTCTCTCTGCCAGCAACAGGGGCGAGAATGATCCTGCAAGGAGGGGACTTGCCTGGGGGAGGTCAAAACTCTTACCCCCATCACTTTCTAATCTACCTCATCACCAAAGTATTCCCCATTCTATCCAAGGCTCTGGGCACATTTTTTGGGACCGGAGTTGGTACAGCTAGTGGGCTGAGTCAATCCCTGAGAAGAGACCAGGAAAGCCAGGCTCACTTCAGGACCCCGTTTGGGAACAGGTTTCTACTGGATGCTCAACAGAGGGTAGCCCTTGCCCTGGTGGGACTCAAAAACCTGTGATGGAGTGCATCGATGAACATGTCTTCAGCCTGCCCCCCAGGAACTCATCTGCACCTGTCTGTGACATTGTCTACGTCGTTATGTTTGGCCAAGGGACCAAATGTTCATGGCTCAGCCACTTCTGCATCTTTTCCCTGAACAAGTCCTGCAGCCCCCACAGGACTGTCGCTGCAATTCTTCCTCAGAGGGCCATCAGCGAAGGGTGCCTTGAGGACAGCCTGTGAATTCTGGGGACTCAACAGGGGCAGGAGATGGGAAGCCAGGACAGAAGATGCACTTCTTGCTCTGAACCCTCCCCAACTGTGCACCTGGTTGTCCCGGAGAACTTGGCAGGATTCACTGAGCATCTACATGCATTTTCTTATTGAGAAGGGCCTGGGGAGGTAGGTGCTAAGTTGTGTCCCCCCCACAAAATCCATATGCTGAAGCTCTAACCCCTAGGACCTCAGAATGTGGCTGTGTTTAGAGATAGGGCCTTTAAAGAGGTGATTAAGGTAAAACGAGGCCGTTAGGGTGGGCCCTAACCCTGTGTGACTGGGTCCTTCTAAGGAGTGGAAATTAGGACACAGGTACACACACAGGGGGATGACCACATGAGGACACAGCAAGAAGACAGGCGTCTACAATCCAAGGAGGGAGGCCTCAGGAGAGACTTCTCAGACCAGTAGCACCTTGATCTGCAGTGCTCTGTGACCGCAGCCTGAGCAGACGTACACCGTGCGGACAGAACTGTGCACAGCCACCGCCGAGTGATTCATCTTCAAAGCTTGCTGTGTGTTCTGTTACAGAAGGAGTGAGTACAGGTTCTTCCTTCTCTGCAGTGGCTCACTTGGAGAATTTCCGTCTTGTCTGAAGTCAACTCAAAAGTCAATGCGTTCTCCTAGGTAACACCCAAGCACACAGGAACCGGCCGTGGAAGCCCCCAGTGAAATTCCTGGACAGGCCTGGCAGCCTCCACGGTTCCCTTCCACTTCCAGCTCCATCACTGACTGCATTCCGAAGATCAGACTAGAAATTGTTACACGCTTCACGTTTGGCTGTGACGAGCTCTGAGCAGTGACCTTCACAGCTCCCTTTCCCTGGTGCAGACCAGGAGGCAGCGCTGGCAGCATGCCCACTGCGCTGACCTTAGTGCAGTGCCACTGGCTGGGAAGTCTCTGGGCCAGAGTTCCTGAGGCTGGGGGGCTGGGGAAGGGCAACTCCCCAGAGAAAGGCTTGGAGAAAGGGCCTTTGGGCTCTGATCACCAGCCCTGGGGTCTCAGGTTCCAGAAATGGAACGGCCACATCTTATGACCGATGACACAGAGCCAGAAAGGCAGTCATCAGGGAACGTCCTGTTTTGTGTTTTCAATTCCCAGGGGTCATAGCCAGTTGGGGAACAAAGCAACACGTGTGGATATGGGTGCCCTACTGAATGAGAAGCACAGTGACAGGGCGTCTTGCAAAGGATGAGATCCTAGAACCTGGAGGGAGCAGGTGAGGCAGGAGAGCAAGGAGGTGCCACGGAAGGGGTCAGGCCAGGAAGGGAGGCTGTGACCGGGATGGGCCAGGGTGGAGCTGCATCAGGGGGCCAGCATATGGGAGCCCCGACACATCTCCAATAAGGGAACCTGAAGGAGGAAACAATGTCCAGAGCTCCCTGTAGGCTGAACACAGCACCTGGGGGAAGGCATGCTCCAGAAAGCCACAGGAGTGCCTAGAGATGGTCACCAACTGCCCCTGAGCCAGAGCTGGGCTCAACTGCAGGAATGTGTTTTGCAGAATGGGAGGTGCAGGCCCAGCCCTGCCTCACCCTCTCTCTGACCGAGAGCGTCAGCTCAGCCCCACCGCTAAGTCATGTGTCGGAAACACACTTGATGATGAGGGACCTAAGCATGAGGCAGGACAGAAGTGGAAAGAGTCAGCTGTGTGCAGCTCCCCAGATCCCAGCTTCCTGACTCTTTCCTCCCCAGCTCCTTCTTCCTGGCTTGTTCCCATCAGCGGGTAGCCAGGGTCAAGGTTCTCCCATTTACACAGCATGGTCCCTGGACCCTGCATCCTCTCCTGAAGCTGTCCCTCCTCTCCTTGTCTCATCTTCTCCAAGCTTCCCGAAGGCAGGCCACTTGCCCTCCTCACTCTCCCACCACCTGCTTTCCTCCCAAATCTGCCCCAGTGGAGAGCTGTCACTCAGGTCGTGCGGCATTCGGAGGACTGCTTCCGTGCTTCTCCTCCTGGCTCTGTGTGACAGTCGGGATTGGGATCTGCTCTGTCCTTCTTCACACCCCACCCTTAGCTGTTCCCCAGTTCTCTTCCTGCCATTTCTTGAGCTCTTTATGGCAGCCTTTTCCTGCCAGGTTTCTTATCCCCATATTGTAGATGAGGAGACCGAAACAGCAGTGAAGAGACGTGGATGTGGCCACAGCCATATCCTGACATTTGCATGCTCACCTAACTTGTATGGCATTGTACCCCAGTAGGCTGGGCCTCTAGAGATGCCCCAGACAGGACACAGGCTTAGCTGGTTATCTGTCAGTCTGCATATCAAGGACAACATCTCCCTCTTTCAACCCTGGCCCCCTCCCTGCCTCCCTCCCTCCTGGGGAAGCTAACATTTGGGGGATCTCCACCATCTGCTTTTCAAATTCCTATTTTGTATTTTTCCCACAATGAGTCCTTTTAGACAGCAATTCTTCCCCTTCCATCTGTCAAACTTCCCTCTGTCTTCCCACATTTTAAAAAAGTCCAGTCTCTTCTTGGAAATGTTCCCAGGAAAGGATAAGGCAGCTGTGTCCACCGCCTCTCTAAGCATAACCCACTGTCTCCCGTCCTCGCCTTCCCACAGGAGACATGGCAAGGGAGTGATGTGACAAAGGTACTTTCCTATTTGGGCAATGAAGAGGGAAGAAAACAAGCATCCTGATGACTTCTATGAGCCAGGCTCAAAGCCGTTAAATAACCCACCCAAGGCCACACAGCTAGTAAGCAAGAGAGCTCATACTGAAACCCGAGACTATTTCACTCCCCAGAATCTGGATCTGCATGTGCTGGAGCTGGCCAATTGTTAAACTGTAGGCTGCCTGATGTCATGTTGCGGGCTTGAAATTGGCATGGTGGGAGTATTTACACCACAGCAATTGGCAAGTGGTACAAACCAGAGCTCCACCAAATCCTGCTAAATGTTGGTTGTTAAACATTTACCAGCACACCACCGGTCAGGATCAGCCATCCTTCTTGAAAAGCTTGGTGGGTGTCTATGCAAATTAGAAGGGCCTGTCTCCAAATTCAGTGCCTACTCTACATTCAGTGCTGTACTCCTAGATGTGGTCTTCACATGCAGGGCACTACCTGGTTATCAGTCAGAATTAAATACCTTAGTGCTAATGAGAAAGCAACAAAAAAAGCAATCTTCTTTTAAAACTTTTGCTGAAAATATGTACACAGGAAATAATACGCTGGTGAAAAGTAATTGCGGTTTTGCCATTGTAATGGCAAATAATTTCAGGTCTAACAGGTTGCTTTGTGCACAGTCTTTCATAAGCACTGACATACTCATTTTCATTACATTTCTGTACTTGAAGAGGGTGTGATCCAGATGTGAGGTTTCCACAAGGAGTCACTTTAATGCATCTCTGACATCTCCAGATGGACCCTTAAGAAGGGTCAAAGAGGCTGGGCGTGGTGGCTCACGCTTGTAATCCCAGCACTTTGGGAGGCTGAGGCAGGTGGATCACAAGGTCAGGAGATTGAGACCATCCTATACTGGCCAACATGGTGAAACCATGTATTTAGTCTCCACTAAAATACAAAAACACAATTAGCTGAGTGTGGTGGCAAGTGCCCATAGTCCTAGCTACTCTGGAGGCTGAGACAGGGGAATCGTTTGAACCTGGGAGGTGGAGGTTGCAGTGAGCAGGGATCACACCACTGCACTCCAGCCTGGCAACAGAGCAAGACTCCATCTCAGAAAAAAAAAAGAAAAAGAAGAAGAAGAAGGGTCAAAGAGAAGAGACGGCAATCACATTTGTGGCCCTAGCCCTCAGGACTGACAAATATGTGGCCGAGGAGATCAGGAAAAACCCAAGACTGATCGAAGTGATCTGGTGTAAACATAAGAAAGGAGGATTTGGATATCTCAGGAAAGCCAAAATCTGAGCGATCACACCATCCTCTGGCTGGACAAAAAGCTCTTTAACGTAAGTGAGTGGGCCAAGGGAGAAAGAATATCAGGTCTTACCATGGTTTCTATGAAAGATCTCTTTTTTTTGCCTCTGACTTCATGCATATCATGTCATCTGCTAGTTTCTAGTAAGTTCAATAACAGTGATATCTTCCCTCTACTGAACAGCCACCTTGACCCAGACTCTATGCTAGGCACTGCACATAACTCAATTGTTATGTTAACTCAATTATTCTTCCTTACCATGCTATCAGCAGCAGCAGACTGATTTCAAGATGAAGACACTGAGGCTTACAGGCTAATTAAGTAACTTTTCCACATGAAGCAGTTAAAAAGTTGTAGAACTAGAATTTGAATATAGGCTTGTCTGAATCCAAAACTCAGATTATTTTCTGAACCACTGGGAAAGATCTCTCTCCATCCTCAACCACAAATTAAAGAATTATCATTGAGGCTTATACATCAGTTTCTTATTAATTTGGTTAACATATGTCAGCCCTCTGATCACCTCTGTGAGCATTGACAAAGTCAAATTTGTGGGTCTACACAGCCGAGGACCCACCCCGCGGAGGCCCTGCCTGAGTGTTCAAGCCACTGCAAAGCTGATGACACTTCTGTTCCATCTCTCTTGCCTGAATTGCCGGAATGGCCTCCTAACTGGTCTCTCTGCATCTGCCCTCCTCCCAACACTCTATCCACACTACAGCAGCCAACATGATTAAGCTACAATGTTTCCCTCCGCGTGGCTTCCAGTGCCTGGTGGACCATCAAGAGTCACTGATTTTCAACGCCTTTTGCGTGGGAGGATGTACACGCCCACGCTGCTGGATTGAGGTGTGGCTGAGACTTGCTCTGGCCAGGCAAGTGAGCAGAAGGGATGTGTGGCCCTGCCGGGCAGAAGACTGTGCTCACCCATGCTCCAGGAAGAGGCTGCTCCACAGGGACCCTTGACTCACATGCAACGAGCATGAAGGAAATCGAAAATGCTCAAGGCCACTGGAACTGTGTAGGTATTGTAAACTGCAGCACGGCCAGCCTGTCCTCACTGATGTGCTAAGTCACCCCAGGTAAAAGCTACAGTCCTTAGAAGGGCCGGCAGGGCTGCCCTGCCATAAACATATATATATATATATGGAGTCACCCGTGGAACCAGCCTGCTTCCCCCTCCCAGGAATCTCTGCCTCCAATGGGTGAGCTGTTCTTAAATCTAATCTGTCAAGTCCCCTTTGCCCTCCCTGGGGTCCTCTCCTGCTGGCCCCTCAGACATGCTCCAGCCGCACTTGCTACTTCCTCTGCCTGGAATGCTCTTCCTCCAGTATCGCTATGTTGTTACACAAATGTCACCTTCTCACCAAGACCTTTATGCAACGATCAGCTTCTCAGCCAGGCCCTCCCCGACCACCACACTTAAAACTGCAACTCCCTGCCATGGTTTGAATGTGTCCCCCAAAAATTCATATGGTGGGAACTTAATCACCATTACAGCATTGTGTTAAGAGGTGGGGCCTTCAAGAGGTGGTTAGGCCATGAGGGCTCTGCCTCCTGAATGGATTGGTGCAGTTAACACAGAAGTGGGTTGTTTATCCAGGGAGTGGGTTCCTGACTTTTAAAAAGTAGTTTGGACTGGGCACGGTGGCTCACGCCTGTAATCCCAGAACTTTGGGAGGCCGAGGTGGGCAGATCACTTGAGGTCAGGAGTTTGAGACTAGCCTAGCCAACATGGCGAAACCGCATCTCTACTAAAAATACAAAAATTTAGCCGGGTGTGGTGGCACGCACCTGTAGTCCCAGCTACTTGGGAGGCTGAGGCAGGAGAATTGTTTGAACTGGGGAGGTGGAGGTTGCAGTGAGCTGAGATTGCGCCACTGCACTCCAGCCTGGATGACAGAGCAAGACTCTGTCTCAAAAAAAAAAAAATAGTTTGGCCTGAGCTCTGTCTCTCTCTCTCTCTTTCCCCGCTCTTGCTATGTTAAGACACAGCAAAGAGGCTCTCACCAGATGCAGCTTCTCAATCTTCAGCTTCTCAGCTTCCAAAACCATGAGCCAAATACGCTTCTATTCTTCATAAATTACCCAGTCTGTTGTATTATAGCAGCAGAAAATGGACTAAGATACCCCTCAAGACTGCCTCATGCCTTCTTGCTTTTTTTCCACCATAGCATTTTGCACCATCTTGATCAACTTTTCTCCTGCTTTTGGTTTTTTATTTCTACTATGTTCCATGGTGAATGCTAGCTCCCTAAGGGCAGAGCAGGGATTTGGTTTGGTACTTCTGGAATTACATGCAAAACTGTGTGGGTATTTTTCTCATGAATGAGTCCACAGCTATTCTTGGATTCTTAAGTAGGCAAACAAGGGAAGGGATCATAATCCCCATTGCTAGCCGCCATGATCTCCCACAATGCTCTCCAAACACGGGAAAGGGAGTTCCTTGGGAGCATTTATGCCTTTGTCATTTAGGAAGAAAACCTTGGGGTTAAACACAGGGAAGAAAAGGAATTCACATTTACTGAATGTTTCAGTGCGTCAGACATTATGTATGCCAGACTCTGTGCATATGTTATTTCATTGAATTTAATGGGACAATAATCCCATGAGAATGCCTGTCAGTGTCCCTATTTTTCAGAGGAAGGAATTGAGGCTCAGGGAGGTAAAAGAATTTGCCTAAGCTTACAGTATTAAGCAAGTCTTTTTATTCTGAGGCTTTCACATCTCGGGGGGCTGGGGGGACCTTTTTCAGTTTACAACACCCAGAATCACCCATTTAACTAACAGCAATGCAATGATTCTTAACCAGGGTGATTTTGGCCTCTAGGGGACATTTGTCGACATCTGGAGACATTTTTGATTGTCACAACTCGGGGTGCAGGTGCTGCTGGCATCTGGCAGGTAGAGGCCAGGGATACTGCTAAATACTGCAATGCTCTGGAAAGCCCCTCACAACAAAGAATGACTTGGCCCCAAATATAATCGCACTGAGGTTGAAACTGTGATAGGGTATTTCCTCAATGTTCTAAATCAATTAAAAAATAGACAGTGAACTTGGCTGTGCCTAATAACTGAAGATTTAGATCTTCCAAAGAATTCCCCCTGAGAAGTGGTGGGTATCCTAACGGGCCTGGAGGTACAGATGCAGGGACCTTCAGAAGGCCATGAGGACTGCATCTCTCCAGCTCTGATAAAGAGTGGATGACTGGTTCCTAAAGAACCTATAGTTCCTAAAGAAAGAGCCACCACCGCAATCTTCAGCACTGGTCCCAAATGCATTTCTTCTACAGCTGCAGGAAAGACGACATGTGAGAAACACCACTGTGGCTCTCCTGGACCCTGGGCTCTTCTGAGCAGCTGGCTGGGGGCTGGCGGCCACTCTGGGAATATGGTGGACAACAGGGAAGTACCAGACCTCCCCTCAAGGAGTTCCAAGGTCAAACACCAGGGTTTAAAGGGCCCAGGAGGAGGAACGCTAAATCCAGCCCCCTGCTTCACTTGTCTGTTCTTTTTAAGATTCTGTCAGGGATCTCAAAATACCAGCTTCACAGCCAGCTGCATAAAGGCAAACTTTAGAGATTCTAGAACAAATGTCAGCCACCCAGCTGGCATGGCACAAGGCTCAAGGGTGCCTGGATCCTGGCTGGCCTGGAGCAAACTGTGGAGATGGCCGTCTGCTTTCCCTGGAGAGTGCCAGGAAATCCATTCTCATTGAGGAGCAACAGCCCACCAGGCACAATGCCCTGTTGCTCCCAGAAGTGGCTGTGTTTTGACAGAGGCAGTGAGATGCTCTGGAAAGGACACAGGTTCCGTACAAACAGCTGGCTTGGGTCCAGCCATGTGGACCTGGGCAAATGCACTGACTCTCTCCAAGCCTCAGTTTACTGTTTGTGAGCCGTGGGTAAAAACATGGATTTTGAGTATATATACATATAGAGAGAGGGTGTGCATGTGTGTGTGTGTGTGTGTGTGTGTGTGTGTGTGTGTGTGTGTATAGAGAGAGAGAGAGAGACAGAATATGTATATATATAGAGAGAGGGTGAGATTGTATATATATGTGTAGAGAGAGAGGGTGAGTATATATATATATATATGTGTGTGTGTGTGTATATATATATATATATAGACAGAGAGGGAGAATATGTATATAAATACAGAGAATGAGATTGTATAAAAATATGTATATATAGAGGGTAAGTATACATATATAGAGAGAGAATATGTATGTGTATATATATATAGAGAGAGAGAGGGTGAGATTGTATATATATATGTAGAAAGAGAGGGGGTGAATATATATATATAGAGAGAATATCTATATATATAGAGAGAGAGAGAGGAAGAGAGAGGGTGAGATTGCACATATATATGTAGACAGAGAGGGGGTGAGTATATATATATAGAATATATATATATCTATAAAGAGAAAAAGAGAGGGTGAGTATATATATACACATGTAGAGAGAGAGAGAGTGAGGGGTGTGTGTATATAGAGAGGGCAAGTGTGTATATATATATAAATAAAAAGAGAGGTGTGTATATATAGAGACAATGTATGTATATATACAGAGGGTGAGTATGTGTATATATAGAAAGGGAGGGTGTGTGTATACGTGTTTGTATATATAGAAGGTGTGTATATATATAGAGAGAATAGGTATATATAGAGAGGGAGGGTGAGATTGTATACATATATGTAGAGAGAGAGGTTGAGTTTACACATATATATGGAGAAAGAGAGAGAATATATATATATAGAGAGAGAGAGAGCAAGAGAGGGTGAGTATATATACACACATATTTATGCAGAGAAAGGACGTGTATACATAGAGAGGGTAAGTATATATATCTGTGTGTGTGTATATATATAGAGAGAGAGCGCTAGAGAGAGGTGTATATATAGAGAGAGTATATGTATATATATAGAGGGTATGTGTATATATAGAGTGGGATGGTGTGTGTGTGTATATATACAGAGAGAGAGAGGGAGAGAGAGAGGGTGTGTGTGTATATATATACAGAGAGAGATGGTGTGTATATACATATATAAAGAGAGGGTGTATATATATATATATATATATATATATATATATGGAGAGAGAGAGAGAGAGGGTGATTATATATAGAGAGAAGGTGAGTATACATATATATATATAAAGAGAGTGAGCATATATATATGAGAGACGATAGGTGAGTGTATATATATATATATATAGAGAGAGAGAGAGAGAGAGACAGGGTGTGTATGTGTGTGTATATACATAGAGAGAGTGAGTATATATAGAGAAAGAGAGAGGGTGTGTGTGTATGTATATATATGTGTGTGTGCATATATATATGTAGAGAGAGAGAAAGAGGGTGTGTGAGTATATATATGTAAAGAGAGAAAGAGGGTGTGTGTGTCTATATATATAGAGAGGGTGAGTGTATATATATATATATATATACACACATAGAGAGAATGAGTGTATATGCACATATATATAGAGAGAGAGACGGTGAGTATATATAAAGAGGGTGTGTATGTGTGCATATATATATAGAGAGAGGCGAGTATATATACATATATATATATAGAGAGAGAAAGAGATAGGGTGTGTGTATAGATAGAGAGAAAGAGGGTGTGTGTGTTTATATATAAAGAGAGGGCGAGTATATCTATATGTAGAGAGTGTATATATCTATAGAGGGCGAGTACATCTGTAGAGAGAAGATGAGTGTATATACACATACATATATATATATATACAGAGAGAGAGGAGAGAAAGGGTGTGTGTGCTTGTATATATATATAGTATATATCTATATAGAGAAGGTGAGTATATCTATATATATAGAGAGAGTATATATATAGAGGGTGTGTATGTATGTCATCTTTTCTGTGTATGTATATGTGTGTGTGTGTGTATATAGTCTCTATATTTATACTCAATATATATTTGAAATTACATTGTTCATATACTTGTTCATTGCCTGCCTCCACTAAAATGTAAGCCCCAGGACAGAGATCCGTCTGCCTTTTTCGCCTCTGTACCCCCAGAGTCTGGCCAGGGTCCCCAGCATCCTCTGTGAGGAGATTAGGCAGGTAGGGTTATTTCAATTTATAAGGTGAAAATGAGGCTCACAGAGGTTAACCGTTGCCTTGCCCCTTAGCCAGGTACTCAGCCGTGAGTGCCCTGGGAGACACAGCCTGCCAGGTGAAAGCACTTCACTCAGCCAAAGCCTTGATAAGGATGGAGGCCATATGCACCCCCCAGCCATCGCTGTTGGGTGCTTCCTTTCTGCCAAGAGCAGATGTCATCACTTCTGCCTCCTAACACCCCTCTGCGATAGAAGAGATCACCAGTGTTTACAAACACGATCACTGCAGCTCAGGGATGGGGAGGGACCTGCCCCGGTGCACTCAGCCGTCGATGCAGATGCGGACCAGGTGTGCAAAGCCAGGCCCCTTTGGCCCCCACTAGGGACTTCACGTGGTGTTCAAGGGAGGCACCTTTTCTCCCAGGTGACAGGAAGGCTGCGGAGGTTCCCGATAAGCAGAGAAGGACCCAAAGTCCTTGGTGACTGCTAGTGAGGGTGACGGGTGTGGAAAAGGATGGGGTCCCAGCAGCAGCACGAGGCAGGAGGACCTGCGACGGGGGCCCCATGATTATGTTGCAGATAACAGGTTTCAGAAGCCAGCAGCAGGGCTTGGCAGCCTGGGGTGCAAGAGGCTGGGAATGCAGTCAGGACTCTCCTTTGGTCAGGTCCGGGCCCAAATCTTGCCTCGGGATGGCCCTTGGGCAAATTCCAGACCCCTGGAACTCCTCTTGGCGTTCTGACCAACCTAACACCTCAGACTGGTTCAGGATTGAATGGGTCTATGGGAGTAAGCTTCCCAGATGAAAAAGGTGAGGCTCAGAGAGTGCCCCCCACCCAGCCCACTGCCGTAATCACTGTAACCGCCGCAACCATGCTTCCCGGTCTTAGCAAGGCAGGGGGTGGGACAGCTCACTGGGAGTCACTCTGGTGTCCCTTTCGGAGCCTCTTCCTGAGTATATACAGTATATACTGGGGATGAGTAGTGCATCCCCAGTAGTGAGAGGGACATAAACAAGAAGATAGTATTCGTGAAACTCCTGGGCTTTCCTTGCTGAGATTCGTAAAGAATGGGAAAGATCTTTTGGAGATCATTTAGCTGTAGTCTTTCCTGCAGCTGGAAGCTCCCACGAGGTCTCAGGTTCTTGATGGCCTCTGACGTGATGTCTAATAATTAAGGACCCCTGCTGCCTACAACTTACTGTGACTCCCCCAATGCTCCTCCTCCTTAGGCTACAGCTGAAATGGGCTTCAGGAGGCTCTTCTGTCTCCTTGCATGTTTCTGGGACCCAGAGAAGATGAGATTGGAGAGATCTGAGCAGTCTCCCTTGCAGCATCCTAGCTCAGCTGACTTGTGAGGGCGGCTCCTTAACCCAATTCCCCATGTGGGAAAGTGGGGGAAATCTCACAGAAGAACAGCTCCCTGGTAAGACCCTGGGGCAGGCCAGGCTGTGGAAGCAGAGGGCTCCCTGCTGGCCTCCTGGGTAGCCCCTGGCGTCCAGTACAGAGGTCCCCCTCCTCTCTCCTCCCTGGCTGCCCTCAGACACTGGGAGCCCTCCCTTTGCTCAAGGCCTTTGTCTGGGCCACTCCTCTTTCTCAGGACACTGTCCTCCAGGTGTCTGTCAGCCTGGCCGCCTCCCCTCCTGCACATCTCGGCCCCACCCTCACCTCAGTGGCGCCTTCGTGGTCTCCCTGTTGAAGACCAATAGAGAGCTGCATAATAGCTATTCGCTGCACATGGCTCTGCCTCCCTTCCCTTCTCTCTTCCCAGCTTTCTTGCTCTCTGTGCACTCCATTTTCTAATAGAGAAAATATTTGCTTTGTTTATTGCCCATCTCTCTACACAAAGCAGAAGCTCCACAAGGGCAGGGTTTTCTGTTTTTTCATTGCTGTATCTGTCCCCAGCTCCTGGAACCGTGCTAGGCACATAGTAGGTGATTAGGGAAGTTATTGAATAAGTGAATCAACGTTCCACCTGCAGTAAATGCTCAGGCTTCTAAACTTGCCGTTGTCAGAGCCGCCCCCATGAAGCTACCTCGCTCACTTTCACTGGCTGAGGAAGCCTGCGCTCATGTCTCTCTGTTCCAGCATTTCATGTGCAAACATTTCCAAGTCCCGAGTTGCTACTTCATCTGCATTCACTGTCATGAAACCCATTGAGTTTGCCTTTCTCCTGTTTCTTTTTTCTTTCTGCTGCTTTAAGAACCCTCCCTCTCGCCATTGGTCGGTAGGGCGACCTCAGTGCAGGGCCTCAAAATGGCATGCAGGTTCAAGCCAGAGTGGTGCAGTGCGAGCGTTCAAGTCTGTTAAAAATTCTTGCAAACTCCATTTAACAGGGTAATGGTTTAATGTATTGCTTAACAAGAAGCCGTTTGGAGCTAGAGCAGGACTTGCTATAGACGCCAAGCAGATTCCAAATGGCATCTCCTCAAAATGAGAGGAGAAACACAGAGCTAGAGAAAGGCTATCCCTGGGGAAGTAGGAGAGACCAAGCCCATGTTCTAGCGGGAGGAGGCAGGTAGGTCTGTGCTGCGTCTCTCTCCATCTCAGCTGTGGATGAAGATGCGAGCCAGCCGGAGAACGGGGTCAAGAGGGAGTTGGTCCTCTTTCCCTTGATTTAATTGCTCGAGGCCAAGGCACTGCAATGCCATGAGCGCCCGGAAGTGGAGCTCGTGTGCTGGCAGATGTATGTGCCGCTGGGGCTGAAAGCCCAGAGTGTTCCTTGGAGACACCTGACCCCAAGATCAGCACTGTGAGCCATGGAGAAGGAGGGGCTCTGCTCAATTTGGGGTCCACCAGGCAGCGTGGAGCACTGGCAAGGGGCCAGGACATAGGAACTCTGGACCAGGTGAGTCATTATGCAATGTCGTTTGACGTAGTGGATTGGTTGTTTTGGGAACAAATTTTACTTCTCATTCCTAAGGAAATGGAATGGAAAATTCATGGCTCTGGTGCTGAGCTCAGATCCAATACCTTCACCTCACACAACAAAATCACCACCCCTTTCTGGGTGGCAGCTTCACCCTATTTTAACCAAGATCCCAAAGTTTGAAGTAATCACCTTTTGTGTCCTTGATTTAGAGACGGTGACAGCTAATGTCCCATATGAACAGGACTGGAAAGAGACAAGAAAGTATTTTCACATAAGAAAAAAGAAATCTCCCACAAAGACAGATGTGGATGTCTTTCACTGGGGAGAGGAAAGAGAGGAGGCCATTCAACTGATCAACCGATCCAACTGATCCAACCGCTAAGAGTCGGGCCCCTCGGCCCTCCCTCCACCTGGGGACAGAAGCAGGCTTTACCCATAGAAGGGATACTTGGCCAGGGAGACAGAGCAGTGGAGCTGATGCTTCATGTGGGATGCTTTTCATCCTCACCAGGGAAAAAAAGAAGTAAGTGCTTGCCGGGTTGCAGCCAAAAAGAAAGGCACAGACATTTCTGCTTAATGGGAGCAGAGAAAACCGAATTGTCCTTCTGAGTTGTTTGGACGCAGTCAGTCTGAGTTCTCGCTGGAAAAATAGGTCAATGTGAAGCTCAAACGCAGCCCTCTAGAAGGGCTTCTGATATAAAAGGAGCCTGCAAGTGAAGTTGAGAAAGAAGAAAACTAGCAAGGAAGTTAGCACTGAAGAGACACAAAGATCCCTAATTGTATCTCAGAGCTCCAGGTTTGTTTAACGGAAAATCAGTGTTTATATGCAGGGTTTATAATTTTCTCCTGCTTCCCTGTCTTAGCAAAGATGCTTTTTTTTTTTTGGCACAAATTTGGTGCTGGTATCTGTGGTTATGGATGTCTAGGTGGGGAGCAGGGAACCCTCTGGGAGAGGCATGGCATTTGGACCATGTCTTCTAGGTGCTGTGTGACCTGCTCAACTGCAGGCCCAGGGTGGCAAGAAGTATAGGAGGCTTTTCTAATTACCCTCCTTGCTGTGTGACTTGGGCAACTTCCTTCCCTCTCTGTGCTTCGGCTTCCCTGTGTTAAATGGGGAGAGGGGCTGGATGGCCTGATGGGCAGCATCTCCCCCACCTCCACTCCCAGGAGATCCTGCCAAGTGCTGCATGGTGGAGTGGGACCGTGCGACTTTATGCAACATGTCGAGGTCTGCTTTTGATCATCTCTGAGAGAATTCCTTGCTCTAGGAAGAAGTATATTCCCAATGTGTGTCCCTTGAGCAGGAATGGTCTACATGGCACCAGCTGGCCATGTTCTGGGGTCAGAGGTCACTCTAGGTTCCAGCCCCAGCACAAGTCTGATCCCACCTGGGGATGCCCAGTCTTGCCCCCTGCTGAGTTAGAGTCTGAGGGGCACACAATGGCTCAGAGGATATCTGAGGGCACCTGGGGTTTCCTCTGAGGGTTCCTGGGGTGCCCTGATTTTTCAGGGCCAGAGAGATCTAAGGAGACCAGAGAAACATGCACCATATTGGAAATGTAGGGCACTGAGTTTTCTTCGTGAACCTCTCACTAACTGAGTCCGTCACCTTGGACTAGTCCCTTGATCTCTCTGGGCTTCAACTTCCTCATCTGTAAAAGAAAAGGGTTGAACTACACGTTTTCTCAAATGCTTGTTTCCAGCACAAAGATTCTGTGCTTTTATGTGTGGGGAGACAGGTAGACAGGCAGCCTTAGAAGATGCTAGAATCTTGTTATCTATCAAGAATCTCAGGGTCTTCCAAGGTTTTGGGGCCAAAATGATAATAGTATCATCCCACATCCATCTCCTCCAGAGCCACCCATCCTGCCCTAAAGTCTTTCTCTGGATAAGCTTTTTTGACCTCTGGGTCAGGATAGAAATGATCTCCAAGGAAAGGCTAGGCAAAGGGCGGTGAGCCCATATGTGTGTTTCTCACTATCAGGGTCCTGGGGAGCTGGAGGGTCCTTGTCCTAGACCCATCCCCTTGCCTCCTGGCCAGGCCAAGCTTAGCTTCCTAGTAAGACAGTGAGGCTTCCCCCTGAGTGCTTGGAAGAGGCTCACCTAAGAGGCTCTGGAAGACTCAGGACATTTGCAAAAAGCCAAGTTCTGGGCAGAGACTTTGGGGACAAGAGGCAGAAACATCGCTTTCTGACCATGTCAGTGTGATGGCATCTGGGGCATGCACACATGTGTGTACTGGACTTGACAGTCCACATCCATGCCCAGCTTGGCCATGGCACAAGCCACCCTCCACTCCATCCCGTCAGCAGTGGCTGGTTTCTGCAGAATCCGCACAGATTTATCTGTCTCCTCCAGACTCAGCCACAGCCGTCCTTGCTTATGGGCACAGGTTTTAGAGAAGGACTCTCCAGGTAGAGATCCCAGCTCTACCACTTCCAAGCTTGAGGCGTTGTGCATGGCACCTATGTTTGTGCAGAACCATCGGAGAATCCCCAAAGGAGGAAGGAGGACAGAGCCATCACTCTTCATCCATCCCCCAATCCCTGCTTCCCCAAAGATCTTCCTCCCAACACACCCAGTGAGAAACCACCACCTCTCTTTCTATTACCACCCCCAGTAGTCCTATTGCATCCTGTTGGCTCATGCTCCAGAACAGACCTCAAATCTGTCCATTGCATCCTTCCCCAAAGACTCTCCATCCCATAACCTCACACCTGGCCCACCACAGCCTCCAACAGGTGCTCCTAGCTCAGCCCTTGCTTCCCTCCCTGTGTGAAAGAAAAGGGACCTTCTTCAAAAGCAAGCCTGGCGGTGTGCTTTTCCTCTGCAGCCCCTCCCACTGCCCTTGGAATAAATCCAAGCTCCTGGGGTCCCCTATGCTTTTCCCAATTGGGGCCCTGCCTTTCTCTCCATCCTCTCTCACCGCAACTGCCAAGCTCCAGTCATGCTGGGTCCTTTCACTTTTTGGAACAAGTCAGGCTTTCCTTCCCTCAGGGCCTTTGTGCAAGCTACTCCCATTGCCCAGAAGGCTGTCTCTTTTCTTCCCAAGTTGGTTCCTGCTCATCATTTGTACTCACCTTAACTGGCAGCTCTCTGGAGGGGCTTTTCCTGACCCCCTGCCTAAAGTGGGCTTTCTCCAACCCCACCCAGTTGTCTGCTTCAATACTCTAACCATCACGCGTTGTCTAATTGTTTTTGTGCTGTGTCCCCAGACAGAATGGGAAATTCATGACAGCATGGATTATGCCTGTTATGCTCCCCATTGTTCCTCCACACATAGCATGGCTCCTGGGTAACACATCTTTGTTGAGTGGCAGAGAGTATCATGTACCCAGAATATGCCAGGTGATGCACTGTGGAGGTGCATGTGGAGCTCATTAGACCTTTGCAACAACCCAAAAAGTACTTGTTATTCCTAATTTACAGATGAGGAAACTTAGGAAAGTAACTTGCCTGGTGCCATAAGGTCAATACATGGCAGAGCTGGAATCTGCATGCAGCCCTGTCTGACTTTTCCTACTGCACTGGACTGCTTTTCCAACCCTTTCACAACCCAGAACAGGAGCGGAGCCTTAGCAGACACAAGACTCACCACCGGCATAAATGTGACATGTCAGAATTATGTGCTCCCGTCATTTATTTGTTCTTCTGTTTACTTAAACTTTCAAGACATCAGGCTTAAGGAAGACCCTGCAGAAATGTCCAAATGACTCCAGCATAATAATTGTATGATATATTACTATTATTTCCCTTGAGTCTGTATTTATAGGGAAATTGGATTATAAGTGTGTCTTGCAGGCTGAATATTGTTCTCTTAGCCCAGTGATTAGAGAGAAACAGAGGGTGGAGAGATGGCAAGGGAGGGAGAGACTGGCATTGGCAAATCCATGCAAAACTCACCTATTAAAGTGGTAGTCATAGTGATCTTTCCAAGCATCTACTAGCCCTAATGGTATACAGTGGACAAGAGTCATTGTAAAGCCCACCAAAGCAAGGTCGGTGAGCCACAGGTCTCACCAGTAAAGCCTGAAGGCGAATTCAGAAGGTCCATCTACAATAAAAGAACCACTACAACCACCAAGAAAACAGCCAGATATCTTACAAGGCACTTCACATTTGTCATGATGTTTCATGCTCATAACAACTCTCTATGATAGGTACTAGCATTATCCCCATTTTAGAAATGAGAAAAATGAGGAACAGACATGCTCAGTAACTTGCCTAATGTCAAACAACTGTCAAGTAACAGGTGGGAGTCACCCCAGCTTTCTACGCTGCGACCCTCCAGGCACCCATGTGACTGGGAGAGGCCATGCCACCAACAGGTCTGTTCCAAGTCCACACATTTTCTCTGCCCTCTTCCAATTTCTGATGACTAAACTGATTTTCTTTAAGGCTTGTACATTTCCTGCAGCTTAAAAAGATTGGAATGGCATCTACTGGCATAACAAAATTGTCTGGTGATGAGGACACAACTCTAGAAGTTAAGTAAGAGAGAAATGCCAAGCCCCTTACAGGCAGCCCGTGCTCAGTGATGGCTAGTGTCCTTCCTTCCCGTAAACCCAGCTGATGCTATAGCCTCATTCTTGGCTTAGAGATCCACAATCCAATGACAAGGATGGCCACTGGCCTTTGTTTAGTCCAACAGGTCCCAAATATATTTAACCACAAAAGGCTGTATTGAGAAACACCCATTCCACATCCCAAACAAACCTGGGGAAATGCTCACCAGACCTCCCAGTTTCTAGCACAAAAACAGGGGATTGCAGGGAGGAGGACACAGGAGGGGCTTCCCTGGGGTGAAGGCCCAAGAGCAGCATGACACTGGGTCGCTCCCAGCTCCTTTTCCAAGGGGTCTGCTCTTGGCAGCATGCCCAAGTGGCCCCTGTCCTTGCACAGACCCTGGCCCCAATGGGCTCCCACATGAGAGGACATTTAGGAAGCAACATCCATTGCCCCTTGGGAATCCCCACTGGCTTTTCTCTCCAGAGATTTGGTGCCCAGCCCTTTCTGTTTATAATCTGAGAAACTATCATAGAAAGGACAGGCCTAACAAGGAGGCTGGGACACAGATGATCCAGAGGGCCAGAAAGGGAGAGAAATCTCCCTAGGACCTGGCCCATGCCAGCCCATAAACTCCTGAAGGATAGGCGTCTTTGCAAACCCATCCCCAGCAGGTCTGGCCCATGGCGGGTGGTACCATGAGGATGGGGAGGTGACCGTCAGAGCCCTATAAAAGGATGACTCCACCTGGCCCTGGAAATGATAAACACAGCCCCTTATGTGCCCGTGGAGTTTGAAAGTTTACAAAGTGCTCTCTTGTGCATTATATCATTGCATCCCCACTGAAAATTAGGTATTATTCTTCTTTCTTCCAGTATACCAAAGAGAAAACGGGATTGTGAAAAGATGAAGGTCCAAAATCACAAGAGGGTATAAGTGGTGACCAGGTCCTTGGATTTCAAATGCCCCATCAGGAGCCCATCTGTCTACCACCCTGCTACCTGCCCTATCTGTTTGGGGTGTCAAGATCTGGCCAAAGGTTGGAAGAGGAAAAGATGAGAGGAGGCATAACTTGGCAGCCCTGGTGGTACAGAGTGGGGAAGATTTGAAATTGAAACAGCAAAAGGCAGTTTAAATAAACAGAGTCTGCTATGGTTTGAAGGTGTCCCCTCCAAAGTTCAGATGTTGCCAGTGTGATAGGATTACGAGGTGGGACCTTTGAGAGGTGATCAGGCCATAAGGACTCCTCTCTAGTGAATGGGATTGAGGGCCTTACAAAAGAGGCTTCATACAGCATGCAGCTAGCTTGTCCTTCTGCCCTCTGCCATGTAAGAACACAGTGTTCTTCCCTTCCAGGGGATGCAGCCCTCATTAGGCAGCTGAACCTGCAGGCACCTTGATCTTGGACTTCCCAGCCTCCAGAACTGGGAGAAAATAAATCTCTGCTCTTTATAAATTATTCACTCTCAGGCATTTTGTTATAGTAGCACAAATGGGCTAAGCTGAAGTCTCAGACAGCAGCTGAGTTCATTTTGAGAAAAAGAAGGACTCAGATGGGAGAGAAAGGTGTCCCTCTCCAGTGCCAGCAAATCTGCCCATGAGAGCACTGTTGCCCTGGGCTGTGGGGCAGTAGCCCTGGGATCTGAGGGCAGGTTGGATATGGAGGCCTCACCAGGGAACCGGACATTGCCCTGCCAGTCGGCAGCACATCCTGGCACCAGGAGCTGCTACCCAGGCTCAGTGCTCACTTCCACAGAGCTCCTTTATGGGTAGGTTTCTAGAGCAAGAATGCTCATTTCAAAGACATCCCTATGATGCTGGTCTTGCTCCAGAATCAATCATCATGTGAGTCTCCTGGCACTGAGAACAAATGATGTTGTTCAAACTGCTGCATGTTGTCCATGCTCACACCATGTGTTTTCTCAGCGATCCTGTGAGGCAGGGACTCCCATGGCCGCAGCTGTGGGCAGCCAATCACACCAGTTCGTTGCCAAGCATACAGCCTGGGTCCTCAGGCATCCTGAAGATGGAGCATCACCAAGGTTTCCCTGTGTTCCCAAGCTCTTCTCAGTGCCCAGGAGAGAGTATGTGTGCATGTGGGTGTGTCCAAGAAAGAAGGGAGGGATCAGATGAGTGGTCAGCCCTGCCATCCTCCTCGAGGCCTCCTGCTTAGCTTCTGCATGTCCCAGCTGGAGCCGGACATCAAGTTGGCTCCTTCCAGCTCTCCTCTCTAGGCCACGGTTGCTCATCCTGTAGGCACCAGCTGGGCTGTCACTCCAAGAAGCTGGAGCCCCTGGGCCACCTGGGGCCTCTTCCTGACAGTGAGGACTGCAGATGCCCAAGGGCAGATGTTGGCTGGTGTCACCCCACTGGCAGCACCTGCTGAAGATCCCCATACCCCTCCTGCTTCTGTGGGTGCCCAGAAAACAGAGGTTGTGGCTGCCTTGAGCATGCAGCTTATGCTTCCTGAAGCCTTGTCAAAGGGCGGAACTGGTCCCTCAGCTCAGTGTGGGTCTCAGGCCTGGCTTTCCCTGTGTCCATTCCAAGGGTCACACGGCCCCTTTTCCTTGCTTCTGTGATGGACCAGCAGGACTGCAGCCAGCATTTTGTGGGATGGACAGATACCCTGGGGCCCCTTTTTCTACCAGACAGCCTCCATTGAGGGCTGTTCTGGTTCAGTAGATGGGACATGAGGCTTCACCTGAGCCGAGTTTGTATAGGACAGGCGAGCCTGTCAGCAGCACATCTGGGTTCATAACCAGGTCCCCAGGCTTTGAATGCCACCAGCAAGCTACTAGCCTGAACAGCTCAGTCTTCCACTGGCTTTTGAAGATTAAATCCCCTTTTTGCCTAAGTACCTAGGGGGATTGGAGCCTACAGAGGGCCAGCTTGGAAAAAGTAAGGAGGCACATCTGTTTAGAGAAAGGCCTGGGGCAGCGTGGCTGTTCTTGCCAGACCACATTGGTGAGGAGGTCCGTGTGGGTGTCCATGAACGTGGTGACACGGAGGGCCTCCTGGGGCACCAAGAGGACCTGCGGGGTCTGGAGGTGAGAATACAAGAGACCAGGAGGTACTGCTGGCCAGGGAGAGCTGGGGTATGGACGGCAGACCCCTCCTCATGGCTGCCTGGCTACCCAGATTACACACGCTCACTGAGCGCTCTGCAGTCAGGAACTTCTGGGCTGAGTCTCTTCAGCAACTTCTTGCCTTGAATACTCCAGTTGATGATAAACTCCGTACCTCCCAAGACAGTTCATGCATGGCTCCATGGACTGTCTCTCACTTGTTGAATGGATAAGCATCTCCCTGCAACTTCTACACTTTGGGATGATCCTTCTTGCCCATGACATCCCTTCAAATGTCACCCCATGTGTTGTTGCTTCCAGCCCCTCCTCCTCCTGGGCCCTCTCCCCTGCTGGAACTTGAACAGAGCTACTTAAGCTGCTTTACAAATGGGGCTTACACATGAGCTTGGTTTGAAGCAAGAGCACCACAGTTTAAAGGGTCTGAAACCATTAGTGCTGCCCAATATGACGGCCCCTTGTGGTCCCACGCTATCTCTGGTCTGTGGCTTCCCCTCCCATAGATGTGCAAATGCCTGGCTCAGGTCAGCACCCAAGGACAGGGGCCACTGCCCCTGATGGGGAGACCCAGAGCCCTCTACCCGGCTGGCTCTGCTCTGCTCACATGGACGAAGTGGCCTGGAGGTGCCAAGCCAGCCCACATACATTCAGAACATGCCTGTGCAGCTCTTGAGTGTGGTGTGGGCCCCGTCAGCACTGCACTCGGGGCCGGGCGTCCTGGGGACTCAGGGCAGGATGGGCAATGCCCACAGAGCGTGCCAGGCACGAAGTGTGTGGGAGGCGGCCGTGGTCCCCAGGTGGAGGGCAGGCCGGGGTGGCGGGGCGCGGCCGGCGGGCACTCACAGGGCAGGGTCTCGGCGCTGTTCTTCTGGAGCATGATGTAGAGCTGTAGCACCAGTTGGGGCGCGCTCTCCAGGAAGGTCTCCAGGAGGCGCAGCATGTTGACGTCTGCATATTCATACATCATAGCCCAGTAGAAGCGTCGCTGGTGTTCCTTCCGCCGCTGGCTCTGAATCCCCAGGTACATGGTGCGGATATACCTGCCCAGAGAGATGGGGAGAACACAGAGAGCATGGGTGGGTGCAGGGGCTCCAGAGGACCCTTGCCATCCCCCCAAAACCAAGAGACTCAGCATCCCCCCCACGCCCTATGCTCTGAAGTTCCCAGAGGCTTGGACGGGGCTCTGGGGGGCTCCCGGCAAAAGGACATGATGCTGAGGCATGGGGGAGGGGCGGGGCAGGTCAGGAAAGGATTTGACCCCTCGTGGACCCCTAGGCAGGTCTTCCTCCTCCTGGTCTCCCATTTGCTCATCTGGAAGATGAGACTGTGGGGCCAGATGCCCTGCCAGGGCCTGCAGGTAGGCATCTCAGGTGAGCTCCGGGACAGGGGTGGGCTTTCAGGTTCAGGACCCCGGGGGGAAACAATCCAGCAAGGTTATCACCTCTGTTGTTCTGGAGGAGGAAAGGAAGGGAAGCGGGTGAACATTTCTGAAGCTCCTACTACGTGCCATTCGCTGGCTGGCCATGCCCAGGTGGTAAGTAGGAGGGTATGGTTCTCACATGATACAGACAGGAAACAGCGTGGGCTCAGAAAGGTCACCCCCACTGCACAGGCTCCTGTCGCCGGATAGTGGAACAAGTAGGGATCACATCCAGGCCACTGGACACCCTCCCTGGACATCAGGGGGACCCAGGGCCTGCCATGGAGTCTCCGTCCCAGCAGGGCCCAGGACACAGGAGCAGATCCGCTGCCCGCCCTCTCAGGACCACTCCCAGGCTCTGTGTGGGAGGGCTGAGGGGCCAAGGAAGCAGGTAGGGGGAAGAGCAAGGTTCACAGGTCAAGCAGGCCTGACTCATCACTTGCTAAGTGGGGGATCTTGAACTAGTTATTCCAGCTCTGTGTCCTTGTCACTCATCTTTCATGTGGGGACAGAATGAGAGCATCGCAGGGTGCATGGGAAGATTAGTGAGATGATATGCACAGTCGGCATCTCCCCAGGTCATATAATAACCCCAGCCTCAATTTCACCGGAACTCTCTGGAACTGTGTCTCCAAGGCAAGAGAAGGACTTAAGGCACCATCCAAACTCAGCCAACAGGCTCCAAGTCTGGGCCAGGGTAGAGGTTGTGGACAGGGCTCACCCAGAAGCAAGGGCCACAGTGCACAGCTCTGTGGGCCCAGTCAGGATCAAAAACAGGAACCGTAAACTGGGTGCCAGCGGCAGTGGGAGAGAACCACATGCCTGTCCTTGACTGTCCTGTGGGATGGACATTCTAGGACCCACTACTGTGCCCTTTGAAATGCTGAGCCTGACTCCTAAAGATTCAGTGCATGGCTGACACCCTATCCAGGCCCAGCTGGCCTCAGGTATTACCAAGAACACACTCAGGGCTGCCGGATGGTCTGTTCTGTCACTGCCACAACACCAGCTGGCTCCCAGCCACTGCCCCTTTTGCCTGGAGGGATGCCGGAGTCTCCTCACTGGTCCTCCACTGTCTACTCTTACCCCAGAACAACCCATTCTTCACGCCGCTACTAAGCCACAAGGGTGACCTCAAACACACATGCCAGGTGCAGTAAGCCCCGCTCACCATCTGATGAGGGGTGCCCGGCTTCTCTCTAGATTCCTAAGGCCCTTTGGGGGCCTGGATCCTGAAGGCACCCAGCCAGGGAAGCTGCAATGGATGCCTCATTTCTCTCCAGACCCAACCCCTGTGGTGAGCAGAGATGCAATCTTACTGACAACCAGAGTGAGGCTGGCATTGCAATGATGGCCCCATCAGGGAGGGATATGGGAGGAAGGTTGGGGCACCAGGCCCCCCAGGCCAGGTCCTTCCAGGTATACAGTCTCTTGGGGTCCCTGGCCCACCTTGCGGGTCAGGTCTGGTTATCACCATTCAACACATGGGGAAACTGAGGCTCTAGCATGAAATAAACCACCAAATTCTGGTTCTGTTCAAGGTTCTGCCACCTGCTGACTGTGGCATTTCCACTAGGTGTTGCCTTGCTCTGGGCCCCTGCCCGTGAGTTCACAAAATCAAGGAACCAGGGAAGAGGCTCAGGAAGAGGAAGGGGGAGGTTGCACCTAGTCTCAGAGCTCACAGTCACTAAGAGAGGGGGAGGGAGAGACCCAGAGAGATAGAGGCAGAGACATAGAGATAGACAGTGAGACAGACACACACGGAGAGACAGAGAAGTAGGAGGGAGCTGAAGGGGAAAGCAAAGGTGAAGGGAGCAGTGTCAAACTTGGGGGTCTGAGGAGAGGACTGCCTGGAAGAGATGATGGCAGCAAGAAATGTGTGCAGCGAGGTTCCTGGAAGCAGATGTCATCATCGGTAGTTTGGGAGGGGCTGAGGGTGAGCCCCTGATGGAGGGTGATAGAAGGGCCAGGCTGATCAACCGTGATGGCAGTGCGGGGAGGCAGGGCATCAGGGGACATGAATGCTCCAGCTGAAGCACCGAGGCAGGGCTGCGTGCCCAGATCTTTGGCACCCATGTCTAGGAGAGCTGTGTGCTGAGTGGAGCCTCAGTGCCGTGTGTCTCCCAGATCAGAGCTGCCCCCTGTGACCCAAACCCGGCTCTCTCAACAGGTGGCACCTGCAGCACACAAGCCATGAGCCACAGATCACTCCAGGCCCCAGACCGCAAACCTAATGGTCTCAGGGGTACTCAGACTACAGACTCTGCTTCTTCCAGCCTCACAGGTGGCCCAGCAGCTGGAGGAATGGTTATATGGCAGCACTAACCCTATCCATCTGGGTCCCAGGTCAGTAATGCCAGTGCTCAGGTTCACCCAGGTTTGCCCTACCAGGCAAAGGGAGCACCAGTTCTACCCTTCCACGCCACATTCTCCCAAAGCCACAGGCCCCTCTGCCCACCAAGGCCGGGGCAAAGGAAAACAACAAGCCCAGAATACACCAATTCAACTGGGATGCCTGCCAGGAGGAGCCAATCTTGATGCTCTCCTGGGTGTGAGCACCCCAGGGTGTGGGAAGAGCCAGGGTGGATGTAGGCAAAGAGGGTGCCACTCCTCCCTGAGCCAATTAGCAAGCAGACGTTGGGGCCTAGAGGGCACTAGAGTCCAGGCAAAACCGTTTGGACAGCATGGTGCCTCCTGGGTCACCCGCACAGGCACCTCTGGGACTGTAGTAGGGACTGATCACAGCCCTGCCCAGGAGTTCCTGACAGCCAAGCCTCAATGCAAATGCTCATCCTTTCCAACTGCTCCCGGCTCAGTCCCTCCTCTGCTACTCTTAAGTCCTTGGGTCCACAGTACACAACCGAGGGGTACTGGTTTGCAATATAATTAGGTCTGGACCCTGGAGGTCTAGTCCAACCCCCACTTTATAGTGGAGGGCCCAGGTGCCAGAACGCAAGCCACTGCCGCCTCAGTCACTCAGTGCTGTGGGGCCCGGACGGGACCAGAATCCAGGCCTGACCCCATGACCTTGCTTGTCCACCACAACACGTGCAAAGCCCTTGCCTCTCATGCAGGAGGATCCTGGCAGCTCCTGCGATCACGCGGCTGCTGCTGTCCTCGAGGCTCTAGGATTCTTCCTCCTCCTAGCTTTACCTGGTGTCTGTCTCCCTCAAGATCTAAGGAGCTGCCAAGAAACAACGAGGCAGATGGGTGGGGTGGGAGGAAGGCATAAGCCATGTCCCCCCTAAACCCCTGGGCCAGCGCTGCTCTCCCTCGGGATCTCAGTTTCCTGTGTGTAAAATCCGGAGCTCCTGGGTGACCTCTGAGGCTGCGCTGCCAGCCGCCTCCTGCTGAGTCTCCCATCCCCTCTGCAGAAGCGGCCTCGACCCGCGGCCACACGGTGGCGCCAGACCCTAAGCGTCGCGGAAACGCCGCTCCAGGCAAGTGATCTCATCCCACAGGCCCGCGCCCTCTTCTGCCAGGGCGCGGAGTGCAAGCCCAGAGGTGCGCTCCGAGGGGGGAACCAAGGCAGGAGACTCAGGATTGGCTGCCATTCCTCCAAGCCCCCTCCTTCTCCACCTTCCAGGCGGGTTCCAGAAAGCTTACCGCACCGTTCTCCAGGAAGGTATCTCTTGGGAGAGAAGACACCAACTCTTCTCCCGGACTTGCTCCCAAAGTCGGTGTCACCTCCTGTCACGCCATATCTGCCCTAAGAGCCTCGGATCATGAAATACACGGGGGTGAAAGCAGCAACGCCACGTGTCCTCATGGAGCACAGTCTCAAGAAAGCTGGGCCTGGTCTATGGTCTGCGGGAATGGCCAATCTTGAGCAAGTCACCTCCCATGGCTGGGCCCCGCTATTCCCATCACAGGAGGGGCAGGCAGGAGGGATCTCCAAGCCTCTGTCAACATCTTATAACTTTGTCTTTCTTCAGGTGAGTGACCTCACAGAGCACAAAGGATGGCCTAGCATCTTTATAAACAATAATGCCTCATGTTTGTGTGACATTCACTTGTGCCAGGCTCTATTATGGGCATTTGGCACATATTACCTCATTTAATCCTCACAACACCCCTATGAGGTAGCTGCAATATTACCTACTAATTATTCATTTTACAGGTGCAGTATTACCTACCAATATTCATTTTACAGACAGCAAACTGAAGCACTGAGGTTAAAACATTCGCCTTGCTCTTCCCAGCTAAGTAGCTGAGCAGGGCTTCAAGCCCAGGCAGTCTGGCTTTGGGGCCAGTGCTGTTGACTGCTCCTGCCCACGCACCTCCCAGAGGTAGACCATGTGTCTCCTTACTTCTGAACTCAGTCCAACTTGCCTGACAGTGGGGAAGAAAGGAGTTTGCCCAAAACACCTGGGCTCCCTTCCAGCTCTGCCACCTGGCTGTGTTACCTTGAGGGACATTTCCTAACTTCTCTGAGCCTTAGTTTCCTCATGTATAAAATGCCTAGACCAGAGTAGAACCCAGGACATGATGGACGAATGAATGCATACCATAGTGCCCCCTCAGAGGGTCACAGGGGCCTTAAATAAGACCATGCCTGTGAGCACAGACAGGAGGTTAGAAGTCACCATGCAGATGGCAGCCATTACTGCTCCCTGAGGTGCCCTGTTCCTGTGTTCCCTCCAGCCCACTCTGCTTATATCTTTCTAGTTCTATCTCCTTTCCTTACTTTGTAAGCCATGGAATTGTTTAAAGCTCCTGTTCCCTCCAGCAGAAGTATCTAGTCCTCTGAGCACAGCTTTCTGAGGGAGACACGGTTGTCATCTTCTTTTTCCTGCTGGCTCGTCTGAGGCTCAGAAAGACTAAGTGACTTCCCTGAAGCCACACCGTCAGTCATGGTTCAGGAAAATCAGAGGTCTCGTCCAAACTACGTTGCCCCTCTGAGGTTGGCTATGGCTCTGCCCAAGACTGGCTGGGGTAGAAAATAAGTGATTTCTACAAGGGGCAGGGGGCTAAACATTCACCTATCTGGGCCCACAGTCTCCAGCTGCTTCTTATGACACTGTCAGAAACAGCACTGAAATCTCTGATTGTGGATAACAAACCACCTTCAAAGCCCCAAACAGGGGTAAGCTCATGTTTTGTGGGGTCTGAGGCTTAGAGAACCCTTCTTTAAGGAAAATGGTAAATTCTACCAAACAGAGTAGAAATTGCACCAACTGTACACAATCTTTTCCAGAAAATAAAAAAGGAAGAAACACTTCCCTATTCATTTTATGAGGCCGGCATTACTCTGATACAAAAGCCAGTCAAACACAGTACAAGCAAATAAAACTACAGACAACATCTCCCATAAACATAGATGCAAAAATCTTCAACAAAATATTAGCAAATTAAATCCAGTAATATATGGAAAGAACAATGTACCAGAACCAACTGGGGTTTATCCTGGGAATGAAAGGCTGGTCCAATATTCAAAAATCAATCAATGTAATCTATGACATTAATAACCACACATCATAACAATTGATACAGAAGTAAAAGGTAACACAATTCAACATCCATTAATTTTCTCAGCAAACTAGAAATAGAAGGGAACTTCCTTAACCTTATGTAGATAAAGGGCATTTATGGAAACTCCCAGTTATCTTCCTTAATGATAAAAGACTGAATGCTTTTGTCTTAAGATCAAGAACAGGGTTATGATGTCTACACACACCACTCCTATTCAACATCATACTAGAAGTCCTGTTCAGTGCAGTAAGTCAAGAAAAATAAATACAGAAAGTATATGCAGATTGCAAAGGAAGAGGTAAAACTGTCCCTATTTGTAAATGACATGATTGTCTAGATTGAAAATCCTAAGCAATCCTAAGCAAGAAGCTCATATAAATAATTAGTTAATTTAGCAAGGTATCACAATACAGGGTCAGCCTGTAAAAGTCAATTGCGTTTCTATAAATGATTAATGAATAATTGAAAATTTAAAAATTAAAAATATATACCACTTAAATTAGCTCCGAAAATGAAATTCTTAGAGACAAATCTACTGAAACATGCAGGATTTGTATGCCACAGCTGCAAGATGCTAATAAAAGAAATCAAAGAAAACCTAAATGATACAGAGACATACCATGTTCAGGGATTGGAAGATGCAATATAGTAAGATGACAATTGCCCTCAAATTAATCTATAGATGTAACACAGTTCCAATAAAAACCCAAGTGGAATTTTTTTTTAAATACAGACAAGCCAATTCTAAAATTTATATGAAACTAGAATAGTCAAAACAATTCTAAAAGTGAATAAATTTGAAGAACTCACACTACTCGATTTTAGGATTTACTATAAAGCTACAGCACAGTGTAGCATTGGCCAAGAGAGAAACATAGATCAGCAGAACAGAAGAGTCCGGAAGAAGACCCATATAATTATGGCCAATTGGTTTTTTACAAAGGGATAAAGACAATTCAATGTTGATAGTCTTTTCAACAAATGATGTAGTAATAATAAGTCATTCATATGCAACAACTAACTTAAAATGTATCATAGGTTAACGTGTAAAACCATAAAACTTTAAGAAGAAACTGCAGGAGTGGTTCTGTACCTTGTATCAGACAAAGAGTTCTTAAATGACAGCAAAGGCATGATCCATAAAAAAAAAAAAAAAGATAAACTTTATCAAAATTAAAAGCTTTTGCTCTGTGAATGACATTGTTAAGAGAATGAAAAGACAAGCTACAGATTGGGAGAAAATATTTGCAAATCACATATCAGACAAAGAACTTGTAGCTAGAATAAACAAAGAACTGTTAAAGCTCACTAGAAAAAAACAATCCAATTTTTTAAATGGGCACAAGATTTGAACAGATATTTTACCAAAGAGGATACACAATAGCAAATAAACATGGGGAGAAGGGAGCTCAACGTTACAAGTAAATAGGGAAATGTATATTAAAATCACAGTGAAAAAAACCCCACAATGAGATAGTACTTCATATCTGTTAAAATGGCTAAATAAAAACACTGACACTATCAAGTGCTGTCACGAATACAGAGCAACTAGAATGCTCATATATTGCAGTGGGAATGCAAATGCTTCTGACACTCTGGAAAACAGTGGACAGTCTCTCATAAAGTTAAACATACTCTCCACATATGACCCATAGTTCCCTTTCTAGGTATTCTAGAAATGAAGACTTATGTCCACACAAAAATGTGTGCACAAATGTTTTAGCAGTTATTTTCTTTTTCTTTTTTTTTTTTTATTATACTTTAAATTTTAGGGTACATGTGCACATTGTGCAGGTTAGTTACATATGTATACATGTGCCATGCTGGTGCGCTGCACCCACTAACTCATCATCTAGCCTTAGGTATATCTCCCAATGCTATCCCTCCCCCCTCCCCCCACCCCACCACAGTCCCCAAAGTGTGATATTCCCCTTCATGTGTCCATGTGATCTCACTGTTCAATTCCCACCTATGAGTGAGAATATGCGGTGTTTGGTTTTTTGTTCTTGTGATAGTTTACTGAGAATGATGATTTCCAATTTCATCCATGTCCCTACAAAGGACATGAACTCATCATTTTTTATGGCTGCATAGTATTCCATGGTGTATATGTGCCACATTTTCTTAATCCAGTCTATCATTGTTGGACATTTGGGTTGGTTCCAAGTCTTTGCTATTGTGAATAATGCCGCAATAAACATACGTGTGCATGTGTCTTTATAGCAGCATGATTTATAGTCATTTGGGTATATACCCAGTAATGGGATGCCTGGGTCAAATGGTATTTCTAGTTCTAGATCCCTGAGGAATCCCCACACTGACTTCCACAATGGTTGAACTAGTTTACAGTCCCACCAACAGTGTAAAAGTGTTCCTATTTCCTGACTTTTTAATGATTGCCATTCTAACTGGTGTGAGATGATATCTCATAGTGGTTTTGATTTGCATTTCTCTGATGGCCAGTGATGATGAGCATTTCTTCATGTGTTTTTTGGCTGCATAAATGTCTTCTTTTGAGAAGTGTCTGTTCATGTCCCTCGCCCACTTTTTGATGGGGTTGTTTGTTTTTTTCTTGTAAATTTGTTTGAGTTCATTGTAGATTCTGGATATTAGCCCTTTGTCAGATGAGTAGGTTGTGAAAATTTTCTCCCATGTTGTAGGTTGCCTGTTCACTCTGATGGTAGTTTCTTTTGCGTGCAGAAGCTCTTTAGTTTAATTAGATCCCATTTGTCAATTTTGGCTTTGGTTGCCATTGCTTTTGGTGTTTTGGACATGAAGTCCTTGCCCACGCCTATGTCCTGAGTGGTAATGCCTAGGTTTTCTTCTAGGGTTTTTATGGTTTTAGGTCTAACGTTTAAATCTTTAATCCATCTTGAATTGATTTTTGTATAAGGTGTAAGGAAGGGATCCAGTTTCAGCTTTCTACATATGGCTAGCCAGTTTTCCCAGCACCATTTATTAAATAGGGAATCCTTTCCCCATTGCTTGTTTTTCTCAGGTTTGTCAAAGATCAGATAGTTGTAGGTAAGCGGCGTTATTTCTGAGGGCTCTATTCTGTTCCATTGATCTATATCTCTGTTTTGGTACCAGTACCATGCTGTTTTGGTGACTGTAGCCTTGTAGTATAGTTTGAAGTCAGGTAGTGTGATGCCTCCAGCTTTGTTCTTTTGGCTTAGGATTGACTTGGCGATGCGGGCTCTGTTTTGGTTCCATATGAACTTTAAAGTAGTTTTTTCCAATTCTGTGAAGAAAGTCATTGGTAGCTTGATGGGGATGGCATTGAATCTGTAAATTACCTTGGGCAGTATGGCCATTTTCACGATATTGATTCTTCCTACCCATGAGCATGGAATGTTCTTCCATTTGTTTGTATCCTCTTTTATTTCCTTGAGCAGTGGTTTGTAGTTCTCCTTGAAGAGGTCCTTCACATCCCTTGTAAGTTGGATTCCTAGGTATTTTATTCTCTTTGAAGCAATTGTGAATGGGAGTTCACTCATGATTTGGCTCTCTGTTTGTCTGTTGTTGGTGTATAAGAATGCTTGTGATTTTTGTACATTGATTTTGTATCCTGAGACTTTGCTGAAGTTGCTTATCAGCTTAAGGAGATTTTGGGCTGAGACGATGGGGTTTTCTAGATAAACAATCATGTCGTCTGCAAACAGGGACAATTTGACTTCCTCTTTTCCTAATTGAATACCCTTTATTTCCTTCTCCTGCCTGATTGCCCTGGCCAGAACTTCCAACACTATGTTGAATAGGAGCGGTGAGAGAGGGCATCCCTGTCTTGTGCCAGTTTTCAAAGGGAATGCTTCCAGTTTTTGCCCATTCAGTATGATATTGGCTGTGAGTTTGTCATAGATAGCTCTTATTATTTTGAAATACGTCCCATCAATACCTAATTTATTGAGAGTTTTTAGCATGAAGGGTTGTTGAATTTTGTCAAAGGCTTTTTCTGCATCTATTGAGATAATCATGTGGTTTTTGTCTTTGGCTCTGTTTATATGCTGGATTACATTTATTGATTTGCGTATATTGAACCAGCCTTGCATCCCAGGGATGAAGCCCACTTGATCATGGTGGATAAGCTTTTTGATGTGCTGCTGGATTAGGTTTGCCAGTATTTTATTGAGGATTTTTGCATCAATGTTCATCAGGGATATTGGTCTAAAATTCTCTTTTTTCGTTGTGTCTCTGCCCGGCTTTGGTATCAGAATGATGCTGGCCTCATAAAATGAGTTAGGGAGGATTCCCTCTTTTTCTATTGATTGGAATAGTTTCAGAAGGAATGGTACCAGTTCCTCCTTGTACCTCTGGTAGAATTCGGCTGTGAATCCATCTGGTCCTGGACTCTTTTTGGTTGGTAAACTATTGATTATTGCCACAATTTCAGCTCCTGTTATTGGTCTATTCAGAGATTCAACTTCTTCCTGGTTTAGTCTTGGGAGAGTGTATGTGTCGAGGAATGTATCCATTTCTTCTAGATTTTCTAGTTTATTTGCGTAGAGGTGTTTGTAGTATTCTCTGATGGTAGTTTGTATTTCTGTGGGATCAGTGGTGATATCCCCTTTATCATTTTTTATTGTGTCTATTTGATTCTTCTCTCTTTTTTTCTTTATTAGTCTTGCTAGCGGTCATTCAATTTTGTTGATCCTTTCAAAAAACCAGCTCCTGGATTCATTGATTTTTTGAAGGGTTTTTTGTGTCTCTATTTCCTTCAGTTCTGCTCTGATTTTAGTTATTTCTTGCCTTCTGCTAGCTTTTGAATGTGTTTGCTCTTGCTTTTCTAGTTCTTTTAATTGTGATGTTAGGGTGTCAATTTTGGATCTTTCCTGCTCTCTCTTGTGGGCATTTAGTGCTATAAATTTCCCTCTACACACTGCTTTGAATGCATCCCAGAGATTCTGGTATGTTGTGTCTTTGTTCTCATTGGTTTCAAAGAACATCTTTATTTCTGCCTTCATTTTGTTATGTACCCAGTAGTCATTCAGGAGCACGTTGTTCAGTTTCCATGTAGTTGAGCGGCTTTGAGTGAGATTCTTAATCCTGAGTTCTAGTTTGATTGCACTGTGGTCTGAGAGATAGTTTGTTATAATTTCTGTTCTTTTACATTTGCTGAGGAGAGCTTTACTTCCAAGTATGTGGTCAATTTTGGAATAGGTGTGGTGTGGTGCTGAAAAAAATGTATATTCTGTTGATTTGGGGTGGAGAGTTCTGTAGATGTCTATTAGGTCCACTTGGTGCAGAGCTGAGTTCAATTCCTGGGTATCCTTGTTGACTTTCTGTCTCGTTGATCTGTCTAATGTTGACAGTGGGGTGTTAAACTCTCCCATTATTAATGTGTGGGAGTCTAAGTCTCTTTGTAGGTCACTCAGGACTTGCTTTATGAATCTGGGTGCTCCTGTGTTGGGTGCATATATATTTAGGTTAGTTAGCTCCTCTTGTTGAATTGATCCCTTTACCATTATGTAATGGCCTTCTTTGTCTCTTTTGATCTTTGTTGGTTTAAAGTCTGTTTTATCAGAGAGTAGGATTGCAACCCCTGCCTTTTTTTGTTTTCCATTTGCTTGGTAGATCTTTCTCCATCCTTTTATTTTGAGCCTATGTGTGTCTCTGCACGTGAGATGGGTTTCCTGAATACAGCACACTGATGGGTCTTGACTCTTTATCCAACTTGCCAGTCTGTGTCTTTTAATTGGAGAATTTAGTCCATTTACATTTAAAGTTAATATTGTTATGTGTGAATTTGATCCTGTCATTATGATGTTAGCTGGTGATTTTGCTCGTTAGTTGATGCAGTTTCTTCCTAGTCTCGATGGTCTTTACATTTTGGCATGATTTTGCAGCGGCTGGTACCGGTTGTTCCTTTCCATGTTTAGCGCTTCCTTCAGGAGCTCTTTTAGGGCAGGCCTGGTGGTGACAAAATCTCTCAGCATTTGCTTGTCTGTAAAGTATTTTATTTCTCCTTCACTTATGAAGCTTAGTTTGGCTGGATATGAAATTCTGGGTTGAAAATTCTTTTCCTTAAGAATGTTGAATATTGGCCCCCACTCTCTTCTGGTTTGTAGGGTTTCTGCCGAGAGATCCGCTGTTAGTCTGATGGGCTTCCCTTTGAGGGTAACCCGACCTTTCTCTCTGGCTGCCCTTAACATTTTTTCCTTCATTTCAACTTTGGTGAATCTGACAATTATGTGTCTTGGAGTTGCTCTTCTCGAGGAGTATCTTTGTGGCGTTCTCTGTATTTCCTGAATCTGAACGTTGGCCTGCCTTGCTAGATTGGGGAAGTTCTCCTGGATAATATCCTGCAGAGTGTTTTCCAACTTGGTTCCATTCTCTGCATCACTTTCAGGTACACCAATCAGACGTAGATTTGGTCTTTTCACATAGTCCCATATTTCTTGGAGGCTTTGCTCATTTCTTTTTATTCTTTTTTCTCTAAACTTCCCTTCTCGCTTCATTTCATTCATTTCATCTTCCATCGCTGATACCCTTTCTTCCAGTTGATCGCATCGGCTCCTGAGGCTTCTGCATTCTTCACGTAGTTCTCGAGCCTTGGTTTTCAGCTCCATCAGCTCCTTTAAGCACTTCTCTGTATTGGTTATTCTAGTTATACATACTTCTAAATTTTTTTCAAAGTTTTCAACTTCTTTGCCTTTGGTTTGAATGTCCTCCCGTAGCTCAGAGTAATTTGATCGTCTGAAGCCTTCTTCTCTCAGCTTGTCAAAGTCATTCTCCATCCAGCTTTGTTCCGTTGCTGGTGAGGAACTGCATTCCTTTGGAGGAGGAGAGGCGCTCTGCGTTTTAGAGTTTCCAGTTTTTCTGTTCTGTTTTTTCCCCATCTTTGTGGTTTTATCTACTTTTGGTCTTTGATGATGGTGATGTACAGATGGGTTTTCGGTGTGGATGTTCTTTCTGTTTGTTAGTTTTCCTTCTAACAGACAGCACCCTCAGCTGCAGGTCTGTTGGAATACCCTGCCGTGTGAGGTGTCAGTGTGCCCCTGCTGGGGGGTGCCTCCCAGTTAGGCTGCTCGGGGGTCAGGGGTCAGGGACCCACTTGAGGAGGCAGTCTGCCCGTTCTCAGATCTCCAGCTGCGTGCTGGGAGAACCACTGCTCTCTTCAAAGCTGTCAGACAGGGACATTTAAGTCTGCAGAGATTACTGCTGTCTTTTCGTTTGTCTGTGCCCTGCCCCCAGAGGTGGAGCCTACAGAGGCAGGCAGGCCTCCTTGAGCTGTGGTGGGCTCCACCCAGTTCGAGCTTCCCGGCTGCTTTGTTTACCTAAGGAAGCCTGGGCAATGGCGGGCGCCCCTCCCCCAGCCTCGCTGCCGCCTTGCAGTTTGATCTCAGACTGCTGTGCCAGCAATCAGCGAGACTCCGTGGGCGTAGGACCCTCCGAGCCAAGTGTGGGATATAGTCTCGTGGTGCGCCGTTTTTTAAGCCGGTCTGAAAAGCGCAATATTCGGGTGGGAGTGACCCGATTTTGCAGGTGCGTCTGTCACCCCTTTCTTTGACTCGGAAAGGGAACTCCCTGACCCCTTGCGCTTCCCAGGTGAGACAATGCCTCGCCCTGCTTCGGCTCGCGCACGGTGCGCGCACCCACTGGCCTGCGCCCACTGTCTGGCACTCCCTAGTGAGATGAACCCGGTACCTCAGATGGAAATGCAGAAATCCCCCGTCTTCTGCATCGCTCACGCTGGGAGCTGTAGAGCGGAGCTGTTCCTATTCGGCCATCTTGGCTCCTCCCCCCTGCAGTTCTTTTCATACTTGCCTACTATCCTTCCGCAGGTGAATATATAAACAATTATGGTAATCCATACTGTGGAATACTACTCAGGAATAAAAAGGAACAAACCACTGACACACACAACAACCTGGATGAATCTCCAAGGCATTATCCTAAATGAGTGAAGTCTGTCTCGATAGTTATATACAGTGTGATTCCACTTATATGATATTCTGCAAGGCCAGAGGGATGGAGAACAGATTGGTAGTTCCCAGGGAGTGAAATTAAGGCATGATTTGCTTAAAAGTGGGCACATGGGAGAGTGTTCTGGGGTGGTGGAACTGTCCTGTGAGCTGATTATGGTGGTGACTATGTGAATCCGCGTATGCACTGAAACTCAAAGACCTCTACAAACACACATACAAGTCAATTTTACTCTATGTAAATGTTAATTTACAAAATTGTCCAAAAAAGAATCTTAAATTTTTAAAAAATGTAAAGAAAAAGAATACAAAATTACTTATTCAAAATTGAGTACAGGGTCCCATTAGAGGCCCGTAAAAGTGAGGGGCCCTAAAGCTTAAGCTTCAGTGGGGCCGCAAGAAATCCATCTGTCCCCGAACACTATCTGCAAGGACCTTTTCCTGCTTCTCCCAGGACCTGCTTCTCCCAGGACCTGCTTCTGCAGCCTTCTGGAAGGAATGAGCTCACAAACCCTGGATGGAAAGGCCCAAAGGAAACTTCACTCCCAGCACAAGCAAGTATGAGGGCTTCAGAACTTCCGCTCCCCAGTAAACAGCTGACCGGCCCAACCAGGCAAGAAGGAAGGAAGGAAGGGCAGGAAGAGCCCTGGCAGAGAAGAATCCAGGCCCGCCCACCACAGTTCCTGCTTCTCTCCCTCCTAACGAATGTCTCTTTGGGCCTGGCCCCAAGGACCAGTGACTGAGAGGAACACTCTACTGATGACTTCCCAAGGCTACGCTGACCTGCTCGAGGAACAAATGGGTGGGGATCACCAGGATTTAAGGGACAGCTGCTCCCACAGTCCTATCCTAGAGACCCAGGCCCCTGGGGACAAGCCAGCTCCTGAGAGGGGTGACCTCACTGCCTACTTGGGCACCTGACCTGCACCCAGTGGCCTTAGCAATCTCTAGCTCTCACCCCTCAAGCGGCTTATTCAGAAACCTGATTCTATGAGCGCTTGTATCCCACCTGGGAGTGGTGGTCACGCAGAAGGGGCCTAAGACTCCAGGCTGGTTCGTAAAGCTTCCCCTAAGTCGCTGGGTTCTTGAAATTCCTGCCCTAATGCAGAGCTCTGCTTTCGACCAGAGACCAGGGGCCTCGCCCACCTTCAGGCCTCCTGGGCACTGTGAGCAATGCAGAGCTGTCCTCAGAAGACATTCCCAAGGCCAGGGGCTGGGCCCTGCTGCCTAGGAGGTTGTCAGGCGTCCTTGGGAGAACTGCTCTTCATTGTGCATCTCCAGCTTCTCCCTGGGCTTCGGGGGTCCACAGCAGCCAGCCTCCCCCTCCCCCAGGTGTGTCCCCTGAGTGTGCACATCGTAGCACAAGGGGTGTCAATCCTGGCTGCACCTGAGAAGCACCTGGAGTGTTTGCGAGAAATCCTGCGTCGACGTGTAATGCAATGTGCACCTTTCCAGGGAGGGCCTAGTGGGCAGGACCATGTCTGTGCTGGTCACTGGCATGGCCCCTCATGTAGCAGAGCGCCTGGCACATGGTGTGCCCTGGACCCACATTAGTGAAAGAAAGAAATGGAGGAAGGGAGAGGGAGAGACGGGGAGGGAGGGAAGTGCCTAAGCTGAGAGGTGGCATCATGAGCAGGAACAAAGCAGGTCTGGGCACCACACTCACAGGACTCTCACTGTAAGTTACTTAGCTTTCCTCCTTGGTCAACATTCAAGAATGCCACATAGCTCATGCCTTCAGGGCTCCAGGTTCAGGGCCCGCAGTAGTCACTGTGGACAACCTACAGCATTCCCTCCAGAGCCCATGTGCCAAACCAGGAGGGCTGCAGCCCCAGGAAGCCATGGGAAACTGGCTGGGCAGAGGCCATAGTAGGCCCCGATTTTCACCTGTGTCCCCCAAGTGGCATAGCAAGCCCTAGCAGAAGGCTGAGTTCCGCAGGGGAAACCCCTTTTTGATCTCTTTGTCGGCACCTGCAGACGGCTGGTCCGGGAGCAGAGCTGGTTCAAAGCCACGCAACACAGGTCCCACCCTCCTCCTGGGGCTCCCAAGATCTCACCAGTGGCTTCTCCCCACTATCCCAGGAGCTGCCTTGGCCAGCAGCAGTGTCACATATTCAGGACACAAACAACCTGTACGCGACAACCAGCTGTACCCCGAGATGTCACACACATCCCCTTTGCAATAGGCCGGCGGGCCCATCACCAGCAAACTGCTTTGTTCCATATGTGGTAGGTGCTGTGACCCACTGATTCTTTCCACCAGATATCGATCAGAAGGGCAGCCCCTTCCCTTCAGCTGCTCCTTGCCATCAGCTCCAGGCTTGGTTATGAACAGGATGCCAAGGCTGGGGTCACGCAGGGACATAGCTCTGGTCCCTGTAGCCACAGTGACTCGGCCACCGGGCCAGGCTTCTCAGACACCCAGGGAGGAGGTGAGGGGGCTCCTCGATGACTCCTGGAGGAGACTCAGTGGAGAGGAGTCTGAGGAGGCCACCTTTCCCACTGCCTTATGACACGGAGACCCCTCCAGGCCCTGTCCAACAGGCTCCTTCTACCCTCTCTCCTGTCCTTCCTCCGGGTTCACAGCCTCCTCCCACCGACACCCTCCACCTGTGCCCCCCTCCCCAGGCAACCCTTCAGCCCTTGACTGTCTGCAGGTTGGTTCCCTGGGGGCAGGAACAGAGGGGACGGTGTCACAACCACAACCACACAAAGTGATACCGCTTAGGAGCACTCAGCACTTGCAAGGCCTCCTGCTTCTGCCCTGACCCCAGGATGGGCACCATGGGCCCTGTGGAGATGGAGAAACTGAGGCAAAGGAACTGGCTGATGGCATCCAGCTGGGTCTGCTGACCCCATGCACTGGGCTGTTGCCAAGCACCTGTGTGAGCTGAGGTTAAGCTCGGCCACTCCTGCAGGACCTTCAGCCCCGCAGGCAGTCTCTGAGCCTGATTTTGCCCTGCACTGGGTCCCCAGCCCCTACCAGAGGCCTGCTCCTGGGAAGACCCACAGGGCATGTGCTGAGGGACTGTGTGGTAGGGCTGGGCTTCAGCCCCAGCCTCCTGACCTCAGAGCCTACAGTCTGTGTGGCTACGTGGCCTGGGGGCTCATGGGTGCTGAGTGCTGTGGAGGTTGTGAGGAGGCTGGGGAGCTGAGACCCCCCACCCTCGACCAGCAGGGCCTTAGAACATGTCAAATGCAACCCTTGGGCTCACAAAGGGAGCCCTGGAGGCCCCAGGCCCAAAGTCACAGCAGCACATAGAACCCCAACGGCCCTTCCACGGCTGCCTCTGCCCCAGCAGCCAGGCCTGTGGGCTGCACTCCGACCCCTTTGTGGCCAAGAACTGTTCAAGCTCTTTCCAAAAAGACTCCGAAAGCCGACCTTAAAGGCAGAGCACAGCTTTTCTCTGAAGCTGATAATGACACAGTTATCCCCTCTGAGGGATTTTTACTCAAACCATCTTTACTCTTATCCTGGGAGGATGCAGGTGCACTATCTCACACATACACACAACCGCACCCATACACACACCTCCCACATGAACACACACACTCGAACATATCACACACAGTTGCATACACACACGGCATTCACAATATGCATACACTTTACACACAGCGTACTCAACACAAAGTACATCCACCCACATGGTCACACTCCACACAGGTGCATTGTGTCTGACAGAGCACACACGCATGCAAACTACCAAATATCCATACATGCAACACACAGCTCAGCTTCCATCTATACAGATACGTGTGGACACACAGTCACATCCGCCACGGCCCTGAGTCCACAGCCAGCCTGGATTGCTGTGGGCGAGGTCTCTTGCCTGTGCTTCCCCTCCTGCTCCCAGGACTTCCTGCTCCCAGGACTGCCTGCTCCCGGTCACTCGCCATCACTGTGGCCTCCACAGGGAGGCAGAGAGACCGGGCACACAGAGCAAAAAGCCAAACTCACATTCAGCTGTTGGACTCACCTCAGAGAGGACAGCAGGAGCCCTCAAATTACGAAGTAAGCACTATGTGAGCAGATCCAGGTGTTCCAAATTCAGCGCCACGCTGCCCCCATTATTGAGAACAGGGCTAAGCTAGTTGCCGCCAAAGCACTCGCGAGCTCACTGATGCCCCAACTTGCCAATCACCCCTGCCTTCCCTCCGCCCTGTTCACGCTACAACCCCTTCCCTTATCCCATGCCTAGCTTATTTTGGAGTCCTGACTTGCAGCCACAGCAAAGCTTTTGAGACATTGCAAGATCGCATTCTTGCCTGACGCATCCTTCTGAGGGTGGAACAGTTGCCTCCTTGTTTGTCCTTTCCATGTCTGACCACATCCCAGGGCTGCAAGGATCTAGGGCCAGGTGGCCACATGCAGTGGCTGCAGGAGAAAATGGCTCAAAGGAGGGGCCAGGAAGGCTTCAGGACCATAGGCTGCATGGCCCAGGTAGGCACCGTACCCATCTGGGGCTCTTCTACCTGCCTGCCATTCACTCTGCCCAGGTCAGAGCCTTAGTGGCTGCTTCCTGGGATCATAGCTCAGGAGCAGGCTGCAGGACAGAGCAAAAGGCCTTGGCACCCTTCCATACCATTCGCAGATCTCAGGAGCATCACTGTCTGAGTTGTCACAGACAGGACAGGGTACAGCCTGTAAGCCTTTGCCAGGCAAACAGGCAGTTACTATGATGAGCAGTCCCATTTGACAGATGAGGAAGCTGAGGCTAAGCTACATTAACTAACCTGGGTGGCCTCCATTGCCTCTGCACCCTGGATTTCAGTCTCCCATGGTTGACTCCGACCTGCCTTCTCGCCTGTTCCCCACACCTGCTCCTGCCCTCCAGCCACATCCATGGCTCTCCATCCCCAGACCTTCCTAAGGGTGCCCCTCTCTGTATCTGCTCCTGCTGTCCCCTCTGCCTGGAGATCCATCCCTGTGTAGGGCCAAGCTCCCCGCCACATGCCTGCTCCTTGACCTGGTGAAATTCCACCCCTCGCTCGTCCTCCCGTAGCTACCATTTCTGTGCCAGGCACAATGGAAGTGCTCTGCATCTATCAACTCATCTAAGCCTCCAGAAAGCCTTACGATCGTCCTCAGATGAAGAGACCAAAGCAAGAGGTTGTCATACCCAGGTGGTTGACTCGAGAGGGAGTGCTTTTACGCCAGGGCACTATGCTCTCCTGCTCTCTTTCTCATTCCCTCCCCTTCTCATTCACTCCTGTCCACATCCCTACGAATGAGATCATCTGCGAGCCCCATTTTACAGATGAGGACACCTTGAGGATCAGGGAGTTCAATGGCCCTGCTAAAGCCAGGCGGAAGTCTCCCCCTGCCCGGATGTGGTGCTTGCCTCTGTTTCCCACCCCTGGAGGCCTCTCTCCTCCAATATCCGAGCTCTCCTTACCCCCGACCCTGCACCCAGTCCCTTAGGAAGAGAGAAGCCTCTCCAGCTAGATTTTAACCTCCAGGAGGGGCATCCATATACCCAGCGCCCCCCAGCCCACCACGGTAACATCCAATCAGAGTGCACTCAACTGAGTTTGGCCCTGGCTCTGATGACTCTGATGGAAGCTGGTCTCCTTCGACCAAGAGCTGCCTGTAACCCTAGCTTCAAATACATGAACTAGATGTTCCCAAAGGTAGATGACAAGGGCAGCAGCTAAATTCAAGCAGGAAAGATTTAAGTTGAACACAAGAAAGAACTTAGTGACCAGCACAGCTGGCTGAACCTACAACGAGACAGGTTTCCTGCCACTCCCTGGACGGTTTAAGAAAACAGAAACAAGCCTGTCAGATGCTCCCAGCACACAGAAGGCAAGGGTTGGACCCACTGACCTTTCGAAAATCCTCTCCACTCCAGCCATTCACCACACGCCAGGGCAGGGTGCCCCACACCCACACACAAATCCCACTTTCAGACTCCCTCAGAACCACTCAAAGGCAAGGTCTGGCAGCTCAAAGGGCCTGCAGAAATAGTGCACCCATGTAGTCGCGACCAGGGCCACAGACCTCTGGTTCACAGGCTCTGAGTATGAGAACAGACTCTAGAACCTTCCACAGCCTGGCTGGCTCCGAGAAACTTCTATGCTCCCCTCCACCCTGCACACACCCTGCCCCCAACATACCCTAGAGCAGAGATGCCTTCTGTACAAGGAAAAGGTGGGGGCCCAGCTGCCAACCCAGCCCCTGAGAGCACATGAAATCAGAGCTATTTTTAGCCCTTCTTTCCAGCAACTCTGACATCAGCTGAACAATGGTGGTGGGCTCAGGGTGCGTGTCTGAGAACGCAGGGATGAAATGGCATTTCTTTCCAGGGTCCCAGGGGACATGGCAGAGGAAAGCACCCTGAGGCTTCTGGGAACAGAGGCAGAATGCGGTAGATGTCGCCATGCAGTCTTTCTGGATGTAGGGTCAAGCTCGAGGGTGACTTCTGTAAACATCCCAGGGCTCGGGAGAGCATTGCCTGGGTGAAACTGGCTCCACCCCACGCCACCCAGCCTCATTTCCCCACCAGCAAGTAGGGCTCAGGCCACCAGGGCCTTCTCCAAGACGTTGCAAAAAACTTGATTAAAAAGGCCAAAATGCTGTTGCGCACGGTGGCTCATACCTGCAGTCCCAGCACTTTGGGAGGCCAAGGCAGGCGGATCACACGAGGTCGGGAGTTCGACACCAGCCCGGTCAACATGGTGAAACCCTGTCTCTACTAAAACTACAAAAATTAGCTGGGCATGGTGGTGCACACTTACAATCCCAGCTAACTGGGTGGTTGAGGCAGGATAATTGCTTGAACTCGGGAGGTGGAAGTTGGAATGAGCCGAGATGGCGCCACTGCACTCCAGCCTGGACAACACAGTGAGACTCCATCTCTAAATAAATAAATAAAAATGAAAAGACCAAAATGCCTTGGCAAACCCATGTATTGGAGAAATGTGGGTTTCCCTTTGTTTCCCCATCTAAGCTCCCAGAAGGACAGAGACCAAGGTTTTGGTTTTTTGTTTATCTTTATATCTCTGATATGAGGCACACGACCTGGTACTTACGGGCATTTGATTTTCTCTAATGAATGAATGAACACATTGGGCGACTTCTTAATAAAATCCTTGAACTCTGGAAAGTTCATATGTCTCTATTCCAAGCCCCCAGGGCAAGGGTACGCATAGCCCTTCCCTTCTCCAGGCTCTGGCCTAGCGCCGCGTCTCTGCTGGGGAACCCGAGAGCTGGGTGGTGTGCAGAGCAGCTCATGGGAACTCCCAGCTCTGCTCCTCCCTTCCCTCTCCTGTCCCCAAGCCTCACTCTCCAGCCCAGCCTAAGTCCCCAGCCCGGAGTGAATATGGGGACCATATTTGATTCCTCTCTAGCCCCCACGCAGTCTTTCCAACCAAGCAAGACAAGCCCCTTGCTGGTGGCGCCCTGTGCTTTTCAGCGTGGAGTTGTGACCGCTGCCATGCCCGTGATGGGAAGGCCACTTTGACCTCACTCAAATTAGAGCTAAAGACCTCCTGACCACACACACCTCCCTGTGTCACTCTGCCTGCAGGTTTCTCACAATCTGCCGGGACCCAAGTAGCCTATTTGCACACAGGTTGCCCATGGGGAATGGGGGTGAGATCAGCTCTGCCCACAGGAGGGAAACACGAATAGCCGATCCAAGCACTTCACAGCTATGAGAAAGGACCCCCGACCCAAAGTGAAGTCACCCACACTCCACCGGGGGCTTTGAATCGTGTAATGGACACGTGCACTTGAGCAGGCCGCAGAGCCCACCCGGGGCAGTGAACGTGCTTGTACCTTTGTGTAAGCCTCGGGTGCAGGGTGTGGCTGAAACACTCTAGTGTCCTTTTTCGGCCCATAGTGGGCTTATCATTAATGAATTTATCTAAAACACTAAGGAGGTTCTTCATCCACCCCTCCCACCCCTGGGGGTGGCGTGTCCTGCGGTTTTCCCTCCCCACGGGCTATGCTGTCCCACAATCTGCCCGAAACATGCCCCTTTATGACATTCCTGAGCACTCTACTGCAGTGATCCAAACCCCTCTCAGTCGTATTCAAGCACTCAGCAGACATAATTGAGCTCCTACTGCATGCCAGGCACTGGGGTAGGCACAGGGGACCCAGCATGGTCCCTGCCCTCATGCTGTTCACAGACCAGTGGAGGAGACACGCCTCAGGAGCTGGCAACCAGGTTGGAACAGCAGGAAAGGCTTCTAATTCCATTGCTAGGCATGAGATATTTCTGTCAGAGGCACTGGAGCTGAGTGCTCAAGGATGGGGGAGAGTTCACCAAGCAGCTAAGGGAAAGAGGGTGCTCCAGGTAGACAGTTCCAGAGGGTCAAAATCCCCCAGGTTTGCGTGGGGACAGAGAGGAAGGAATAAGGGGAGGCCAGGCTGGACAGAAAGGGCCTTGGGAGCACAGATGCATGCAGGAGGCAGGCATGGTGAGGATCGGATGACATATCAGGAGGCTCACTCTGGCTGCAGCTAAGGAGACGGGTTGGAGCGGAAGACACAGTAGTCCCAGTGACTACGAGTGAGGAGAGCTTGCTCCATGGTGGTAATGCTGGCAAGGGGGAAATCATAGCTCTCAGTGGCAGAGGAAAAGAGAGAAAATGAAGACACGTCTGAGATTTGGTTTGGTTGACCAGAAGAATGGTGTTGCCATTCACCGGGATGAACCGAAAAGGAGAGCAAAGGTTTGGGAGTGAGATACCTGGGGAACATCCAGGCCAGGAGCCCATGTGGGTGTCTCTATGAAGCACAAGATGACAATCCAGGCTGGAGACGCAGACAGTGGAGTTGAGGAAGCACAGATGGCAAATCTGGGGGCATGGTTGGGGTCACCCTGGGGGATCGAGGGAGAGCAGCCCAGGATGGAGCCCTGAAAACACCATCGCTTAGCTTCCATGGAAGAGGAAGGTCAGAAAGGACCGAGAGGGCCCTGGTGATCAGGGAAGAGAAGCACCACTTATCCACACCCAAAGAAGGAGGAGAAAGACAGCACAGTGTAGCCCCCGGGGCCCTGGACCCAAGTATTGGCAAAGGTGATCTTTCATTCACCTTCTAAGATGTTTTGCCTGCATCTTCTCCCAACCTTCAGTTTTTGAGGCTGAAAAGTCCCAGTCTTTTCATCCAGTCCCTTGAGAATAGCCCACCGCCAGGGGAACTGTGGATCCCTTTGCTCTGGGCTTTGCTCAGTTCTTCCCTCATTCTGGGAGCCAGGAGGGCTTTGGGGATGTGATCACACAGGTGTAGGGACCCAAGAGCCAAGGGAAGAGCATTCCTGGGCGATCTTTTCAGCTCTGGGCTCAAATGCTCCCTACCTTCCAGGACGAAGTGGCTGTCAGGCCTGGGGTTGGGTAAGCAATGCCTTTCAAAGTCGTGTAGCGAAGTCCAGGGTGCAGGGTGGGTTAGGGGAGAGGTGACTGCAGAACAGCCACCTTTCCCTCAGAGAAGGGGACTCAGGATATAACAGCGGCTGCCATTTGTATGCCAGGCACCACCAAAATATCTCACTGGTTCCTCGCAACAACCCTATGAGGTAAAACCAGTATCCCAGCTACGGGTGAAGAGGCTGGGCTTCAGAGAGGTTTGGAAGCTTTCCCAAAGTCACACAGCAAAAGAACTAGAGCACTGGGATTTGGGCTCAGGTCCGTCCCCATCCAGCAGATGGACCCTCTCCCTCAGCGTCCTGCTGTCCCTCATCCCATGCAGCTGTTGGTCCTGTGGAAGATGCCCAGCACCGCATCTGCTGTGTGTGCTGAGACTTAGGCTCTTGAAACCTCTGCCAGCTGAGAAGGCTGCTATGTTCTGCTGCCCCCTGCCCTGGCTGAGTGGCCTCAGGAAGCTCTTCCCCTCTGTTTCCTTATGAGTGAGATGAGCGGGGAAGACCAGGTGAGCTCTCAGGCCCTGGAAGCTGACTCTGCAGACCTTGTAGGGCCTGGTCGGCTGCCCAGAGATCTTTCCACCTCAGTAGCTACCCTACAGGACATGGTCTATCCTTGCAGGACTTGGTCTGTCCCGTCCTCTAGCACCTCCCACCCCGCAGGACCCGGTCTGTCCTCTCCTATAGCACCCCCTGCCAGCTGGCTGCTTTCCCATGGGGAAGGCCCCGCACTCCCACCCCGGCGTGTAGCTGTGGCTTATCAAGCCCTCCTTGTATCCGTGTCCACCAGCCCCATTCTGGGGAGACGTGCTCATCTGTGTTGCTTCCTGGGGCCTCCCTGGGAAACAGGCTCAAAATAGAAGATGGCATTTACTGGAGCAGGCACAGCACCACCCAGGGTGGCCAGTGACATGTCCACATGTTAGAGCCCAAATCTTCAGGTGATCGTCAATTCCCAGCCCTGCCCTGGGCGGTGCAGCCTCTCGGGAGGCTCCTCAAAGTCAGACCCAGGGCAGGGCAGCAAAGGCCACATCTCCACTGAGTGAGCCTCACACTCACGCTGCCCTCTCCTGTCAATGACTCCACATGCTGCTGGAAACACCCTGGGAGTCCGGGGTGAGCCCTGGCTGGAGGAGCCTGGGCCCCGGGGCTGCCTCTGCAGGGGCCGGCTCTAGGGCCTGGAGCAAATCACCCCCCTACTCCCGCTTCCAGCCTCTCCCTCCATAAGATAAAGAGCGGAACAACCGTTTCTAAGTCCCTTCCATGCCTTGAGTCTTACGGGCCAGCTTAGTGGACTCTCCATAACTGCCCTGCAGGGAGAAGGCCTGCCCTTGGTGACCCAGCATGGGCCCCCTTCATCTGGGGTGCAGCAGCACCGTGGATGAGGATCTGGGAGGCAGGCAAGCCCCTTAAAGACTTGGGCAGGATGCAGAGCAGGGGCCAGCCGCACCACAGAGCCAGGGCTGGAGCTCCCCAGGGCTCTGAGCTCTCGCTCTGTAGCCAGGAAGGCACACCTGTTCCTAGAACAGTCACCTGAAAAGAGGGCAGGGAGGCCTCCGATGTGCCAGGCACGGAGCCAGACACTCGAGGCTAGCGGGGTACACCGTTAGTGCCCTAACAGGGGAATGTGACTGAAGGCAGTATGTCTATTGTTATCCCCATTTTATAATGGGAAAACAGGCGAGCACCATTAAGTAACTCATCCAAGGACACAAAGTCAAGGACCGGTGCCTACAGACTATGCTGTGCCCAAAGCATGCGGAGCTCTGCGGGCAGAGGAGGGAACTCCTAGCCCAAGTTGGGTGGGGGAGGGTACGAGGAAGATTCCAGGAGGAGGTGAATCTCAGCAGCATCTCTGAGCTGGAGCAAGAGCCCACTTCCACAGGCCAGGAGTCCCTTTCCCAGCCCGGCCTGTCTTGACTCAGGGGTCTGCAGGCTGTGCTCACAGCTCCTCCAACATGGCCCTCTCCTGGCTCCTCTGCATGAAAAAGAACCCACAGGGCTGTAGCTGGAAGCTTTCTGAGGTCAGAAACTGAGCATCCTTGCCCCTCCACCCTTCCTGGCCCAGGAATGCATGCACACGTGACACATGGCAGGATGGATGGAAGCAGGGGTGGCTGAGACCAGAAGAGGTCACAGCAGAGAGGGAGGGGCAGCTTCCCAACAGGTGGGGGTGGGACTCCACCCTGTCGCAGGCCAGCAGCCCTCACCTCCTGCTGCCATTACCACCTGGCCAATGGATAGTGCAGGGGGCTCCTCTGTGCTCCCAGCCCCCGGCCTCCTCTAGGTCCCTGCTGAAGCCAGTGTGGTGCAGGCCCAAGCTCAGAAGGGCCTTATCTTCCCAGGGAGCACAAGCTCTTTGTAGACGCTGCTAGAAGCAGTGCACACCCTCCCTGTGCCAGGGCTGGGGGAGAGTGACTGTGGCAGAGATCACGGGTCCAGGCCTTTCCTGTCATTCCCACTGACCAGCCCCGAGATGGCAAGAACCACATCAGCATCTTGAGCCTCAGTCACCTCGTTCATAAAGTGGGAACAAGGGTCTCTTGTTGGATTCTCTCTTGACTTCCAGCAGGTGCAAATGAAGAAAGGGATGTGTCCCCACAACAGTTTTAGACTGAAAACCCCTGACAAGAACAGAAAACCTAGTCTCCTAGACAGAGAATGCTTAATAATTCATTCGTTCATACCTCAGCACATTCCGAAAAGAACTTGAGATGGCGAGAACATACAATCCAGTTGGCAAGCACCACAGGCCCTTGGCTTGCTGGCCAAACCTTCGCCTCCCAAGGTCATCCAGGAGTAAGTGTCGAACAATTTCCAGGTCAGGCACTTGCTAGAAGTTTCTCAGATGCCGTCCTATCAAAGCCTCACAATTGCCCATTGCACAGGTACTGTCACTACATTTTTCTACACATGAGAAGCCTGAGGTGCAGAGACGGCGAGTTACTTGCCCAAGGCCACACAGCAAGGATGGGGAGTGGGGATTTCCATCCAGGACTGACTGTGAGCCCCAGAACCTCAGCAGCATGCCCTGACATCTTCCTGTGCTTTCCAAATTGTCAAGCGCCAAACGGAGTCACCCATCCATCCACGACCCCAGGGCTGCTGTTCTGGGCCAGTCCCTTGCAGCAGGTGCCCAGGAAGTCTGGAGGCCACAGCACCCCAGGTCCCTGCCCTTGGAACTCAGTTTCCAGGCAGAGGTAGACAGTGTTCAAATGAGCAAATAGTGATGGAAACTCATGCTGGGGGGACAAGGGCTGTGGGGAAAATAAAACAGAGGGATAGAAAAGTGTGTGTGTGTGTGTGTGTGTGTGTGTGTGTGTGTGTGTGGCCCCCACAGTGGTGACAGGGGAACGCACACCAGAATGGGACAAGGTGCTGAGCGACGCATGGGTAACAGCCAGGCTGCAGCTCAGAGAGGGGAATGGGCTTGCAGTGGAACAGCGAGAAGGCTGGGAAGGTGTGAGTGAAGACAGAATCACCGGCGGCTGCATCGGGAAGAACTTGGTTTTAGTCCCAAACAGCAGCAGTGGCTACCAGTCTGTTTCACACTGCGTGGCTTCTTTCTGATCTCGCCCTCTTACACAGGCCCTGCACTTCCCCGGACCTCAGGGTCTTCACCTGCAGAATGGGAAGGCTGGTCCATGACCTAACGGCCCATCATTCTATTCTGCTGCAGAGTCTCATCTTCCCCTGGGAGTGGGGATCTGGGAGGCGCTGCCTCTTCTGAGTAGGCTGCAGCACAGCAGGTGTGAAGCAGGGCAGGCAGAAGCCACCCCAGCTGCATGTCAGTGGCCTTGGGAGAGGGAGAAACGAGGTTTTCCTCCTGACCTGGCCTGAGCTGGGAGTGGGGAGCCCGGACCAAGGAGGGGGCAGGGGTGGGAGCTGTTATGGGGATGCCAGGTCGGGAAGAGGCCCCTGCAGAAGGGCTGGGCTGAGTGGGGACGACAGGAGAACCAAGAGGCCACAGCCAGCCCCCTGCCCTCCTCTAGCTGGCTGACAAAAAGCCAGGATCAGCAGGGGAAATCGTGGGCCAGTGGGTAGGGGAGTGGGAAGGAGAAGGGCCAGCTATAAAGGGCACATGCAGCACAGGTCCACCGCATGACCTCCTGCAGCCCTCCTGCCCCTCTCCAGGCTTTTTCAAAGCCCCCATCCCCATCCCAGGCCTCAGCCCACCTGCCTCAGAGGCTGCCTCAAAGCCCCTGCCCAGGAAGGGGACCCAAGTTCACCCACAGGGCTCCCCGTGACGTTCCCGCTCTGAAGTGATTGGGTAATGGGGTAGTGACCTGGGAGGCAGCCAGTCAGGGTAGAAAGAGGCCCACTTACCACCCACATCATCCATGAGCTTGCTCATTGTATGCACAGTCCATAAACCCCCAACAAACACTAATACAGTCAGTACGTCAGAACCTCTCATATCTTTAGCATCCTGTGATGTGCTGAACTGTTATTTCCTTGCATTATTATATTTGTTTTTTCTTTTCTTTTGTTTGAGACAGGGTCTCATTCTGTTGCCCTGGCTGAAGTGCAGGGGCAAGATCACAGCTCACTGCAGCCTCGAACTTTTGAGCTCAAGCAATCCTCCCATCTCAGCCTCCCCCGTACCTGGGACCACAGACACGTGCCACCATGCCTGGCTAATTTTCTTTATTTTTTGTAGAGACGGTTATACAGTTTGAATGTGTATCCTTGCCCAAATCTCATGTTGAAATGTAGTCCCCAGTGCTGGAGGTGGGGCCTGGTGGGAGGTGTTTGGATCTTGGGGGCGGATCCTTCATGAATGAACCTGAGCCTCCTCTTAGCACAGGGCTCCCAACCCCCGGGCCATGGACAGGTACTGGTCTGTGGCCTGTTAGGAACCCAGCTGCACAGCAGGAGGTGAGTGGCAGGCGAGGAAGCATTACCACCTGAGCTCTGCCTCCTGCCAGATCAGTGGCGGCATTAGATTCCCACAGGAGTGTGAACCCTGTTGTGAACTGTGCCTGCGAGGGATCTAGGCTGCACGCTCCTTATGAGAATCTAATGCATGATGATCTGTCACTGTCTCCATCACCTCCAGATGGGACCATCTAGTTGTAGGAAAACAAGCCCAGGGCTCCCACTGATTCTGCACTGTGGTGAGTTGTATGACTATTTCATTATACATTACAATGTAATAATAGTAGAAATAAAGTGTACAATCAATGTAATACTCATCCTGAAACCATCCTCCCTCCTAGTCTGTGGAAAAATTATCTTCCATGAAACTGGTCCCTGGTGCCAAAAAGGTTGGGGATTGCTGGTTTAGCACCATCTTCCTTGGTGCTCTCCTCGAGAGAGTGAGTGAATTCTCTGGAGATCTGGTTGTTTAAAAGTGTGTGGCACCTTCTTTCTCTTGCTCCTGCTCCCACCATCTGAGATGCCTGCTCCCCCTTGGCCTTCCACCATGACTGTAAGCTTCTGAGGCCTCCCTAGAAGCAAATGCCCATGTTATGCCTCCTGTACAGCCTGTAGAACTGTGAGCCAATTAAATCTCTTTTCTTAATAAATTACCTAGTCTCAGGTATTTCATCATAGCAATGCAAGAATGACCTAACACAGACGGGGTCTTGCCATGTTGCCCAGCCCTACATTATTATATTTGAATCTGCAACAATTCAGTGGATCTGGCACTATTCATCTTATTTTACAAGTGTGGGAAGAATCTAGATAATAGCTGTATTTATTTACCCCTTTAAGATGTATAATTCACCGGTTTCAGTACTTCCACAGAGTTGTGCAACCATCGCCACCATCTAGTCCCAGAACATTTGCATTACCCCCAAAAGAAATCCTGGACTCACAAGCAGCTGCTACCTGTTCTTCCATTCCACCACAGCCTCTGGCAAGTGCTAGTCTACTTTCTGTCTCTATGGATTAGCCTATTCTGGACATTTCATACAAATGGAATCATGCAATATATGGCCTTTTGTGGCTGGCTTCTTTCACTTAGCATGTTTCAAGTTTCAGCCACAGTGTAGCATGCATCAGTACTTCATTCCTTTCTATTGTTGAGTAATGTTCCATTATATGTATATACCACATTTTGTTTATCACATTCATCAGTTGATAGACATTTGAGTTGTTTCCACTTTTTGGCTATTATGAGTAATGCTGCTATAAACATTCATCTACAAATTTTCATATGGACATATGTTTTCAATTCTCTTGGGTATATACATGGTAGTGGAACTGCTGGGTCACATGGTAACTTTATGTTTAACTTTTTGGAGGAACCAGCAAGTTGTTTTTCATCGTGGCTGCACCATTTTGTATTCCCACAAACAATGCAATGAGCGTTCCAATTTCTGCACATCCTTGCCAACACTTGTTATTGTCTTTTTGTTTTTAGCCATCCAAGTGGGTGTGATGTGGTATCACAGTGTGGTTTTGATTTGTATTTCCCTAAAGATTAATGATGTTCAGTGTCTTTTCATGTGCTTAGTGGCCATTTATATATCTCCTTTGAAGAAATGTCTATTGAAATCTTTTGTCCATTTATTAATTGGGTTTTCTCTTTATTATTGAGTAGGAGTTCTCTGTTTATTCTGGATACAAGTCCTTAATCAAACACATGATTTACACATATTTTCTCTCATTCTATGGGTTGTCTTTTCACTTTCCTGATGGTGTCCTCTGAAGCACAGAAATTTTTAATTTTGATGAAGTCTTATCTGTCCATGTTTTCTTTTGTCATTTGTGCTTTTGGTGTCATATCTAGGAAGGCTTTGCCTAATCCAAAGTCATGAAGGTTTACGCCTATGTTTTCTTCTAAGAGTTGTATAGTTTTAGCTTTAACATTTAGGTCTATGATGATTTTGACTTGTTTTTTTTGTATGATGTAAGGTAAGGGTCTAACTTCATTCTCTTTTTTTTTTTTTTTTTTTTTTTAGACAGAGTTTCACTCTTTTCTCCCAGGCTGAAGTGCAGTGGTGCAATCTTGGCTCACTGCAATCTTTGCCTCCTGGGTTCAAGTGATTCTCCAGCCTCAGTCTCCCGAGTAGCTAGGATTACAGGCATGTGCCACCATGCCCAGCTAATTTTTGTATTTTTAGTAGAGATGGGGTTTCACCATGTTGGCCAGGTTGGTCTTGAACTCCTGACCTCAAGTGATCCGTCAGCCTTGGCCTCCCAAAGTGCTGGGATTACAGGTGTGAGCCACTGCACCCAGCCCCCGGCTTCATTCTTTTGCATGTGGATATCTACTTGTGATTATGGCAATGCAAGAACAGCCTACAATGATTGCTGCTCACTGCAGTCTTGACCTCCCAGGCTCAAGAAATCCTCCCACCTCAGCCTCCTGAATAAGTGGGATTATAGGTGTGTGCCGACATGCCCAGCTAATTTTCTTATTTTTTTATTTTTTGTACAGACAAAGTGTCACTATGTTATCCAGGCTAGCCTTGAACTTTTGGGCTCTTGTGATCCCCCCATGTAGGCCTCCCAAAGTGCTAGAATTGCAGGGGCTCACCACCACATCCAGCCTCTCTGCCTTTTCAAGGTAACATTTCTGCAGTGAGGACTCTAAGTCAGATATGGGTCTAAGTGGGTCGTATGTATTAACTCATGTAACATTATTCTTCATAGTCCCATTTTACAGATGAAGAAACTGAGGCAAGTAGTTTGCCTAAGGTCACACAAGTAGTAGACAGCAGAGCTGGGAGGTGAACCCAAGCTATGTGGTTCTGTTTCCCCTGCCAGACACCCACAGAGATGCCAGAAACATGGGAATGAGCTAGCCTGAGTCTCCCCTTTCTAGAGAAGAAGTTGGTGTGTAGAGAAACTTGTCTGAGGCTCACTGTAACAGAGGTAGGATGAGATCCAGGCCCACACTGGACACTTCCTTTTCCCATGCAGCCCTGGGTATTTATTTCAATGTCATGTTGCCTTGACAAAATGCTGAGAGGGAAGCTGTGGCCATGGGGCGATTCCTTGTTGCCCTGGGCTTCAGGGCCCTGAGTGGCTGCTCGGTGAGAGGGTGAGGGCAAGACAACAGAAAGATGGAGAAGAATGGGCAGGAACCCAGGTCTTCCCTTTACAAAGGAAGAAGGCTGAGCCCTGAGAGGGATGTGCCTGCCCAGTGCTCCTGGCTCCCTAGCCTTCGTTTCTCCTGCCACCTTGCTGCTCCCCTTCACAGGTCCTCTCCTGGGGGCCAGTGCTGCCAGGAGGAAGTAGGCAGAAAGGAGCTGGGACCCTCTCTTCCTCTTACAGTTTTCTAGGGCTGATCTTCAAAAGTGAATTTGCGGAGCCTTCCTCTGTGGCCTCCCTCACTCCGGTTGTCATCACGGTCATTTCATTTCCTTTACTTTCTGCCCATCTGAAAGGCGCCCCGGGATGGATGGTGGGGGTGGACACTAGTGGCTTGCCAGGCGTCTATCCCTGGGCCCTGGAGACCCATCTTCAGGATCTGCCCAACACCCCATACAAAGCAGGCACTGCACCTACCCCTTAGAGAGGTTCCCCAAGAAGGCCAAGAGTTTCCCTGAGGCTGGAGAGGATGAAGGGCCCAGGCCTCAACTTGGGAGCTCAGCCAATTATCGACAGAGAGGACAGCGCTAAGCATGGCACTCAGATACCACTGGAAAGACAGCTCAGGGCCAAATCCAGGAGTCAGGAGTCTACAGCCCTCGTGGGGCTTTCCGAGAGTGCCAGCATCATCATTGCCTTTAGGAGAACAGCGGATGTCAAAGGGAAGCATCGTGCCAATGGTTTCAAAGGGCTGGAGCCAATAATCACAGCACAGTGACCGGCTGCCCCTTTGCACCTCTGCTGTGGCCAGTGAGGACAGAAGGGGATTGAACTAGAAACTGGGATTAATCTGTCTTCAGCTTCTCAGATACAGGTAAGACCTCTCTCCTCTTCTGGGCTTCAAAACCCTAAAGGTGAGAGCTTCCTTAAAATGTGTACCCTGGCACCTTGCTTTTCTTACCCTAGTCCTGGCCTTGTCCATAACTCAGTATTTTTTTCTTTTTTTTGAGATGGAGTCTTGCTGTGTCACCCAGGCTTGAGTGCAGTGGTGTGATCTTGGATTGCTACAACCTCTGCCTCCTGGGTTCAAGCAATTCTCAGGCTTCAGCCTCCCGAGTAGCTGGGATTACAGGCACGTGCCACCATGCCCGTTTAATTTTTGTATTTTTAGTACAGATTGGGTTTCACCATGTGGGCCAGGCTGGTTTTGAACTCCTGACCTCAGATCATCCACCAGCTTCGGCCTCCTGAAATGCTGGGATTCCAGGCAGGAGCCACCTTGCCCAGCCATAACTCAGTCTTCAACCTGCCCCATCCAAGCTGTGTTCCAATCAGGAAAGCACAGAAAGGCCTTTTCCTAGGCAACGGATTCAGGCACAGCAGGTGGATGCAAGTACAGTCTACTCCAGGCGTGTCACCATTGGAACACCCCATTCCCTTCCTTCAGGCCCTTCTACTCCCTGGGGTCCACAGAGCTCAGGGAGCCTCTTGTGGCCCATGGTGTGCCCCTCTCCCCACCTGCTCCCTCAGCAATGACAAGATGCAGTGACTGGGGATGATACATCAATGTCTTGCAGGCTCCCAGGAGACAGATAGGCAGACCCTGGGATGCTGATGGCGCAGTCACCAACAGGAAGGAAAATGAGAGGAGACTGCAGGGCAGATGGAGCTTCCGCCTGCCAAGAGCCGCTGATGCCCAGTCTCACTCTGGGCAGCATGGCCCCATCCCTCCTGGCCATCCAGGAGTGAGGAATGGGGCTCACCAATGGGGGACCTCTCCTCATCCCAGGATAGGCCTCTCCATCCCTCCTCAGAACAAGCGAAACTGGGGAGTGGGGAAATCCACACAGATCATGTTGGTTTGGGTCCAGAAACTTGAACTAAACCAAGTTAGGATCCAACAACAATATCGAATCTAAAAATGATCCCCAATGTGATTTTTTAAAAACTGAATCAAAGTGTTAAAAAAAAAAACTTGGTGTACTATAGTTAGATTTGTAATTAAACTTTGGTACTTTCTAAATCTACTGAACTGAAAGGAAAAAGAAACCCACGTGATCTGGAAAGTGGCTTGGCCTACTTTAGTGTTGTGTGATCTTCAGTAAGTCACTTGCCCTCTCTGGGCCTCAGTTTCCCTCACTTGTGTCAGACTGGAAAATCTGAACAGTTCTCATTGCTGTTTACCTAATCCCTGAATCTCAAAATAGTCTTCAAATGGACTCTGCCAGCCCTTCCATGAGATGCAAGTTCCCGTTTGGATGGCAACCAAGCCAAGTCATCTGGAGAAGGAACGTTCTCTGTGTGCCATCTGTGAAGAGCCTGGGAAACAGAGGCCTGAGTGCTGGGGCTTGGGGAGCATGTGAGTCTTTAGAGCCGGCACTAATGCGATTATGGGATTAGAATGTTCATCTTCGTTTTCACTGTGCTTCATTTGGTGAAATCAATAGTGACAATGGGCTGCCCAGTTGGTGCTGCCATTCTCCCAGGAGGGCCCACATCCAGCTACTCAGGGCAGGGGTCATCCTGAGAGCTGGATATCACTGGCAAGGCTAGTGGTTTGGGAGGCTTTCATCACCCGAGACATGGCATGCCAGCACCCATGAGGGAAAGAAGTCAGAAAAGACAGGGTAGAAATGGGTGTGATCACCATGGGAGCCAATATTCCCCTTTTACAGAGGAAGACACAGGCAGGAGCCTGGACTCAGCCTGGGCCGCCCGCTGATGGAGGCAGTGGCCATTTTTGCCTGCAGTTTCTCAACTGTAAAATGGAGCAACTCACTCCTCCTTCTCTGTCCTACAGAGAAACGATGGGCTCATCACTGGATGAGAAAGTACAACTTAGCTTCCAGAACTTCTGCAGAGAGGAAACAGAACAGAAGCCTTAGGAACTATTATTGTCATCACAGTCATTATCCAGCTCTGAGGGAGCAGCAGCAAGGCCTGGATGCTTTATGGTGACAGCGGGTCTCACCTTTTGTGCAAAAGCTACAGCTGCATTTCAACAGGAAGGCATCAAGCCTGAGAACATGGCTTAATCTGCCCACAGACCGGGGGAAACCCTGCAGGGCTTCTGTAACCAGAGTGTGACGCTGACACTCTGAGTTGCGACCACCTCTCCTGGGTCACTTTGGGTGTTGGCTCGCTTTGGGGGTCCCTGGACTGAGCTCATGCACAGATAATGACAGTTCACGCGGCTTTCACTGAACAACTTCTCCTGGTCACCGGATCTCTCCAGTGTCCCTCCCTCCCCACTCTATGGTGAGGCCTGGCCTGGAGACCACAGGAGTGGGAGAGGAACTCGGTCCCCTCGGCTTGCCATGTAGAAAGGGACACTGGTTCTCTGTGACCCACAGGTGGTCACAGAGACCACCTCTGGGCATAGGAGAAATGGGTAGATGTTATAGGGAGACTGGTTTTGGCCAGTATCTTAATCAGCTCTGGTTGCTATAACAAAATACCCCTGGGTGGCTTAAACACTGGATATTTATTTCTCACAATTCTGGAGTCTGGGAAGTCTGAGATGAAGGTGCCAGTGGATTTGGTTCCTGGTGAGGGCTCTCTTCCTACTTGCAGACAGCCACCTTCTTGCTGTGTCCTCACGTGGTGGAGAGAGGGAACAAGCTTGCTGGTGTCTCCTCGTCTTCTTATATGGACACTAATCCGTTGCTGAGGCCCCACCTTCATGACCTCATGTAAACCCTTGATTTCCCAAAGGCCCCACCTAATACCATCCCACTGTGGGTTACCCTTCAATATATGAATTTCACAGGACACAAACATTCTGTCCAGAGCATCCAGTATTGGAAAAGACAGAGGAACAATCCTCTGAGAACAGACACCACCTTGCGCCCTTTCCTCTGGTGTTCCAATGGCAGGAACCCTCTGGGAGGAGTCTGAGAATGGGTGGGAAGTGGTTCTCCTTCCAAACATGAGTTTCTGTGACCAGGGCTGGAACTACGGTGAGGCAATGAAATGCCCAGAGTGCAGGATTTAAGGCAGCACTCACACTCAGGGTTTGCTCCTGGGATTACAAAAGCCTGAAGGTCAGGGGGGGGCCTCCTTAAAATTTGCACCTGGCACCTTGTGTGTCTCACCCTAATCCTGGCCCTGTCCATGACTCAGTCTTCAAACTGCCCCATTAAAGATCTCTTCCAATCAGGAAAACATAAAAAGGTCTTTTCCTAGGCAGTTAGTTCAGACACAGCAGGTGAGTGCAGGTATAGCAGGCAGGTGCAGGTACAGCAGGTGGGTGCAGGTATAGCAGGTGGGTACAGGTATAGCAGGTAGGTGCAGGTATAGCAGGTGGGTGCAGGTATAGCAGGTGGGTCAGGAACAGCAGAGGTACAGTCTACTTCAGGATGTCAAGGGAACTCTCAAGCCCGTTAACCCATAAATATCAGGCACGGTCATAGCGTTACCCTGGCAGATGACTGCCCCAGTCTCCTGGTCAAGATGCATGCTTACTCTGAAGGCCGGGGGAGGAAAATGATTAAAGTAAGAGAGACGGAAGCCTTTCCTTTGATCAGGGAATATTCACACGCCTCCACAAGAAAGGAAGAAATGAAAACTCATCGAATTTCCACTCTAGGTCAGCTGTCTGCCACTTCTGCATAGTTATCTTATTTGATCCTCAACACAGCCCAGCCACAGGGGCATCATTCTCAATTTACAGATAAGGAAACTGAGGCTTTGGGACAAAGGATTTGTCCAGGGTCACGGAGAATCTGAGAATCAGAACCTTAGGTCTGAGACCAAGGCCAGCGCCTCACATTCCCAAGGCAGGAGGTATCATTCCCTCTCACTCCCTCATCTAATCACCCTTTCACTCCTGCAGCACACACAGCGTAAGGGCCTGTGAAGAGGCAGGAACAATTCTAGGAGCTTGGGAGATCGCTTGCATTCCAGTGGGGACTGAGAGAATTAAAAGTCAACAGCACACAAGTAAACAAACAATAAGAGCCATGAATGAAACAGGGAAGACAGGGAAGACCGGGCTAGACTGGCTAGATGGGGTAGGGCCAGGAGCATTTGTCCTGAACACTGAGTGAGGAGCAACCAGCCAGGCAAAGATCGAGGGGCAGAGGGCACGGGTGCTGGGGTACAAAAGGTGAGTATCGGAGGCATGGCAGGCAGGGGCAGAGCATGAGGCAGAGAGAGGGTGGAGGGGAAGGCTGTGAGCGGATGAGTCCCAGCAGAAGAAGTTGCATTTTTTTCTAAGTACAAAGGGAAGCCACTGAAAAGATTTAAACAGTGAAGCTGCAAGATCCAATTTACCAATTAAGAAGATCCCTCCGGCTCTAGTGTGCCCACCAGCCGGGACGCTGGAGGCCATGTGGCAGCCAGTTGCTGACTGGCATCATTCCAGGCAAGAGGAGGTGGCGGCTTGAGTGACAGTGGGAGCTGTGAGTCCAGAGACACTGACAACGCTGCAGAATGCCTTTTGGGCAGAGCTTGGGCCTGGCATCCTCAGAGGCTGGCTAGGGGCGGCTGGGGAAATAGGAGTCGGGGTGGAATCACTGAAAGCCAGAACCCAGGCCCAGCCTTGGCTCAGAGTGAACACACAGTCCACACTTGATGAGTACATGAAGAAACCCAAAGAGAAATTCAGGACTATCTTTTTGGGCAGAACCTCCTTCATGTGGTCCCACCCACATGGGTGGCAAACACAGACCCAGCACACCTCCAGCTTCCTGGCAACACTGTGCACGGTCTGAGAGGCAGGCAACTGCAGCCCAGGGAGCTGGAAAAATGAGATTCTGAACTCTGGTTTGCTCCTTTTAGCTTTTTAACATGCAGCCTCCATCGCTTCATTTGCCCACAGTTGTCCAGTTCTTATGCCAGGCAGGAGTGAACCTGCCTTCCGAGGGGAACGTTGCCAGGAGGAAGGGAGCCCGGTGAGAGTGGCTGGTCCTTCCACCACCTGAGAGGCCCAAGAATCATTGTTTCATTGACAATAACGTGGGGCATTTAGTATTCATCCAACACAAACGCATAGCTATTATACACCACCTTTCTGAGAGTAAAAGCTATCCCTTTTATTTGGGGGAAGGGCATGAAAGCACCTTCTCCACTTAAAATGCTGATCTTACTGTGCATTATTCTTTGAAGTACAATGAAAAGTGTCTTGGCCTAATCATGACTTTCCGCGGGGGCGACAGAGTGGGAGGAAATGGCCCCTCCTAGAAGCACACAGGGGACTTATTTTCAATCTTTTTAAAGAAGTAAGAAAATGCAAACCATAAGTAGGTTTAAATGCTTCCCCTAAAACCCCAAAACATAATATTATCATACAATAGAGGTGCTATCAAGTCACATAGTACAACTCTGTTCCCTAACCAGCTTTGGGGGACACCATCGTGCCACATTTCTGAAGCCCCTGACTTGTAGTCCCCATTTGCCATGCTGGGCTGGGAGTCAGGCTGCAGTGAACCCCAAGAGGGAGGTCCCCTGGTGCTCTGAGAGGTAGGACTTGACTTCCTTCTTCCCGGGGCTGCAGCCTAGGGAGGATTTCCGCCAGAAGGCTCAAATGTATTTTTGTTTATTTACGATGTCTTACATCTTTTGGAACTTGTAAGGAAGTTCCAACTTTTGGAACTTGGTTCAATGTTGCTTATCTTCTCTGTTCCATGTTTAGTTTCATATTCTGGTTCATCTGGTTTTTGTTTTGTTTTTTTTTGTTTTTGAGACAGAGTCTCACTCTGTTGTCCAGCCTGGAGTGCAATGGCGTGATCTCAGCTCATTGCAACCTCTGTCTCCCGGGTTCAAGCAATTCTCCTGCCTCAGCCTCCCAAGTAGCTGGGATTACAGGCCCCCGCCACCACAGCTGGCTAATTTTATTTTTAGTAGAGATGGGGTCTCACCATATTGGTCAGGCTGGTCTCGAACTCCTGACCTCAGGTAATCCACCCGCCTCGGCCTCCCAAAGTGCTGAGATTACAGGCATGAGCCATCGCACCTGGACTGGTTCATCTGTTTTTGAAGCTGGATAGGATCCCAGTTGTGGCCCCTTTTTGAATCTCTAAATAGTGACTATCTTTTGAGCCTGTCCTTCGATCATTTCTGGTTCCCTGGCTCCTGCCCGGCACCCCTGCAGTCAGCAGACTGAACGCCCAACAGCGCCAGACCAAGCACATCCCGCTTCTCCTCTCTCGGCGCTTCCAGGGGCAGCCAGTTCAGAGTCCAAGCCACAGTCTTGACACAGGCCCCACTTCCCCGCTGGCCTTCTCCACCACAAACTCCTGCTCATGTGGCTGCAGCCACACCGGCAGCTGTCGGCTCTGACTGGCTCTGCCTCAGGGCCTTGGCACTGGCAATCCCCTCTGTTCAAACGTCAGTGTGTCAGCGAGGCCTTTCTCGACCACCCTGTTTAAAAGAGCAGCCCTGCTCCAAATGTTCCACCTCCCCTTATCTGCTGTACTTTTTTCCATAGCCATTTCCATGGATATCCCTAGACACGGCTTTGCTTCGATACCTGCCTCCAGTCTTCCTGCTGTCACTGGGATGACCAGACAATCCGGGCAGGAATTTTTGCTCAGAGTGAATCCACAGTGCCTCGAACAGGGCCTGACACAAAGAAGACCCTTCCTTTTTTTTTTTTGAGATCGAGTCTCACTCTGTCACCCAGGCTGGAGTGCCACGGTATGGTCATGGAGCACTGCATCCTCGACCTCCCAGGCTCAAGCAATCCTCCCACCTCAGCCTCCCAACCTGTAGCTGGGACCACAGGTAAATGCCATCATGCCTGGCTAATTTTAATTGTTTTGTAGAGACAGGCTCTTCCTATGCTTCTCAGGCTGGTCTTGAACCCCTGGATTCAAGCAATCCTCCCACCTCAGCCTCCCAAAGTGCTGAGATTCCAGGTACCCAGACAAGAAGGCCCTTCCTAAGTAGTTGCTGAACGAATGAATGATGTGAACACTGCATGAACTGGGGTCAGTCCTGGATTCAAATCCCAGCTCACAGCTGAGTGCCACTAGGCAAGTTAATTCACTGCCCTGAGCCTTCATTTCTAAGTCTATAAAATGGGCAACATAATCCCTACCGCAGAGGGTGGTGGCAGGGACTGCACATCAGCCTCTCAGCCCTGGGCCACCAACACAGAGTACCTACCACTCAAGATCTTGTGCCTCAAATGGGCTGTTCAGCTCTGAGAATCTTCTCCTGGGGTCCTGTCTTGCATTTACTCCCCTGACCTACCTCCCCAGGGCAGGGGCTGCCTGAGCTTCTCCTGTATCCTGGGGGAAGACCTTGATTGGACTGTGGTTGTGGGAGAAATGAATGGTTGGTTCTAAAAACCCAATACCCCCACGCTTCCCTGGGGCTTCTAGGACACCTTCTAGGACACCTGTTTGCTCAGTTTTGCAAAATGGAGCACGTTGAACCCCTCGGGGCTGTCCTGATGACATGGAGCCTTCTTTGGGCTGGAGCTTAGACCTGGAGGCTCCGAACCACTCACAAGTGACGTTCCTCAGTGGCAGGAACCCAGATTTCCCACATTCAGCACTTGAAACAACCATGACACACATCATTCTCCAAGGGGAGCCCAATTCACCCAGAGCATATTGGGGTCACTTCAGTCAGCGAAAATGGCATCTCAACCTTAATGGGGCATTTGGACAACATCCTGGTCTTGAAAATAAAAATGAAGCTGCCCGCTGAGGTCCTCCCAACAATCAGCACCTGCCTGTCCCCGCCGTTCCTGGCAGAGTTACATGACCTCACCCGCGGGATCTTGCCTGCCCACCCTGGAGTCACCTGGTCAGGGCAGGGGCCCCTCATCCCTTGATTTCCCCAGCAGCTGCAGCTGGGCCCACTCGCGCTGCCAGACCTGCTCTCACTGCACACGGAATGAGTCCTGGGCTTAAACCTGCAGCATCCTCTAAAGCCCTTTCCCCTGACATAGCCCACGTCTGTGAGAACTGCATTCGGACTTAGTTTCCCCGGCCAGCGCTCCAGGGCCCTGTTAAACCCAGAATCCACATCCCCGTGCAGGTGTGTTTACAGGCTTCCTCCACTAGGGATCCAACCCTCCTCTTTACATCGCCTTCCCTTTCCTCTCTCTTAAAGGGACAGGCCAAGGGCCACCAACTGGACTGGACCACAAGCCTGCTTGTTGGGCTCTCAGCTTAGGAAACCATATTGCCAAGGCCCCAGAACCTGAACACCAGCAAGCTCTGGCCTCATGGATGGCGGGTCCCCTGGGTCCTGTGGACACACGTCCTTCTTAAGTCCTTCCTTGCCAGTTCTGAGAAAGCCCATTTCCTTCCCAGTTCGGCTCATCTGAGCTCTGGCAAGCACATCAGCCCTACGGGCATGGATGCAAGCAGGGCACGTGCCCTCGATCCTCTCACTACAGAGATGCGGGAGCAACGGTGGAAGGCTCCTCCGAGCACCACGGTCCCCCAGGGATCTGGGGGCCCCACAGACTTTCCCACTCAAGACACAGCCTAGAGGCAGCTGTCTGCCTGGTTTGCTGCTGACTGCTGCACCTAGCATGGCACCTCGTGCGCAGAGAACATTTTGCTGCATAAATGCAGGGAGGAGGAACACAAGAACATTCTCGGTACATACTCATCGTACATGAGCTGCTAAGGCACGCAGGGGGCCTGTGGGACGGGCTCCCGATTCCCCTCTTTCCAGACAGAAAACCAAGGCACCAAACAGCTCGCTTGAGACTTGGGAGAATGAAGGCTTGGTGCCCGGAAGCGCCATCTCTCTCTTTCCGGCAGCTGCAGGGTGTTACCGGGGCAACAGACGGCTGTCTGACGGGATTTGGCAGTTTAACTCTTACTCCGCACAAAATACGAAAGTGAGAACGATTGAACAGATGTTCTTGCTTCCGACCGTTCACACAACGGAGAGGAGCTCATGATTCATCTGGCCCGGGCCGAGTCCACATCATTCCTGTCTCACACCCAGCAGGTGTGGGCCACCTGGTCCCCTGGGAACCAAAAAACGGCCTTCAACCTCCCAAACTCTAGGATTCCTCAAGGGCATCAAATTCACCTTCCAGCCTGGGCTGAGAAGACTGAGCTGGGATCCTTCTGAGGTGCAACCATGCCAGGCCTAGAGCAGCGGTTCTCAAACCTCGGGTACATCCAGATAACTTGGGTGGGGAGGAGGATTGCTAAAACACAGCAACCGTGCCAGGTGCACAGCAGCGGTTCTCAAACCTCGGGTACATCCGGACTACTTGAGTGGGAGGATTGCTGAAACACTGACTAAGAAACACAGAGTTTCTCATTCAGTATGTCGAGGGTAGGGCCCAGGAATTTCCATTTCTAACAAGTTCCCAAGTGATGCTGATGCCGCTGGTCCATGGACCACCCTTGGGAGCCACTGGTGTATACAGCCTTCCCACTCAGAACACAGTGCCTGTACCATCACCATTAGCATCACCGAGAAATGTATTAAAAACGCAAGTTAGGCCGGGCATGGTGGCTCACGCCTGTAATCCCAGCACTTTGGGAGGCCAAGGCAGGCGGGCGGATCACGAGGTCAGGAGATCGAGACCATCCTAGCCAACATGGTGAAACCCCGTCTCTACTAAAAATACAAAAAAATTAGCCTGGCGTGGTGGTGGGCACCTGTAGTCCCAGCTACACGGGAGGCTGAGGCAGAAGAATGGCGTGAACCCAGGAGGCGGAGCTTGCAGTGAGCTGAGATCGCACCACTACACTCCAGCCTGGACCACAGAGTGAGACTCTGTCTCAAAAATAAATAAATAAATACATAAATAAAAATAAAAATGCAAGTTCTCAGACCCTGCCCTCAGACCTCTAGAATAGGGTCTCTGGGGATGGGGCCCAGGAAACCAGGTTTTAACAAACCCTCCAGGGGATCCTGGGGCGCACTGACGTCTGAGAAGCCGTGGTCTAAACCTTGGCCACCTGTGAGAATCACCTGACGAGCACTTCCAGTAAACAGGTGGCACTCTGATCTCTGGGGCTAGGTCTTAGCCTCAGTCATCTTTCAATCTCCCCAGGCAATTACGAAGCTTGAGAACCATGGGTCTAGAGCCTCACTACTCAAAGTGTGGTCTCGGAAGCAGAGATACCAGCATCTTCCGGGAGCTGGTTAGCAACGCAGAGGCTGCACCCCTGCATCTGCTGAGTCAGCCCGCATTCCAACAAGATCCCTGCGTCATAGGTCTGCATGACAGTGCGTGATCCTCGGATATAGAGACCCCTCCTGCCCATACTCACTGGCAGTGCAATCTATGAGAAAAGCATTCATCTTCTCTGGGGCTCAGTTTACTCATTTGTGAAACCGGTTCACTATGTAAACTAGGCAACAACACATCCCTCCTATGGCAACTGTGGGATCCAGTGAGATGACACCTGAGTTGCTTCACTGTAGGGGCGTGATAAGCTGCTGTGGGAAACTCCCACACCTCCCAGAAAGCCTCAGTGCCCTCTCTCTAGCCCTTCTTAACTGCCTGGCCCCTGGGTCTGATGTTTCTTGGGGGCTATGCCAGGAGGTGGGAGCTGGAAAGGCTGGGGCTGCCCGAAGAGGCTGTACAGGAGCCAAGACCAGGTGGACAGTGCAGGCAGCACTGAGGCAGAGGTCGGGGGGCGTGGGGTGCCTGGTCTGGGGCAATGGACTGACACCAGAGTGCCCAGCCCTGGAGCTGGAGGCCAGGCTCTGATCACAGGAAGTGGGCAAGGTAACAAGAGGTGGGGAGGGTTGTCCCGGAGCAGCAAGGAAACAGGGCAGAGGGTCTGCAGCAACTTGCCGGTGCCAGCCTCTGCATTCAGCAGCAAGAAAGCAGGGCAAAGGACCTACAGCGACGTGCTGGAGCTGGTCTCTGCATTTGTTTTCCAGGAGGCTCCTGCTCCTGGCGGGTGGGGTGAGGCCTTAGGTGGTGGGTGCAGGTGGGACAAGCCCACTGAAGTCAGAGAGCTCACCCTGAGGATGCGCTAGAGAGCAGGAGGACAGTTTCCAGGCTGCCTCGGCTCTGCACTGGACAGAACCCCAGAGCCCTAGAAGATTCCATCAGAGCCCAGATGGATACCTCGGCCCCTCAGCCCTCACTCGGCGCCCTCCGGGCTCAGGGGCCACCTGTGGACATGCAGAGGCCCTGCAGCACCCCCCAGCCTTTCCTGTGAGCGAGGGGCCTGTTGCTGCTCCCCCTGGTACCCAGGGTCTGTCCCCCTGGATCCTGGAGCTCAGGCAGGTGGGAGTCGCCTCTCCATTCCTGGCCTTGCATCCGGTCTGTGCTGGTGTTTGAACCGGATCTCCCACCGCTCCTAGGCCTCCCAGGTTCCCCTCCGTCCTCCGTCAGCTGCCCCCACTTCTCTCTCTACCAAAGAGAAAAGTGCCTCTGCAGATTGGACTCGGCTCACCCATTTAAAAAATTAGAGAACAGAGAAGTTAGCATCTTAATAAGTTAAATGAATCAGTAGAATGTGTGACTCTTTCCCTTCCCTGTGGGACTGGAATCTTCCATTTCCCTCCAGGTGCTCTCCCCAGCTTTGTGCCCTCAGGGCTGGCCTATGGCCCCCTTCGGTTGAGTTGAGACAGTGTCGTGGGCTCCTCTGCAGAACTCATTCTGGATTGCAGTGACCCTCCCTCCTCCTGTCCTCCAGGCCTAGGGTGTTTGTTCCTAGCTCCAGGGGATGACACCAGTCCTCGGTGTTTGCCCACACTCTGCCCACCACTGTATTACCTTCTCCCCAGTTGTCAGCTCAGGAGCATTCCCTCTCTCCTACCTGACCCCATCGGATAAAACCACCAGGAGGAGAAAGAGAAAGAGTTGGTGGAGTATAAGGAAAAGAAAATACGGGACTTTGAGGAAGAACAGAGAAGAAAGAGGAAAATAGAAGGAGGAAAATGAGAAAGATTTCTGGGCACAGGGCTCGGGCAGTCCAGGGGCTCTGGGACTGGGGAGCCACCTGCCCGCTCTGAACAGCTGACAGCCGCTCCAGCAGTCTGCCCTCTCAGTAACAGGAGTGGCTATCCTTTTATTCCTAACTTCCAATTTAGTATGTTCAATGAAGGCCTATTTTCCACCTAAAAGTTAAAGTTCAAGAAAGGGCAAAATAAGAACTAAAATTGTCAGAAATTTCCTTAGGAAACTGGAGCAGAGGGTCCTAAACTTGAGTGCGCCAGAATCACAGTCTTGTGTGACAAAAATCCTGATTGTCAAAAACCGCCCCTAGAAATTCTTATTTCCTGGGTCAGAGGTTGAGCCTGAGAACCGGTATTTTTTACAAGCACTGCAGGGATCCTGAAGCAGGTGCTCTTAGCTGCCACTTTGAGAAACTCCAACTTAGATGCATGGTTCCTGAAACTCTCCACCACACCCATAAACTGCCAGCTTGCCACCCACCGTGTTGCTTTGGAGGCTGTCCAGACTTTTAGAAATTATGCTCCAATAGTCTCAGATCAAGTTAGACCTGGTTGAGGATGTCACCCAGTGGTATCCAAAGGAACTCCGGGAAAAGGACTGTCCAGGAATAGATTTAATTAAAGATGATGGATTTGATTCTACATATTAGTAGATACAAGATCTCCCTGTGAGCCAACAGGACATGGGAAATGTAGGTACGTGTCCTATGCAGGCATCCCTGGCCAGAACACACAGCTTAAGGGGAAATCAAGAGAATGCGGAGTAAGCCCAAAGGAAGACCTAAAACAGAATCACGGGCTGGTGGGACAGTCATCCTGAAAGGCCAGAGGAACTGTTGGAGCACAGCCTAGAGACAAACACTGAGTAACGTTCTTTAACAAGGACTGAACGTGAAAGATGGAAACAGGAGCCCCCCACCCACTGGGGCTGAGCTGGAGGCTGCAGCCCTGCCCCTAGCCAGGAGGCCACAGTATATGGAAGAAGCTGATGTCCCAAGAGAGCTTCCTGCCAAGCCTGACGCTCACCTGCCTGGGGTGGTTTATTTGCAGTGCAGCCCGAAGATGGGATATGCTGCCGTCCCGCCTCTCACCCATGTGAGGAACAGGCAAATGCTCCTCTAAGCTCCCATGTGGGGTCTCTACCGAAACCCCATGCTGACCCCAGAGGCCCACAGACCCTGCCAAGTTCACCCTGCTCAGGTGATAAGTCGGAGCCCCAAATGCTCGCCACAGATGGGTGGCACTTGTGAACGATTTCACTGGGCTGTCACCTCTCGCAGGAGTGGGCTGTTGGGCTCTGGTCAGATGCCTCTGGCTGCTCTCTGTGCTCCGGGACCCCATAACTCAGTGCATCACCACACCTTTGCATGTGTTCTCTGGAGGCGAGGGAAGACAGACCCAGTTCTTCAACTGTACAGACATATCTGCCATCCAAGAGGACAGGGTACCAGGTCTTGGCAGAGTGGTGGCCTAGGGGATGGGTACTGAGGTCGCGACAGCCCTCTGCATCATCACCTGTCCAATGAGGGCACTGGACCAAACATTTTCTTGGATCCTTTCTGATCTTAATTCTCTGTGTCTGGAACCTAACATATGATACTGTGAATATTTATTCTCCACCATGTGACTGGCACTGTCCTAAGCACCAAGACACAAGGTCTCAATAACACAACAAGCACTCCTTGGAGGATCTGCACATGAAACTGTCACAGCCCAGAAATGCCCCAGCCTCATTGAGATGTCTGATCTCAATGAGGAAGACATTGAGATGTCTTCCTTTGCAAGACACAGTGTCTCAACTGTTCATTCCTGTGATTCTCAGTGTTTTTCCTCATCAGGGTGGATTGTTAATTCATTAAGCATTTATTGGGCCTCAGTTTTGTCTGTAACATACATAGACTAAATTATTTTAACTAGAGAACTACCTTTACTGGGATAAAATGTAATATTTTTGCCCTTAGATTTTATAAAGGAGCAAAATGAAAAGGATCCTTAAAAAAAAAAAAAAAAACCTCTGTATCATTAACAAAATTTCAGCCAGACATTGTTTTTTCTGCCTTTGATATGAAGACTGTAATAGATTCCAGTGCCAGGAAGAGGTCTCTCTCCTAAGGAGAATCTGAAGCACCCTTTTATCAGAAAATATAACATGTTTCCCTTTTTGTCTCAGCTGCCAGGAAGCTCAGAAATAAACTGAGTGTTCAACTGCAGTCACATTCAACTTAGGAACCTGGCGTGTCTATTCTTTGACCTCTTCTGCTTGGGGTTTTTAAAAATTCTGTATTCTTTTCAGTTTCCTGTTCTTGTGTGTTTTAAAATTACAAGCAGCGCCGGGCACGGTGGCTCACGCCTGTAATCCCAGCACTTTGGGAGGCCGAGGTGGGCGGATCACGAGGTCAGGAGATCAAGATCATCCTGGCTAACACGGCGAAACTCCACCTCTACTAAAAATACAAAAAATTAGCCAGGTGTGGTGGCGGGCACCTGTAGTCCCGGCTACTCGGGAGGCTGAGGCAGGAGAATGGCGTGAACCCAGGAGGCGGAGCTTGCAGTGAGCCAAGATCGCACCACTGCACTCCAGCCTGGGCGACAGAGCGAGACTCCACCTCGAAAAGTAATTAATTAATTTAATTTAATTTAATTTAATTTGAAATAAAAAAATAAAATTACGAGCAGCCTCCATACACTTTGGAGTTGAGTAGGGATCAATATTCCAGAGGGATCACAGAACATGAAAACTAAAGGAGACCAACCCTTCCTCTAGGGGAAGAAACTTAGGCCCAGAGAAGTTGAGCAACTTACCTGAGGCCAATCAGTGGTTTGGCCCTGCCCAGCGGTCCTAACTACCTTCACTTTTTGTACCATTTTCTCAGGACCATGGAAATATCCCCTCTTGCCAATGGGGACACTAAAGTCCCAAAGAGAGGACGGATGTGGGCTCTGCACACAAAGGAGGCAGGGGACGCTGGCCACCCACCACCTCGTCCTCTTGCTCAGATCTTGGGCCACCATGGAGCCCACTGTGGGAATGAGGAACTCACCCATTCAGATAATGTGTGTTGCTTGTTGCAGTAGGTGTCATATACAATAAAGGAAATTTTTCTTGGGGTCAAATTTATTGTTGATTTCCAAAAATGGATTTTTTAGTCTCATCTCCTTGCCACAGCTCTTTCCCTCCACCTCCGATCAATCCCACTGGACCCTAGCCCCAGAAGTGACGTTCAGTTGAATGCATCAGTATCTCGGACCTGTTGTTAAATATTTCTGTTGCGAGTGCCAATCGCCTCTGGCTGGAACACCCTGAGTGCCTTCCGACCCCGACTGCTTGGGGGTTCATCCGGGCCCAGCTGGGGCCTCGGGGTGACCTCGTTTTTTATTTGACTCTAGGTTCTATTTTGATTATCAGCCCAGCCTAAACAGAACAGAGCTCTCTAGGAAAAAAACAACATGAAATTCGGGGTTTGATGTCAGACCAGTGTTTCAGTGTCTGCTTTGCCAATTACTGACCATCGGCAATTACCAATTCTTTCCTGCTGAGCTGATTCAAAATGGAAAGGACAGATATGTGCAAGCATTCTGTAAACTCCAAAGGCTGCTGCTTATCAGTGTATGGTCTTGGGATGAGTCAGCAAGCCAGGAACGAACAAGCTTGCTAATGGGCACTCCCGACTGAAGAATGGATGGCTGAGCAAAATCCTTATCATGGAATCGTATTGCACATTAAAAGGAGGGATTTCTGACATGAGCTACAACATGGGTAGACCTTGAGGGCATCATGCTGAGTGAAATAAGCCAGTCACAAAAGGACGAATACTGTATGATCCCACTTATGTGAGCTATTCAGAGAAGTCACATTCACAGACAAAGTAGAACAGGCTTGCCAGGGGCTGGGGAAAAGTGGGGACTGGGGAGTCAATGTTTAGTGGGTACAGAGTTTCAATTTTGCAAGATAATAAGACATCTGGAGATGGATGGTGGTGATGATTACACAACAGTGTAGATGTACTTAATGCCACAGAACCGCACACTTAAAATCGGTTAAAATGGTCAATTTTATACTGTGTATATTTTACGATAATGAAAACATTTTTTTAAAGAGCTATACCAAGAGTCCTGTGCACAGGTTGTAAGGGAAAGCCTGGCCTGCCTCTGGGAGGACCATTCATGAACTGTTCATGGTGTTTGGGACATTTAGTTTGCCCATTCAGTAGGACTTTGCTGTTTCTGGTTTCTTGATAGACGAGGCTTACGATTAGCCTCTTCAAGAGTGGAGTTATTATTGAAGATGATTCAGAATGTTCCCTGAGAACACGCATTATAGGACTAGAGTTTTAATTAAGAGGAATTGATGAAACATCTATTTTGAAAGAGTGAGCTTGGCCTATGTTATGAGCTGAGAATTTAAAATAACCCATCACTAACGGGTCATATATGTCCCAGTGTCTTAGTTGGACAGAGAGAAAATGCCACACTGGCCATTCCTCCAAGGTCAGTCATCAAAATGCCCACTGCCCTGAAAACCTGCAAGGGGTTCCCCTAAATGGGTTCCATGGGTTCCCTGGCCCCTGGACCCCAACCTGAGAAGTAAGGAGAGAGTGATATTATCTGAGAGCTCCGTGTGCACCAGCCAGTCTTTCCCATACATTCTTTCATTCAATCTTCCCAACCACCCTCTGAAACCTATTTTATCCCCGTTTTATACATAAGAAAACTGATGCTCAGGGAAAGCGTAAGGCTACTGATCTTTCTTTCTTTCTCTCTTTCTCTCTTTCTCTCTTTCTTTTTCTTTTTTTTAAAAGTCCCTGTTGCCCAGGCCGGAGTGCAGTGGAACCGTCTCAGCTCACTGCACAACCTCCACCTCCGGGGCTCAAAGGATCCTCCACCTCAGTCTCCCAAGTAGCTGGGACTACAGGCGCATGCCACCAGGCCCAGCTAATTTTTTGTGTTTTTTGTTGTAGAAACGGGGTTTCACCATGTTGCCCAGGCTGGTCGTGAACTCATGAGCTCAAGCAATCCACCCACTTCACCCTCTCAAAGTGTTGGAATTACAGGCGTGAGCCACCACACCTGTCCACTATTGCTATTTCTTGAGTGTCTGCTTCTTGTTAGCACAGTGCATAGATACTTTCTAAATGACTTCATTTTTCTGGATGTTATTATCATTCCAGTTTTTTTTTAAGTGGGAAATTAAAGTCCAGAGAGGCTAAGCCATTTGCTTAAGATCACACAGGAAATGAATGATAAAGCTAGTTCAAATATGTATTTTTCCATTGGTCCAGTGATCTCTTGTCATTCTCTCTCAGTTGGCTCTGTGAGGAGATGGTGGGGGAGGAAGAGTAAGTACCCCAGGAGGTACTTGGCAGCTTGCTGGGCTCAGGAGATGCTGGTGGGCTCCCACATGTTAGCTGTAAGCGAACAGAGCACTGGGCATTTCTGGCTTTAGTGAATAAGCCGGGAATTAGAGTAAAATATGCTGCACCTGAGAGGGCGTGTGCCTGGTGGGAAGACAGGTGAAGAGCACCTTGGCCACAGTCACAGTGAGACCAGTGCCAGCTAATTCTCTCCTGAGTTTCCTTCCAAACCAGGTGAGGGCAACAGAGTTGAAACCACCCGCTCAGAGGGAGGCAGATGCTCCCCAGAAAGGCTACTGTCTCCCTGACCAATCCTAAGCCTGGGCCACGGACCCTGCCAGACTCTAGTTCCCAGGCAGCTCAGCCACATACTGAGCCATATCTTTTTGCAGGAAAAGTAATTTTTTATTTCATCCCCACTCCCAGCTTGGTGAGGAAGAGGTGACAGTGAGAGGCTGGGTTAACAAACACTCAGGCCACCTGGAAAACTCTCTCATATTTGTCTTCATTCTCACCCTCTCCCTCCTGCCAAGAAAAGTTACCCCAGTGAGGTTCTCCTTCTTCTCCAGGAGGTGCTTCCATAGAAAAAGATGCCAATGTGGCAAGTAGTGAAGGAAGCGCACAGAGCTCGAGGTGGGAACTCCTGGGCTCCTGGGGGATGGCAGTTGGTGTTCAGCAGGTGCAGATTTCAGCCGGGGAAGGTGAAAAGGTTCTGTAGACGGATGATGATGATGCTTGCATGACAACATGGATGTGCTTAATGCCATTGAATTGTACACTTACAAATGGTTAAAATGATAAATCTCATGTGATGTATATTTTACCAAGCTTTTTTTTAAAAAGAACATCTGGTTTCAAATCCCACCTCTGCCCCTTGCTGGCAGGTGACCTTCGGGAGCTGCCTATCTCTCCTAGAGGCCTCGGTTTCTCTCTCCGGAACACAGTCCTTGCTGCCCTGATGCTCCCAGTACTTGCAGGACCCAGACAAAGCTCTGGCAGTTGTGCTGATAGCAATGGGGAACCTGAGAGGAACTAGCACCCTCCTGCAGCCAACGATCCCTTGGCTGCCCCGGCAGGGGGAGTGTGGGTGGCACCATCCCAGGCTGCTCCCCCATCACCCAGCCTTCAGGAGGCTTCGAGCGACTTCTCCAAGCAAAGAACACAGTGCATTGAGGCCAGCTGCTGCCCACCAGTCAAAACAAGTCCAGTGTCCTCCCCAGTGCGCCTAAAGGCAGGTGCAGGTGCACTGCCCTACAAAGCAAACAACAGCCAAGAGCCGCCTTTGGTCCTCCGAGCTAGCCAGAGCCACGTGCTTGCCCACTGCGAGAGTTTCCATGCCCTCGCCCACCACCTGCCCTGGGCACACGGCTGAAAGAAGGAAAATTACACCTCTGCTGGGGCCCACGCCACTGCACAACGCGTGTGGTCTCGCGGATTTGTGTGACTCCTCTCTGGGCTGGAGGAAATGGAGACATCTGTCCCAGTGAGATTTTCAATTAAAGGGGAAACAAAGCCCCATTACAGCAGCACTGGCAGGGGGCTGGGAGGCCAGAATTCAAATCCCAGCTCAGCCCAGCTGACCGCAAGGCCGAGTCACACTGTGTCTGCTTAGGCCTGGCCACTTCCACCACATTCTGTAGGGAGACTTGGGTTCAGATTCTGCTCTGACACTTGGTCAATTCACTCAATCTCCAAGCCTCCCTCATGGGAACACGGAGGTATCAAAAGCGCCCACCACGCAGTGGCTCACGCCTGTAATCCCAGCACTTTGGGAGGCCGAGACGGGCAGATCACGAGATCAGGAGATCGACACCATCCTGGCTAACAAGGTGAAACCCTGTCTCTACTAAAAATACAAAAAAAATTAGCTGGGCGCAATGGCGGGCGCCTGTAGTCCCAGCTACTTGGGAGGCTGAGGCAGGAGAATGGCATGAACCCGGGAGGTGGAGCTTGCAGTGAGCCGAGATCGTGCCACTGCACTCCAGCCTGGGTGACAGAGCAAGACTCCATCTCAAGAAAAAAAAAAAGTGCCCCCCCCAACCTCGCCACCATGTTGTGGGAGGGTTTAGTGGGGTCATTAGCAGAAAAGTCTATTTGTTGAATGAGTGACTGATTGTAAACAAGCCCACCCAAGACCCCAGCAGGGTCCTCCTTCCTTCCCCTGCCATGGGCATCTGACCCCATGTCATGGTGGAAGCTCAATGAAGGGAAAGCTGCCACCGGGAAGACCAGCTCCCAGAGACCCGGAGGCATGCAGACAGCAGCTCATCCAGTCCCCATTTGCAGGACAGGACCTGAGAACCAGATACGCCTGCAGGTGCCTGTCCCTCTGCGCCCCCCGGGTGGTGTTAGGGCTCCCTGTGCACGGAGGCCTGCAATCATTTGGACAACACATGGTTACCAGGTGTCTGCTATGTGCCAAACGATGGTCACAGGAGGGTGAGAAAGACAGTCTCCACGTTCAAGAGTACAAAGTCCGTGATCCAGGAAGACAATGAGGCAGCCACTGTGTCTCATTTCTGGATGAATGGATGTCACAAAGCCATGGAAGTGGTTCAGTGGCTTCCATATCACTAGGCTACCTCGCCTGTCTCTCTCTCTCTCTCTCTCTCTGTCTCTCTCTCTCTCTCAGAGCAGGCTACCTAGGATTTTACTTGCAATCCTCCAATAGCGATGTGGCCTCCCTGAAAGAAAACATCTGGCTGCCTGAGCCCCAGTGGGCTGGGGGGCTACACTGAACCAAGGCCATCTGTGTGGATGCAGGAGGTGGTCCCTGCTGAGCGTGCATGCCATGGATGCAGGTCGTCTTCCCCAGCCCATCCCACCACAACACCGAGGCCAGGACCAGAAAAGGATGAACAGCTGCCAAGGGCTAAGCAGATCCAAAAAAGGCCAGGTGACATGCCCAAGATCACACAGCTGGTGAGGTTTTCTGACTCTGCATCCCCAAGAGACCTCGTCTCACAGGCACTCCCTTTACAAGCAGCCTCAAGACCTCCCCAGGTTGGGGTGCACTGCAGAGGTTGTCCAGGCCAGCACCCTCATTTTACTAAGATGGAACCCAGGAGGGGTGGCCTGCCTGAAACCATGGAGATTTTCAATAGCAAAGAAAGCCCTAGAACCCATGCCTCAAGGGTCCATTGGTCTCCCCCATCCCAGGGACACCCTGCCCTCTGGTGGCCAACTGGAGAATACATGTGGAGAATGACAAATTCCCTAACCCCCTGCACAGGTTAAGAGATGAGACTCTCTAATAAGCCAAGCAGTCAGCCAGTGGGTCTAGGGAGGCAGTAAGTCCCCCGCCACTGGAGGAATGTGGGATGAGACTAAATTACAACCCTGGATGCAACCCAAAATATGTAACAACAGAACTATCCAAGCCCCAGCCCATTAGCATGAGCCATCTTCAACAGCCAGGACAGCTGAGGCTGGGCACCCCGACTAATTGCTGTTGCTGTGACCGCTCTCAGAGACAGATGAGTGCTAATGTCCCTCTGCCTCGAAAGGTCTATCACGGAGGTGGGTTCGGGGATAGAGACAGTGCAGGGGTCATAGAACGAGGAGAAGTTTTGGAATCAGGCAGTAACGTGGGAAGGTTACTGGACCACTGTCACAGGAGTAATAGCACATACCTTCCAAGTGTGTGGAAGGATCCAGTGAGCTAATTTTTGAAAAGTTAACTTTTGAAAAGCTAATTTTTGAAAAAGTGTGGACCCTCAATAAATGGCAGCCGTTATCTTGGCAACTGGTGGTGATACAGGCGATGACTCCAGAACGTACCATTTTGGAGCAGAAACTGTCACCTACATGTCTCCAGCTTTCAGGTTTTTGCTCTTTTGATTAACATTATAAACCTAGTGGGTCTGCCTTATTTAGCCTCCTTCCCATTTCATCAGCAGGAATGATGGAAATGGAAAGCAACTGGCCTCTATTTCCCATGCACCCACTGAGGTCCTAGTGACACTCAATGAGGGCCTAGCCCCACCCCCATTACCATCACCACCTAAGCCCTAACTCGCCATGATTCAGAACAGATTCATAGCAGAGAATAGATTTATTGCCTGATATGCATATTTAATGACTTTCAAGGATAGTTCATAACTACACCATGCAATTTATTGGTATTTAATGTTATGCATTAATGAATAATGTTTAAGCCATCCAACACTGGCCAATTTGAGAAACTTAATATAACATTCAATAACTCTTGTCAAGACTTAATAAATTTCCATGGATTTATATATCCTGTGAAATGCACTCCATCTCAAACAAATTAAATAATGCATGTGATGATGTGATGGGGGAGGGGGAAGACGATTTGTTGAAGGCTGATTTGATGGGAAACAGGCGTATTTTATCACTTGGGCTTTTTATTAGGGTCTCGTGCATTCTCTTCCAGAGAAAGAAACAGGCACCCCAAGACACTCGGCCCAAGGTAGTTAAGCCAGATGCAGATCATTCTCTGCCCTTAACATAGATGGAAATGAGCTTCCTCCAGCTTTGCTTGACCCTCTTCACTTCTTTGCCTTGGTTCTTTGCTTTGACAAAGACGCCCACCCTCTGCTTCAGCCATAGACCCCAGTCTCCCTCCCTGGCCAGGGGCAGCCAGACAACTCCTCCCCCCGTGCTGACGCACGGCCTTGTCCCATGTCATTCTTCTCCCTTGGAAACTTCAGTGGCCACTGTGGCCTGTGGGCTGGGCCACATTGCTTAGCTGGACGTTCCAGGCCTCCCAGATGTCATCCTGCCACTGGCCCAGCCTCAGCCCTGTGTCATCTCACAGAGACGGTACCCTCGGGCAAATTACTCTGCTGCCATGCCCAGACCCATCTATCCACCCCCTGCCTGGAATGCCTCCTGATCATCTAATTTTTCCTATCAAAGCCTGCTTGACTTTAGGGACCCAATCCCATCTTCAATGTCACCTCCTCCTTGCAGTCTTCCCTGAATCCCCCAATGAGAAAGAGCTCACTGTCCCTAGGAGGTTCTGGGGATCTCACGGCACATCCTACTCTGCCCCTCCCTGTTTCCTCCCACTAGGAAGGGCTCCTGGAAGGGCCAGGCCCACTAGCCTACTCCCCCAACCCCCAAGGGCCCAGCGAACTCAATAGGAATTTGTTGAAAGAACACATAAGTTAACCGAATAATGCTCCTTTGTGTTTGCAGAAAAATGAGGAAGCAAGCAGAAGGCTCGGGTCAGCAGCTACAGGGGTCCCAGTGGCCCCAGGCAGCCAGCACGTTCCTGGTTCCTGGGGGACCTGCCGAGAACCCAGGCCACCTTCCAAGGGGATAAGGCAGCAGGACCTCCACACCAGAGCCAGTCCCTTTCACAGTCTCTCCTCCAGTCTGGTCCTTTAGAAAGACCCCCGACCCTCTAGCCCCTGAAGCAGCCAAGACAGTTGGTCAAGCCACTTCACCTGCCTAAGCCATTTCCTTCTCTGTAAGGTGGGTTGAGTGCAGCCTGGCTCCTCCTTGGGGGACACACGAAATCATATGTCTGCAGGTCCCTTGTGGGCAAGTCAGGCTGCCTGAAACGGACAATGGCCACAGCAGCTCCTGACCCTCTGTTCCCTGTGGCTACTTGGACCCTCCGTAGGGGTTTTCTCTCAGCTCTGAGTGAGGACCCTGTGCTGCGGGGAGGGGAGATCCAGGGCTGTGCCGTCACGCACAGACTCCCAGGCTGAGGTCTTTCCAAGGGCAGAGTGGTCTCTGGTCCTCTTGGTGTTTGGGGGACTTATCAGGACGTCTATTGTGACCCCAAGGGAAGAGTCAACAGGCAGGGAAGGTTTCTTCGGGTTCACACACCACAACCCAACCCTGCTGCTGCCCCGTCCTGGCTCATGCCAAACCCTGAGGCAGACATCTCTGTCCCAAGGAAAACCCCATCTGAGACCAACAGACAGGGGAGCTTGGAATGAGATGCTCTATGCAGGCCTGGAGCCCAGAAAGGGAGTGGCCTCAGAGGGAGCTTCAAGAAGGGGGAACGTCTGAGCTTGGTACTAAGGATGAGGCTGCAGTTCCCCACTGAGAGGGGCCTTCCAGGCAGAGGCAGGAAGGCCAGGTTCTGGAGTGCCCAGGAGGTCTGGGGAGGGCTGCAGCTTGCGGGGCTGCAGGGGAAGGGGCCAGATGGGTAAGAAAAGCCCCCTGTGTTCAGACTGAGGAGGGCTCTGAATACAAGGCAGAGATGTCCACACCAGATCCCATGGGTGACAGGGAGCTATCAACAGATATTAAACAGGGGATTGATCTAACCTGGCTTATAAGTAGGAAAGGCCACTCAGGAATGTCAGTTCCATGAGGACAGGGATGCTCATTCATTGTGTTCACTGCTGTTTCCTTAACAGCAGGAACGTGCCTAGCACATTCCTAGCATGTTGTATGGATTATGATTGATGGATTTTAATACCTATCTATTATCGATCTACCATGGATTAGGACTGATGGATAATGGTATCTATCCATGTTACACGGATCATGATTATGGATTATGATCTCTGTCTATCTGTCTGTCTATCTCTCTATCTATTGACCTACCCAAGTTGTATGGATTATGACTCGGGATTGTGATACCTATCTATCGTCTATCACCTATCTATCATCTATCTATATACCACAGATTATGACTGATGGATAACAATATCTATTCCTGTTGCATGGATCATGAATAATGGATTATGATCTCTGTCTGTCTGTCTATTTCTGTATCTACTGACCTACCCAAGTTGTATAGATCATGACTGATGGGCTGCAGGCTGGAGGGATTAGAGACAGGGACACTGGAGGTGGCAGCAGAACTCCATAAGCTGTTTCAGAAAAAAAAAAGAGAAGAGCCCAACATTGTTCTTTCGTGTGTTTGAAGGGTCAAAATACCAGGTAGCTGTAGATGCTTTTTCCCATTTTAAATTCCTACCCCCACTATCTCCCAAAGCCTTTGTTGTCTTCTACTCTCCCACTGTCAACCAGGCCCAGACAACAGATTAATGCTAGTGAGCAAAGGAACAGCTCTTGCAATACTGAGAGATGGGCAGCTGTGGCCACTTTTCCATGGAAAAATGTGTGCTTGTCCCCAGAGCATACGAGGGGGTAAATAGATTTTCGAGAGTGAAGTTATGAATTGCTCCCATGGCAGGATTAACTCTAGCAATAGTCCATGTGTTTTCGGATGCACTGCACGTTCCAGGTGAGGCCCATGGAGGCCTCACCAGAAGGAAGGGCCAAGTAGAGGAGATATTTCCAAGGCAGTCAACAAGGCTTGGTGATGATCAGATTGCGGGTGAGGAGGACGAGCTTTGGAAAGAGATGAAGCGTTTCCAGAAAGTTGCCAGATCTCTCTGAATTCCACTAACAAAGACATTGGAAAGAAGTAGTTCAAAAGCAAAAGATATTCTGCCATTTTCTAAATGTAAAAATTAATAAATGTATAGACCCAGGGATCTAGAATAAGCCTCCCAAATTTAGCACTGACCGCACTTCCAGGTGAAAAAATATAACAGAACTTCTATTAAAGATGCCCAGGTAGTGTCATTGCCCAGCTTCCCCTGAAAACTTGGTCTAATGACTTAAGCAATTTCTTCCTTATAGCTAAGTTTAATCCTTCATATTCTAGCTTCAGTCTTTTGCCAATTATTCCTTCTTTCTCCAGTGGAGGTGCCACCATTTTGTGGTTAAGTAGAGATGTCAAAGTGATGGCTGATAAATGGAAAGATGGGCAAATCCATGAATTGTGCTTTCATTCCAAAGGCTAATTGTTTAGGAAAAGCTCATGGCTTGGATTAAGGCTATTCACAATTCCAATGGCTAGTTGCCTATATAAAACAAGGCTCATGCCATTCAAATAAACTTTCATGCACTAAAGGCTGTGATCACCGCAGAAGCCTTAGTTGCTACCCCAACTTGAGGCAGCTACTAGGGTAAGGGCTTTAAAGGTAGAAAATGCAATCAATGAAGTCTACACACGTCAACTCAACCCTTGTCTGATGACTTTCTTATCAGCTCTGTTTCAAAGGCAAATGGTAGGTGGCATAATATGTGGCAGCAAAGTAAAACAAAATAAAAGATAAGAGAACGGCACTTTCTCTTTGATTTCTCCCAGTTGAAAATCATTTCCAAGAAAGCAAATGAAAGATATGGTTTCTCAAGAAAGAAGGAAGTCCGAAGAGATTTCCTATGTATTCTGTTTTTTCTGTCTAAGATGTCATAGGATAATGCATTCAAAAATGACAGGCACATCAGCTCTCTGGGCTTCAGGTCCCACCTCTAAAAATGAGAAAGCACAATGCTCTTTAACAGCAGCTTCCTCCAACATGAGTGCTTCTCTACAGTCTGTACCTGGGCCTTGATGTATGTTTAACCCACCTCCCAGGCTGAGAAGGAACATTAGTAGCCCTGTTGTGACTAAGGGAAAACGGGAGAAATGTTCTGTTTGCTGTCAAGTTCAGTAATGGTGAGAAGTCCGGGAGATATCTTCCCGGAGTCAGATCGTTTTATGAGAAAGTGATGTGGGTGCAAGTCTACAAAAGAATCTGAAGCTGATTTGTGGCCAGCATTAGAGGCCCTGGCGTTTCTCTAAGATTCTAGATGCTGTGACCTTAACCTGCTGTGGTTGTAGGTGTTGAAGTGACCAAAGGAAGGTGGAGTTTGGTACAAGGACAAGAACGTATTCAGAGAGCGCAGCCCCAGGGAGGCATGGCTTGGGGTTTGAGGATAGGCTGAACCAAGGGCACCAGGGACAGCTGGCTCCACTGGGACCCCATTTCCGCTCCTTCCTAGCTATATGGCCTTGGGCAAGCCATTTAACTTCTCTAAGCCTATTTTCTTATTTGTGAAATGAAGGCCCATACCAATTAACTTACAGGGTTGTAAGCATCAGATGAAAGAATATATGAAAACATCTTGCAATTTGTAAATAATACTGAACAAAAATATTCTCAGAGTGGATCTTGAGAAAAAAATAATGCAACAAGATAACCCAAGGAAAATAAAAGAGCAAAATTAAAATTATTTAAAAATTAATAAAATTAAAAAGTAATGAATCAAAAATGTTTTAAATGTAGAAGTGATAAATTCAAGACCTGCTTTTTTTGGGAAAAAATAAAATAAATCATTAGTTAACATCATCAAGAAAAAAGGAAGAAAGGACAAACATACAAATTAAGAAACAGTGATCGGGAAACAACCACAGACTGTGAAGACCTTAAAGGAAGCCTGCAAGGCCTATTTGCTCCATTCTGTAAAGATCAATTTGTAAACCTGAATGAAATTAATTATCTTATAGAAAAATATAAATTACCAAAACCAACCTCTGGAAAGATAGAAAAGGTAAAGAGAACAATTATCACAGAAAAAAATAGTCATCACAGAGCAGAACACACTGAAAGAACTTGGCCCACTAGGTTTTACAGAAAAATTCTACCTAATCCTTAAGAACAGACAACAGCAACACTATTTAAACTGTTCAAGACTATAGAAAAAGAAAAGCTTACATATTCTTTTTTTTGTTTTTTTTTTTGAGATGGAGTCTCACTCTGTCACCCAGGCTGGAGTGCAGTGGCCTGATCTCAGCTCACTGCAAGCTCCGCCTCCCAGGTTCACACAATTCTCCTGTGTCAGCCTCCCAAGTAGCTGGGACTACAGGTGCCCGCCACCATGCCCGGCTAATTTTTTGTATTTTTCGTTGAGTTGGGGTTTCACCGTGTTAGCCAGGATGGTCTTGATCTCCTGACCTCGTGATTCGCCTGCCTTGGCCTCCCAAAGTGCTGGGATTACAGGTGTGAGCCACTGCGCCCGGCCTTACATATTCTTTTTATAAAACTAGCATCACATTGACATCAAACTCCCCAAAATAAAAAATAAAACTATGGACCAATCTTACTTGGAATATTATTGCAAAACTCTTAAATAAAACATTAGCAAACAAAATCTACCAGCACAGCAAGAGAATGACATACCTTAGACAAACGAGGCATGTATTGCACAAATACAGGGATGTATTAGAAAACCTATTACCATAACTTTACATATTAATAGATCAAAAGGGAAAAATTATACAACCGTCTCCATAGCTACTGAAAAAGCATTTTCTAAAATTCAACATCCATTCTCAATCAAAATAAAACTCTTTATTGTAAAACATAATAAAATTCTTACATGGATACACAATCACACACACCCCTCAACTCAAAAAGCTGTACCACGCTTATTTGGGAAACACTACAAGTTTCCTAGGAACGTCTATTATCAATACAGATTTTTAGCATTGGCCTGAGGGCACTATTCAACTTAATTAGAAAGACAGATCTATAGGCAGCAAGTGGTGGGAAAAAGAAAGAAAGAATTATAAAAATTAAGAAAGAAGAGGTAAAATTATCATTGTTTTCAGGGGAAAGAGTCCAGAAACTCAGCTGATAAATGATTAAAATAGTAAAGGAATATGACTAGATTGCAGAGTACAGAATTAATAAGCAAAAATCCATCAGCTTTCCAAATGAAAACAACATTTTTTAAAAGTAACACAAAAGATAAAATACATGGCTCTCTCTCTCTCTCTCTCTCTCTCTCTCTCTCTCTATATATATATATATATATATATATATATATATATATATATATATATTTGAAGAAATGTGCATGAAGAAAACATTAAAACTCTACTAAGCAAATAACAGACTTCAAGAATGGAAAGCCATCTGATGTTCTTAGGAAGTCCCAACATTGTAAAGTTGTTGATTCTTCTTAAGGTAATTCATAAATTTAATATGATCCCAATAAAAACCAATGGATTGTGGGTTTTTGTTGTGGTTTTTTGTTTTTTTTGAAACGGGGTCCTGCTCTGTACCCCAGGCTGCAGTGCAGTAGTGCAATCTCAGCTCACAGTAACCTCCACCTCCCAGGCTCAAGCAATCCTCCCACTTCAGCCTCCAGAGTAGCTGGGATTACAGGCACACACCACCATGCCAGGCTAAATTTCTTTTTCTATTTTTTGTGGAGAGGGGGTGATACGGTTTGGCTGTGTCCCCACCCAAATCTCATCTTGAATTGTAGCTCCCATAATTCCCACATGTCACGGGAGGGACCTGGTGGGAGGTAATTGAATCATGGGGGCAGGTCTTTCCTGTGTGGTTCTCATGATTGAGAATAAGTATCATGAGATCTGATGGTTTTATAAAGGAGAGTTCTCCTGCACACACTTTCTTGCCAGCAGGCCACCATGTAAGACACCCCTTTGCTCTTTCTTCCTGAACTTCTTCTGCCATGATTGTAAGATTAAAAGGAACATTGTCTAGATCACTCAGCTGATATATTTGATAGAATAACAATTTAAATCTAGGTGTGTCTAATTCTAAAGCTTGTTCCCTTAACCGTGACACTCTACTGCCTCCCACACACTTCTTTCTTGCTCAAAAATTACCAAAACTTACTCTTGCTGATGACAGAATTCTACCATCTTTTGGTTAAAAAAAAAAAAAAAAGCAAAAGCAAAAAAACAAAACAAAAAACAACAAAAACAAACAAACAAAAAAACCTCTCATAAAACTTTCCCACAGCCTTGAGATCATGAATTGTAACCACTAAACCTCTTTCCTTTTTTCCTTTATAAATTACGCAGTCTCTGGTATGTCTTTATTAGAAGCATGAGAACAGACTAATACATGGGGTTGTGTCATGTTGCTCAGGCTGGTCTTGAACTCCCGAGCTCAAGCGATCCACCTGCCTTGGACTCCCAGAGCGCTGGGATTACAGGCATGAGCCACTGCACCTGGCCAGAACCAGTGGATTTTTAACTAGATAAGCTGATTTTCAAATTCACATGGGAAAATGAACAAGCAAGAATATTTAGAAAATTTCTGAAAAATATAGGAGAGAAGGAGACTACTAATAGATGATAAAAATATTACAAAGATACAGAATAGTGGAAACAATATAGTACTTGCATAAAAGATGTAGACAGATCTACTGGAGATATTACAAAGACCAGAAACAGACTGAAGATCACACTGGAATATGATAAATGACAAAGGTGGTGCTTCAAATCAGAGGAGTAGATTATTTAATAAGTGATGGTGGCCCAGATGATTCGACATCTGGAGAAAATAAAAGTGGATACCAACTTCACAACGTATGTATTCTAAATAAATTTCAGATGGATCAATTATGTAAACATAAAATGAAATGACAGAATTAGAAAATAAATAGAAGAATATTTTTATAATCTCATCATGTAGACAGCCTTTCTAAATATAACATGATGCCCAGAATAAAAGGATCTACAAATATGGTTTTTAAAATTTGTAACAACTATGAAAGATAAAAGCGACACCATTATCTTTATACTTCACGATCTCAAGGCTGTGGAAAAGTTTAATGAGAATTTTTTTCTTACAAAAGATGGTGGAATTCTATGATCAGCAATAGTAGATTTTGGTAGTTTTTGAGCAAGAAAAAAGTGTGTGGGAGGCAGTAGTATGTCATAGTTGAGGGAACAAGCTTTAGAATTATACATACCTGGGTTTAAATTGTTGTTCTATCAAATATATCAGCTGAATGATCTAGACAATATTCCTTTTAATCTCATTCAACTTCGGTTTCCTTATCTATGAAGTAAGAATATTAAGATCTTTTTCATAGGTTTTTATTGTTGTTGTTTCTTTTTTTTTTTTAAGAGATAGGGTTGACACTGCCACCCAGGCTGGAGTGCAAACATAGCTCACTGCAGCATAGAACTCCAGGGCTCAAGCCTTCTGCCTCAGCCCCTAAGTAGATGGGACTATAGGTGTGCACTACCATGCCTGGCCAATTTTTTTTTTTTAACATTTAAATAGTTTTCTCTTAGAGATGGGGGTCTCACTACGTTGCACAGGCTGGTCTTGAACTCTTAGATTCAAGTGATCCTCCCACTTCAGCCTCCCAAGTCATAAGTTTGTTTAAGGATTAAAGGGCATGTAACTCCTTAGCCAAGTGCATGATATGTAGTAATCTATAAATATTACCCATGTAGTAAGAAAGTAATGTTTAAGCAGCTTCAAGTCTTAAAGAAACTACAGAACATGGTTAACAGATGCATCTATGTGTGGGTTGAACAACTGGATCCCACAATTCTTTGTCCTGAAGAGGCACTTACAGTCCTGGAAATGTAAAGTGGTACTACTAGTTGATCAGTTCACTCAAAACCTCTCAATAGTCCACTGGATAAGAGCAGAATCATTATCAATTTACAGTTGAGAAAAATGGGAAGCTATTCTTTCTGCTGTTCAGGCACCAAACCACAGAGTCAACTTTGAATTCTCTCTCACACACCCCATATCCAATGTATTATCACATACTGTTGGCCACAAATATATGTTTAGATTCCAGCCACTTCTCATCATCCCTTGTGTGACTATGCACAAACCAACCCCTATCTCTCACCTGGATTACTGCTGTGCAGTGGACACTAACTGGCTTCCATTCCTCCCCACATTCCCACAGTGTATTCTGGACACAGTGAGAGGGACCACGTTAAACTGTAATCATACCCTGTCTCTTCTCTGCTCAAAACCCTACCATGACTTCCCACTTCACCTAGATTAAGACCCCAAGCATTTACTATGGCCCCAAGATTTCCATAATATGGGCCCAGTTTTCTCCAGGACATTCTGTCTACCACTTCTGTCATCTCTAGTCTTTCCCAAATGGCCTCCTTTCTGGTCCTCCAATGTTTCAGGCAAGCTCCTGCCATGGCTCTTAGCAGAATCCTGGGCTACTGTCTCACAGCACCTGCAGGGCTCACTCTGCACCTCTCTCAGGTCTTTACTCAAGAACCACTTTTTTGAGAGTACCCAGGGGTTAATGATGCTGTCCTTCCTACTTTGGACAGGCCCAGGGCTGTCCCCTTGTTTTCCACTGAAAAACAAAAAACAAAAAACATTATTTAAATCAACTTAATGGGCTGTTCCCGGGCCATCCCCTCTAAAGTTTCACCCTCCCCTTCAACCACCTGCCAACTTCATATCCCCATCCCCCGCTTTGTTTTTTGCCCCTTACCCCCACTTAACATTTTCCTTATTGATTTTATCTATTATCTGACTCCCTTCTAGAATGTAAGCTCCATGGGGGTATGGATTCTTAATCTGTTTTGTTTGTTACTGTTTCCCCTGCACCTACCACAGCATGTGGCACAAAGTAGGTGTTCCATTAATTTTCTTCAATGAATGAGTAGGTGAATTAACTCAGTCGCTCTCTCTGAAATACTCAGTCATTTTGTTTCGTATATCCTGGTCTCCTTTGCAACCTTTTGTTTTTTGTTCTGTGGAAATCCCTGGCGTGCCTTACAGAGCACACACAGACACTACCTCCATATGCAGGAGAACTGAGAACCCCCACTGTCACGTAGATGCAACTGAAGATCAGAAAGGGAAGGAATGCTAGGCACAGTTCCATTCCATGCAAGGTCCACACAGAAACGAGAGCTACTGAGGACCAGGACTGAGTCCATGATCTACTGCTGACAAGGGCACACCCCTGGGCCTGTCTGGGACATGTCACCTGCTCAGAGCCAAGGAGAATGAAGGTATCACAGTCACAGAAATCGGCACCAACTTGGGGCACCAAAGGAAGAAAAGAGATCAAAGAGAGTTAATGGTCCCAATTTGTCACAGAACATAACCTCAAAACATGTGAACCATGATTCTACAAAGTCAACGTCTGGATTCTATCAGAGGCCTGCTGCGGAGTTAAGGTGCAGATTCCCTTTGCTGTCCGGTGGCTTGTGGAACGTTTCTTGATGACCCAAAGTCACAGTGTCTTAGGCAACTCACAGCAAAAGGCAGAGGACAGTATCCTGGACACATAAAATACTTGCTTGACACGAGCAATAGATTCCGTTCCAACAATCACTGAATATGCCCATAGGCAAGCTACATGCTTATGTTGACTCACCATGACCACCTGGGTTAGGGGCCAAGAAGGAGACAGTGTAGTGATGTCTGCAGCCTAGGAAGGGCATGAGCTCTGTGGAGGTTATACAAGGAGCTGGGTGATGCCTCACAGGGGCAATATTCAGGTAAGTCTAGTCAGAGCACAGTGGTTGAATAAAAGACCTATTTGCTTGGATTAACAGAAATGAGTAGTGAGATAAAATGAAGGCTGACAGAATTTTACATGGGCTAATACTTTTCTTATAATTCCTTTCGTTGAATTGTCTGTAAGAAAACAAGACAGCCAGAAGGGCCATTCCATGGTGATTTACCATAGGACCTCATAGTTAACTAAAACTTAACTAGCCCGAAATCACAAACCATATGAGACCCGAGATGATTGATATCTACGCTACGTTTAATTTACAAAAGCAAATCCATTTCGGGAATTGAAAGAAGTCCCAGGGAAGAAGAGAAAAGGATAAAATGATGGCTTTCACCATATAGCAGAGTGGTTGGAAGAAGAGGTTTAAATCTGGGTTTCAACTGATGAACAGGTAACATTCTGTAATTCCTTAGCCTCTTTTAATTTCAGATATATCAATAACACTGGACCAATATCAGTATCTACCTCACAGAAGTTGTGAATGTTAAACAATACATGCAAAGCATTTAGTATAGTGCCTATCACATAGCACTGTTCAGAAGTATTATTAATAACATTTTGGTGACATGGGAGGCAAATATTCTGTCTGGGTCACAGACTATTAGGAAGAAGTGCCACCTTATGAATGGGAAGTAGTCTCACAGATGTCATGTAAAAATGATCTAGCCATACTAATCTGTCACTTCTGGTATCTTTTGACTGAGCTCTGTTTGCCACGTGTAACAGGATCAGACGAAGTGTGTCATGCTTCATTCTGTATCTAGGGAATCAGAGGTCTGCAGAGCAGATGCCAAACTGGGAGTCGGGTTATGGACACTGCTTCTGCGTGTGATCTACAATAGGTGGTCATTATCTCCCAGACAGCAGTGGTGCACCTTGTAAATGCTGATTGAGACTGCAGTGTCCCCACCACTATATTAAAACAAGCAAACAAAAACTTTTGTGACAGTCAGGTATTTGAATGAGTAGAGGTTTATACCTGCATGTGATTTTCAGTGCAGTGGCAGCAAAGACGTGCTCTAGTACAAACGCGTCTCTATCCAGGAGCTCTTAGAGAAGGAGGCTGCTGTGGAGGTCTTACTGTTACTCTTAGACCAGCAGGTGGGAAGTTGGGGCTGGGGTACTGGCCGTGGTGCTGAAAAGCCTGCTCTGGTCCCAAAGGGAGCTGTCCATGGTCACAACCCATCGTGGCTGGGAGATTTTAAGACTGTGGAACTGCTGGGGAGCATGTCTGTTATTTCCACACCGGCAGTAGTTGGAGAAGAAATACTGCCCATGGTGCTGAAAAGCCTGTTCTGGCCCTGGTGGGAGCTGTCCATGGACACAACACACTGTGGCTGGAAGATACTAAGAGTGTGGAGCTGCTGGGGAATGTTTGTTGTTGTTGTTGTTGTTGCTGTTATTGCTGAGACAGGGTCTCACTCTGTCACCCAACTGTGCAATCATGGCTTACTGTAACCTCAACTTCTCAGCTTCAAGCGATCCTCCCACCTAAGCCTGCAGAGTAGCTGGGACCACAGGCATGCACCACCATGCCCAGTTAATGTTTAAATTTTTTTTTGTAGAGACGAGATTTTGTCCTGCTTCCCAGGCTGGTCTCGAACTTCTGGGCTCAAGCGATCCACCTGCCTCAGCCTCCCAAAGTGGTAGGATTACAGGTGTTCATCACCATGCCCGGCCACTGGGGAATGTCTTTTTTTTTTTTTTTTTTTTTTTTTTTTCGAGACAGAGTCTCACTTGGTCACCCAGGCTGGAGTGCAATGGCACGATCTCAGCTCACTGCCACCTCCACCTCCCGGAGTTCAAGCGATTCTCCTGCCTCAGCCTCCTGAGTAGCTGGGATTACAGGCACCCACCAACATGCCCAGCTGATTTTTGTATTTTTAGTAGAGACGGGGTTTCACCATGTTGGTCAGTCTAGTGTTGAACTCCTGACCTCAGGTGATCCACCTGTCTCAGCCTCCCAAAGTGCTGGGATTACAGGCGTGAGCCACCCCAGCTGGGAATGTCTTACTGCTTTTTTCACATCCGCAGTAGGTGAGAGTAGGGGGGAAATGCTGGTCATGGTGCAGAAAAGTCTGCTCTGGTGCTGATGGGAGCTGTCCATGGTCACAATCCACTGTGACTCAGCCCAGTTCTCAGCGTTCAAAGCTTTCCTGTAGTTGCAACTGCCTCTTTCACTTTGGATTCCAGTTAGCTCTTCCTTGCTTACTTGGTTAACTGACTGGCCTGAGGATAGTTTTGATTCAGAAGCTATCCAAAGAAATAGGTTCTATTTCAAGATTAATTTGGATGTTAAGGCCGGAACACGATGAGTCTATCTTTTCTGGGTCCTCGGGGTTGCCATAGGTCTTAACTTGAGGCAAAACAACAGCTCAAATCAATATAAAAGCATACTCTATGGAATCTTCCAGGCGAAGTGTAACCCAGGTTTAAGCAGGGTTTTCTGTGGACTTGAGTGGGCAATCAGTGGTTAACCTCTGGATCCAAATCAGACCAGAATCATGATTTCTAAATTTATTTAAAGGTAGAGTTGCAGAATTCCTTCAATGTTTTTCTCCCATTGCCTCTCAATTTTCTTGCCCCATTCTGTGTAAAACAGCATTTTTCTTTTTACACCTGACCATGTATCTAAATTGGAATTGTCTCAAACACTGTTCTTCCCTGTTTTTGCTTCCAAATACAGGAAATGGGTAAAGCCTACTATAAAAACAAAAGTAGAAAAATAAACCTGGATAATTCTATTCCCCACTTAGATTCTGTATCCACATTCTAACTTCCTGTCTATATACAGGTGGCCAACAACAGATGTCATGAGACAGCCATGTGATAGTACAGCAGGAAACAGACCTGGCCGTGAGTCCTGCCGCCAGGCCTCCACAGTCTAAATACCAAGGTCTGCACTATTCAGGGGATGGAAATCTATAAATAGCAGCCTGATGATATCATCATCACCCTGCCTGTTGCTGTTCAGCTGTCAAATGTTTTTAAAGGAGGTTACAACAAATTAATAGATGGTGGTAAATTCTACAGCCCCATTAACCATAAACTAACTCTCTCTCTCTGTCTCTCTGTCTCTCTCTCTCTCTCACACACACACACACACACATTCACACACCAGAGACCAACAGATTTTAGTGGCTGCTTATTAGAATGAAGACTCCATCTATCTGAAAGCCCATCCCTCTGACTGTGCCAGATCTCTGTGTCTAACTGGTCCCTAATTCCCTCTCCGTGTGGAGGGGCAGATGTGCTTCTTTCATCAGCTCACTGGCACTGCTTCTAAACAAGGTCTCTATTCCTTCAGACAGTGAGAAACTCAGGGCTCAACCTTGAATGAGCAGCAGCCTGCAAACCTTGCAGACAGATCCGCTTGTTAAAGGGAACTCTAATCCCTCTTGTTCTTATCATGAAGGAAGACCTAGATTGGACATCAAGAGAAAGAACCTAGAGCAGATCCCCCCTCACCATTGACCTTGAACAATTCCCTGACCTCTTCCCTCCTGTTAGCCAAGCAGTGACTGTGCACCAAGTCAATTCTGCATCTAGAGAGAAAGTCTCCAAGAGACAAGTGATGCTGCAACTGACGCAGGAGATGGGAAGAGGAGATGGTCCTTGAGGCACGTCCACAGCCCCTGGGACAACGCCACCAAATGGATGTCTCCATGATCTCACGAAGTTCCCGAATGGTGCTAACCAACCACCACGCCGAGCTGAGGTGGCAAACTACCTGAGAAGGTCATAGAATGTCACCTTTCCCAATGACTGGATTCTTCACATGTCTTTTAAAAATGGGTGTCTGGTCTGTAGCAAACAACACGGAGAAAGAGAAGTGGGAGGTGGGAAAGAGAGGCAAGATTATTTTTAAAAGTGTATATGTGTGTGTATCTACATTTATATAAATAGCAACCAGAATGGAACACGGAGGGCTTTTACTATTTTAAGGACAAGCTCCAGTAGTAAAGTAATCTTCTGAGTGACGCCACTTTTTGGCTGGTAGCTCTCGCGCCCAGGCGAGGCTGGGATGCTTTTTATTCAAGTCACATTGAATGCCTCTTACCAATCCATCCATCTTAATCAGCACCTACCACTTGCAGCAGCGGCCCTGCAGTCAGGAAGCCAAGGGGACGGGGGTGTGAGGGCAGTGGCGAGAGGTGACATCATAGAAGGAAGAAAGGAAAGAAAGCGGGTGGGAAGAGCTGGTGAGGAGGGAGGAGGCGGGGACCCAGCTGTCCCACACCTCTGCATGCCTCCTTCAACTGGATGATGCTCTCAGCCAGGTGGCAGGCTGAACACTGAGCGGGCCCAGGGCCTGTGTCTTCAGGGTGGACACGCTGCAGTGCTCAGCCGTTCCAAAAGCAGGTGGCCCTGCACCTGCGGCTACTGAGGCCGGGTGCAGAGGAGCTGGTACTAAGCAGGGGAGAGGCTGGGGGCTGTCCCTTGAATCTCCCTTCTGCCCTGCTCCTAGCTCACCCGACACTGGGAGCCCCTTTGTCTTCCAGCAACATGCCCCCAGCCCACTTGACTTCTGACCCACTCATGCCACTCCTGCTCCTCCTCTGTGGTCCTTTAGAATATTTCTGTTGTGGCTTCAGTTGCCCCCAAAGCCCAGTTATTCAAAGAGGGGCTGGGGTTCCCTACCTCACTCAGCCTTAGCTATATAGCCCTATACCTGCAGCCTCAGCCCACCCCATGGCAATCAGGGTAGGGCCTGGAGTGAATTCTGCAGCTGCAGACCTGAACTCGGCAAACCTCTGTGCCCACCAAGCCTTGCTCTGCCCTATCATGAGGCCTATATCCTGTTTGGTGTTTCAGTTACCTTCAGTAGCTGGGATCCACTAGAAACTGCAGTCCCCTTGGCTGGGCCCCTGAAAGTCTTGCCACCCCCTGAACATGGTTCCCCAACCTCTAACTGATAGCTGAAGTCCTCCCTGCAAAGAACCCACCATGCAATTGGGTTTCCCACTGTCATCCTGCCAGGGGGCTCCTAAGAACTAAACCCTGGAGAAATTGCCACCAATCTGAATCCACCCTGAGCTTTTCGTGCACCTTCAGACCCTCTCATTTTGAGTTGCTGCACTGTCTTCAGAGTCAGCCTCGGCTAAGCCAGCTCCCCCAGCCTGGCTCTAGGCCCCTCTCCTGGGGATGGCACTCAGCTGCATCCTCTGGATGTGACACCCCCCATGCAGCGCTGGAGGGCTTGGGCTTAGGTCTGTGGAGTTCCAGCTTCTCAAAATGCAGGGTGAGTGGCAGACCAGCAGCAAGATTCTTTGCCAGAGGAAGGGCAGAGGTGGGCTCTGCAAGGCGCCTGTCCTCATGCCTGGTCCCCACATGGTCACATCTGCTCTAAGAATCAAATCTGGGAACCAGAGTCCATGATCAGAGTTGGGAGTAACCTGTGTGTTATTTCCACACTCAGGTGTCTCCGAGCCTTAAGAAACTAATGTGCATTGAATGTGTACTCTCCACTTATCTGCTTCTTACTCCATTTAATCAGCAGAACAGCTATGGAAGAAAAAAAAGACCCATTTTATCGATGAGGAAACTAACTCAGGACTTTAGCAATTTGTCTGAGTTATGGAACTAATTAACAATACAGCCAGAATGCAAATAAAAATCAAATTCCAAAGCTCATGAGGCCTCCCCCTAAATTTTAGCCCAGAAAAAGGACAGCAGTGGGTGGGACAGCAAAAACATGTGGATGGGGGAAGAGAAGACGGGGATACACAGAAAACACACTTCCAGTGTCACAAGTCCCATCTTAGCCAAGGCCACACAAAGAGAGATGAGCTCAAGCCCTGTGTCACATTCACCCGTCTATGGTGGGGCCTCCTTGTACGAACAGCATTGTCTGAGAAGGCCCTGCAGCTAGCGAGACTCAGGCTAGGTCAACATTGCAAAAAGCCTTAATGATTCATGATCACACAGGATGTATAGACGAGAGCATTTTTGCCTTTACTATCTATCAGTGTATGCCGGTAAGAGGCAGGAGATAGGAAAAATCCATTTGTGAGCTGTTAAATTTGGGGTGTCGGCTGGGCATGGTGGCTCACACCTATAATCCCAGTGCTTTAGGAGACTGAAGCAGGTGGATCACTTGAACCCAGGAGTTCAGGACCAGCCTGGACTACATGATGAAACCCTATATCACATATATATATACGTTATATATGATATATGTATATGATATATATAGTAGATATATATATCTACTATATTTACTATATCTACTATAACCCTATATCTAATATATATATTATATATAATACATATAAAACCCTATATCATATATATATATACACACACACATATACACACACACATATATATATATAAATTAGCCAGGCATGGTGGCACATGCCTGTGGTCCCAGCTACTTGGGAAGCTGAGGTAGGAGAATCACTTGAGCCTGGGAGGTTGAGGCTGCAGTAAACTGTGATCATGCCACTGCACTCCAGTCTGGGTGACAGAGTGAGACCCTATCTCCCCACCAAAAAAAAAAAAAAAAATTGAGGGCATTAATTTTCAAGGCTGAACTAGAAATCAGGAAAGCTGCCTACGATGAAGGCTGCACCTGGCCAGAGGGTGAAGTAAATGGAGGAAAAGGAGACTCTTCCAGGCCAGAGGCTGCAAATGTGAGAGGGCAATCCTTCCGCTTTGGTGAACACCATCATGGTGAGATGAGGCCTGAGCACCTGTAGTTGAATCAGACGAATGGCTTGCAACTTATACTGGCCCGTGACCTTGGGCAAGCCACCTCTTGTTGGGCCTCCATTTCCTTGTTTACATGATATAAAGGGATTTAAATAGATCCTCTCTATAACGCCTTTCACAACCAAGGATCTGGAATTCTACACTACAGATTCATATAGATATAAATGGAGAGAGGGATTTTAAAGACAGCAATGCTTATAAAATGAAATACTTTTCTTCAGTAATCATTATCTGTTACCAACTTCTCAGGTCAATAATCTTTCTCATAGAAATTGACCAAAATATTGCACTGTAACCCACTGTGATTTTTTTACTTCTACTAAGAGGTGCTCCTGGGGGTGTGTGGAACAGTGGGCCCCCTCAGCTGCATGTGAGCTGGTGTCAAAAGCTCTGGCGGGCCCTCTCCTCCTTCTTCAGTAATTTCTGCCGCTGCTGACAATATTTTGTTACTGCTCCCAGGTAATTTGAGGGAAAGCTTTCAGTTGCTTTTATATGCTCTGCTTTTTTTCTTACCTTCTTTGGATGCAGCAGAAGTTAAGTGAGAAGGACCAGAGCACATCTCTATACTGCTAAGAGCAAGAAAGAAAATTTTCCCAATTACAGGTTTTCTCTGCAATTTTCCTCTTTGAAGAACAGAACACCATACACCCCCAGCTCCAATCTCTTAGGTTTTTGTCTGCTGTATCTACAAGTGGCGTAAATGGGAATATATGTGAGGGGCAGGGGTAAGGGATGGGTGTGTTGGGTGAAGACTGTTCTGGTCCATAAAAAAGGGGCTGGCTTTAGGGAAAGAAGACACTAACAAGAAAAGTCTGGGCTCGGCATGGTGGTTCATGCCTGTAATCCTAGCACTTTGAGGGGCCAAGGTGGGAGGATCACTGGAGGCTAAGAGTTTGAGACCTACCTAAGCAACATAGTGGCACATGCCTATAGTCCCAGCAGCTCAGGAGGGTGAGGCAGGAGGATGGCTTTGAGCCCAGGAGTCTAGGGCTGCAGTGAGCTATGATGGCTCCACTGCACTCCAGCCTGGGCAATAGAGAGAGACCCTGCGTTTATTTAAAAAATAAAATAAAATAACAACAAATGTCTGCTTTTAACTCTGCCCCTCTCCCACATCAACAAACACACACACATGTACGCCACAACCTTTCTCATCGTCTGCACCTTCTTTCCAACAAGGTCATTCAGTGTCCTCATTATTTCTTTTCTCAAACTCCATCATCAGTACAACCTTCGTAGCTTTTATGTATGCTTTATTATAAATGACCCCACCTAGCAAAGACACACAGAGCACCAAGTTCATGCCAGCCACCATGCTCAGCCCAACAACACACCTTATACATACCTGTTTTTTTCTGTGCTCCAAGAACTTGACCTGTTTTAACTCCTTTAATCCTCAGAACAACCTCTTGAGGTGACCACTGTTACTATTTCCATTGTACAGATTGGGGAGATGGGGTACAAATGCTGTCCAAGGCTACATAGCCAACAAATAGGGCAGCCAGGATGTAAACCCAGAGAGCAGGGGTGGCGGTCTGAGCTCAGCCCCCTCAGAGCATTCCACAGACCCTGCCTTATTCTAGCTGGTGAGATAGCCATAGGAAAAAATGATTAAGATGCATGTACAGAGTTTCTCCTTACAAATGAGATGAGGGTTATGGAGAGGAGGCCATTCCAGGGGAGAGAATGTGCCAGGGCACAGCCTAGAGTCATGAGCCTCTGCAGGAGGCGTGTGGAAATGCAATGAGGGTGTGGAAATGCAATGAGGCTAAAGTGGGAGGTGCTGGCAACTAAAACTACTAGGGGGATTGGGTCCAGATAATGAAGAATGATGAAGACAAGGAAGGAGCAGGAGCTAAACAAAGCTGTCTCCCATCCCTCCCAGAGACTCCACGTTCACAAGCAGCGCTGCCTGGAACTGTGGACTAGAATGTCAGGCACAACCGGGGCCAGAGGGGGAAGGCAAGAAAGCAACTTGACCTTAAAATAGCATGCTGAGAGACACCTGCAGTCTCAATCACAGGATGCTTCCCATAGCTGAAGAGGAATTTACAAAGATTCTAACCCCACTCTGTATTTTACAGAAGAGAAGGCTGAAGCCACAGAGGAGAGGCAACAGGTCTGAAGAGACACCTATGCGTGCAGCAGGACAACAGGGGATTGGGGGTCACCAGCTCACCCCAGAGAGGGTCCAGCACTCACTTCTAAGATTCGCCAGCTTCCCCCGCCAGAGAGCGTCCAGCACTCACTTCTAAGATCACCCCTTCTCCCACTGAGACAGCTAGCCTTGCACAAGGCATTCCCAAGCAAGCTCCCCAACAATATAAGGAGAAGAAAGAGAAGGAGTGGCTACACACACACACACACATACACACACACACACACCTCTTAGTTGTCATTTTGAACCTAATTGTTTTAACACCAGCTGTCACATCTGCAGAATTCTTCTCTGGTACTAGTGACCTGCAAGCCCTAGAATAACGAGTCTGCGTTTAAAAATAGCCCAAATTCCTAGAATTCACCTCTCCTTCTCACTCTCCCTTCTCCATCTTACTGACAGGCCTGGTAAGAGCTCCACTTCAAATTTATGAGTATAATGTCAAGAAAATTTGATTCAGATTTATTAGGAGTGGTAGAGCAAAGCGTGGACAAGAGCAGCAGCTGATGAGGCAGAGACCTGGGTTCTGTCTCCAGCAGAGCAGGCTGCAAACCTTGGCTGACAGCCTTGAGCCCCAGGGGATTGGCTCTCTCCAGGTCACCCAGCTAGGACACTCACTGCCTCCACTTCTCCCAGCCAGCTCCATTTCCGCTGGGCTCTCTGCAGAGAAGCACCCCTACCCCTGAAACCTGACCACCCCCTTTTGGTGGTGGACTCACTAGCTCCCTACAACCAGTCCCAGATCCCACAGATTCTGTTCCTTCTGCCTCCAAGCAGCATGGCAGCAAGGGAGAAGAAAATTATGCAGCCCAATATACCCAGGATGGAATCCTGAAACAGCTGTCGACCAACTGTGTAGCCTGAGAATCAAACCCCTGAATCTCTCCAAGTCTCAGATTCCCATCAGGAAAACCTAGCTCCAGTGATTGTTCTGAGGGTCAACATAAAGGACCAAGTACCCTCCTCTCAATGCTTGGAAGAAAACAGAAATTCTTACAAAAACGTTTGTTTTCTTCTCCCTCCTAGGTCTAGCTGCCTTATTCTTTCAAATCCATCAAGCATGCATTAATATCAGGACAGGGATTTCAGTCCTAAGGACCCACTATGTGTGTGAAGGGCTCAATCGTGGGATTATTTATGCCCATTGAGAAAGTGGCAACAAGTTGTATATCCAACATTAAGGAAATGACTGTTATGATTCACCTCTTGCATGAAAATACTGCACAGGCATTCCAATTCTATTCTGTTGGCTAAGGAGATGCACATAATATGGTGTTGAAAGAAAAATTCAGGATACAAATTGTATTTAGAATATGTTCTCATTAATGTGAATGAAAATGCTACAATAAAATGAGGCAAAATGTTGACAGACGGTTTCTGGATAGTGGACTTACTAGTGAGAGTTTTCTTTTTATATATACTTCTTTATCTTCAGAAGAAATTTTTTCAAGAAATAAATCACTGATCACCAGATTCTAGTTTCAGAAAAGAAGGGTTTGGTCAATGCTATGGTGAAGGGAGTATCCTCTCCTCCCATATATTGGTTTTATAGAACCAAAATAAAAGTTCTAAAAAAGGATGTTCTGCAGATGTGACCAAGCTACCAAAATAAAAGTTCCAACAAAGGATGTTCTGCAGATGTGACCAAACAAGGAGGTAGCATAAAAAGAATCAGGAAATGAGCCTTATTCTGTATGCCGTTGGGTTGATGCAGGTGACTCGGGACAGCATGAGATGCTCAGCTCCAGGCCATGATGCAAATCATGGGGCAGGGTCAAGAAGGCATCTCCCCACATGCCAAGAGTTAAGACCAACTAGGAGAGCACCAGTGTTTCTTATAAACTAACAAAGGATTAAGAGAAATATGGGCAAGGAAGGTATTTGATTTCACGGTCTCCATATGACTTCCCAGACTGTGGGTTTGGCTAATGGCATTCCATCTGTGAAGACAACTTCAAAACTCCACTTTGAGGAGGGCTGAAGAACACCTAAGCCAACACACTCATGTTAAAGACAAAGAAACAGACCCATGGGATGAATTCTCTCAGAGGCACCAAGACTATTAAAGAAATACTGAATAAGAACCAAGACTTCCTCACCCCTGGTCCTGTCTTCCTTCTACTCATTCTAGGTGGTGAACCTAGAAGCTCCTTCAAAGCTAGAAGGCAACAGGACAGGAGAGCCAAAGAGCCCCTTACTGGTGTCCTCTAGTGAGGAAACAGTTTGCAAGGCTGAAATGGTGTGCAAAGGAGAAACAAGTAGCAATGCATCATAATATGTTGTTTTCTTCCTCGTGGAGCACATAATTCCACTTCAGTAGACACATATTAGGCCAGGTGTGGTAGCTCATGCCTGAAATCCAAGCTCTTTGGGAAACTGAGGTGGATGCATCACTTGACGTCAAGAGCTCGAAACCAGCCTAGCCAGCATGGTGAAACCCCCGTCTACTAAAAATGCAAAAATTAGCCAGGCACAGTGGCACACGCCTGTAGTCCCAGCTACTCGGGAGGCTGAGGTGGGAGAATTGCTTGAACCCAGGAGGCAGAGATTGCAGTGAGCCAAGATCGCACCACTGCACTCCAGTCTGGGCAAGAGAGCCAGACTCTATCTCAAAAATAAATAAATAAAAATAAAGGCACATATTACATGTTTTGGGGTCTCATGATTCTACACGAGAGCTCTCTCTGCTAGTTCATCTTCTCATGGTGGAGAAGGCTGTTTTTAACTGGATGTGAAGGGCCGGAATGGAAGTAAGATGCATAGCCGGGAAAGGAAATTCCCAGATGAGATTCCACGAACACTTTCTGGACACGTGGTCCAGAGAGTATATCCCTCCAGCCATCAACCAATGCCTACACCCCTTCCTTGGCTCAGCCTTTGCTTTTCTGGCAGCCAAGTGTCCCCTGCCCCCTTCCTCTGATTCAGAAGGTGGACACCACCCCCAACTGAAACAAACCTCAAGTATGAACTCTGGATTTAGGAGCGAAAATGCAGAACAATTGCTGGCCTCATTGGATGACTTTGCACATGGGGAGTGAGAAACCAAATCCTAAAATTGGTTGAACACGTGCTATGTGTTAGGTGCCATACACAAATTTTCTCCTCCTACTCAACCACAACTCAGTGAAGGAAGAACTCCCCTTCCGATGGAGAAACAGAGGCTCAGAAAGCTAAAAACTAACTTGTTTAGGGCCAGCTAGTGAATAAATGGCCTCTTCATAATGTTGTTTAGGGCCAGCTAGTGAATAAATGGCCTCTTCATAATGTTGTTTAGGGCCAGCTAGTGAAGAAATGGCCTCTTTATAATGCACTGCTCTGAGGCACCCTCAAATAGAAGCTGAAGTTGACAGTGAGGAAGGGACCACAGCTAGACTCTCGAATATTCAAACTATTACCTCTGCAAAGATAGGAGTTTATCCCAATTGAGCAGAAACATGTCTAACATGTAAAGAAAAACTCCTCTCTACCCCTATAGCCAGTCCTTGGATCCCAATTCTGGGCCAGGCAGGCCTCTCCTTACCCTGCCTCTGGACTACCCAAGAGTCAGCAGGGCCCCCCATTCCTGGAGATGAGGGTTGTAGCCGTTGCTGCACCGCAAAAGCTCAGGCAGAGTTAGAACAGAGGGGCAGAGAGAGCCCCATGTGTTAATGAGAAGCTGGCTGAAGTCCACAAGGACTTCCTGCCTGGCTCCTTCAGAACCTACCAGCCTCCCAGTGGGCAGAGCAGCCCAGGCCAGCAGCTCACTGCCGGTCAGGGGCAAGCGGCACTGTGCTGTGGGTCTGGTCTCACTGTGGCCTGGAGAGACCTTGGAGAGCCCTGGTCCCTCTGCTGTTCAGCCTCTCCAGCCCCACCATACCCGTTGCTCCCCACAGCACTTCCTTCCAGCAGACCTCAGTTTTCTAACCAGGCCAATGGGATTATAGAGATAAGTCTTCTCTTCTCCTTTAGGAAATGCCCTAAGAAGACAAATCCATGTCGTTACCATGTGAGTTAAAAAAAAAAAAAAAAACACACAAAAAACCTCCTTCCAGGTCCCTGCCAAGAAAGTGCAAATGCTTCCGCCTCTGTGCACTTTGTCAAAGGCATCACCCTGCTGTGAATGCCTCACCCTCCCCAATCCTGAGAGGGCCAGCACCATTCCTCCACAAAGCCACTCCCCTCTGACTTCCACAAGCATCCCATGGCACACTTTCCTTGTATTGTAAAGACTGTGTTCATCTTTAATCAGATGTGAAGAGCTGGAATGGAAGTAAGATGCATAGCCTGGAAAGGCTGGACCATGACCTTTGCAGGGGAAGGCTCAGCCAGCACTCACCCAGCAGTTCTGTTGGCCTGGGGGAGGCCCGCGTGCAGCAGTACACAGTGTTTGCAGTTCTCTTCATCTCCAGGAGAAGGCAGGAGAAAAAGACTCAAGAATCAAAGCCAACCGATACACTGAGCAAGCAGGAATGGGGAAGGTGTGGTGCATACCCAGAGCCCTGTGGCTGGGCGGGGCTTTGCCATCTGGTCACCCTCCCAGCCAGCACAGGAAGGCCTTTGGTAATATGCCTGATGGGGGACACAGACGTGACAAGTCATCATTCTCACCACGCCAACCATGGGATGGCCCAGGCCCAGGGGGTGGTGCGAGTTCAACGGCCCCAAGCATTGTCTTCTTCCACCACCATCATAGCCAAGGTGCGGGCTCAGTGCTAAGGATGGTACTGCAGAAAGGAGATAGAAGGGAAATAAACACAGTCTCCCTCCTCAGGTGCTGATGTTTATTCCAGATGGGATATAAAAGTCACCGGTGGAAATAATCTGGGTATGGTTACAGAGCAAGGCACTTCTGAATGAAAATCATGATGTTGAATCAGATGTTGGATAGGAGGCCCTTGTTGGGGCACCAAAGCCCAGAGAAGGGGGGTCACTGGCTAAGGGGACCACTGAAAAAAAAAAACCTCCAATCTAACAATTCCAAGTCAGGGACACTCCCTGCTTCAGCTCACAAAATTTGCAACTGGGGAGGACTCAGAAGGAAGGTTCAGCCAACCAGGTTAATTCAGGAAGCATCAACCCACCACCTGCCAAAGCAGGTGAGCCTTGAAATAATAGAGTACGTACTCTATGTCAGACACCAAGGAGGCACAGATGAAGCTGCACACCACCTGGCATTGTAGTGATCAGGTTCTAACAGAAGAACAAGTACAACATCATTGTCAACACCATCATCATCACCACCACCTCATCATCACCACCATCACCACCACCACCATCATTATCATCACAGCCATTCTCACCATCATCACTACCATCATCGTCATTACATCACTAACAATGTCATCATTATCACCATTATCATAATTATCATCAACATCATCACCATCACCACAATCATAGTCACTATCATCACCATCAACCACCACCATCACCATCTTCACCAGTGTCAGTCATCACTGTCATAGCTACCAGACTGATACTAATACTATTATACCTAATCTGTGTAAGTACTGGGGAATACATTGTCTTTAATCCTCAAATAATCCTTTTAAAGTAGGAATTATTATCTTCATTTTACAAATGCAAAGTGAGGCTCAGAGAAGCCATGCAGCCTGCTCAAAGTCAAACTGTAAGAACTGGGATTCTGGAGCAGGTCTTTTGGACTACAGACTCTGCCCTCTTTCTGTCATTCCAAGCTGTCTCCATCAACAAATAATTATGCTAACACATAATAAATGCTCTAACAGGCATATGTATGGAGGACAGAGAAGGGTGTGGTTAATTCTGCCTGTGATGAGAGCAAAAGGTTCCCAAGGGAGAAAAGAGTCCAGGTGAACCGTCCAGAGGGCTTTCAAGTTCTCCTGGTGGGAAGAGGGATGGCCATATACTTCAAGGAGAGGAGACAGCAGGTGCAAAAGCAGAGAGTGGGGAAGGAAGGGCGGGTGGCTGTGGAGTAGTGGGTCCTGGGGCATCACAAGAGTGAGTGAGCAGAGCAGCGACAGCAGGACTAGAACATGAGGACCTTGTCCACTGAGCCCTGAGCTGCAGAGATGGAGCGAAGTCTGGGAGTTATGAGGAGCCCTGGGAGTCTTGGGCTGGGGCAGTGAAATGCTCAAGTCTATGTTAAAAAGCTCCTGTGGGGCCGGGCGTGGTGGCTCACGCCTGTAATCCCAGCACTTTGGGAGGCTGAGGCAGGTGGATCATGAGGTCAGGAGTTCGAGACCAGCCTGACAAACATGGTGAAACCTCATCTCTACTAAAAATACAAAAATTAACCTGGCATGTTGGCGCACACCTGCAATACCAGCTACTTAAGAGGCTGAGGCAGAAGAATCACTTGAACCCAGGAGGCGGAGGTTGCAGTGAGCCGAGATCATGACGCCACTGCACTTCAGCCTAGGCGACACAGTGAGAGTCCATCTCAAAAATAAATAAATAAATAAATAAAAAATAAAGCTCCGGTGGGACAAAGATATATTGACCAGGTGGTTTATTATCCTGATGTTTACAAAAAGTAGCAACTGCCTACCAGGCCAGCAACAGGGAGCTGGTTAAACAAAACTTGTTGCTCATCCACAGTGGAACCCTCTGCAGTTATTAAAAATTATATCTATGAGCCAGCAATTCCTCTTCTGAAGCTATATCCCAAATAATTAAAAGCAGGGACTCAAACAGATAATTGTATATCCATGTTCACAACAACATTATTCACAATAGCCAAAAGGTGGAGACAACCTAAGTGTCCATCAAACAATGAATGGATAAACGTGTAGTTTACACACATGATGAAACATTATTCAGCCTTAAAAAGGAAAGAAATTCTGGCCCATGCTACAACATGGATGAACCTTGCAGACCTTATGCTAAATGAAATCAGCCAATCACATAAAGACAGAAATTGTATGATTCTACTTAAATGACGTACCAAGAGTAGTCAAATTCATAGGAACAGAAAGTAGAACAGAATGTGGTACAGTCCCTCTGCAACCTTATCCATGGGAGATACGTTTCAGTGGATGCCTGAAACCACAGATGGTACAGAACTCTATATATACTAAGTTTTTTTCTCATACAGTCACATTGTATAGGGCAGGTAGTGTGTCCAGCATACATACGTGGAACAAAGGGATGATTCACATCCCAAGCAGAATGACGCAAGATTTCATCATGCTGCTCAACATGGCACACAACTCAAAACTCATGTATTGTTTATTTTCAGAATTTCCCATTTAATATTTTTGGACTATGGTTGACCTTGGGTAACTAAAACCACATAAGGTGAAATCTTGGATAAGAAGTGACTGTAGTAGATATAGATATATATATATATACATATCTCCAATGGAAGGGCTGGAGGGAAGTGGGATGGGGAGCAGTTATTTAATGGGCATGGAGTTTCCATTTGGGAAGATGAAAATGTTCTGGAAATGGACGGTGGTAATGGTTGTACAACACCATGGATGTACTCAATGCCACTGAACTGTACACTTAAAAATTGTTAAAATGGGAAGTTTTCTGTTATTTATAATTTCCCACAATGAAATATGATGATACGAGTGTGTATTAACATGCAAATATGGTACGATGTGTTCATTAAGGAAAAATACATCACATTGTAATCCCATTTTATATATGAATTTGCTAGCAAAAATATTATAAGATAGGAATCAAATTTAAACAGTGGCTATCTCTGAATGCTGAGATTATATTTTATTTTCCTCTTTTTCATATCTACAGTTTTCAAGGTTTGTATGATAGACATATATAATAAAAATATTTTTTCTTTCTTTCTTTTTTTTTTTTTTTTTTTTGAGATGGAGTCTCCCTCTTTTGCCCAGGCTAGAGCATAGTGGCACATTCTCAGCTCACTGCACAGTCTGCCTTCTGGGTGCAAACTATTCTCGTGCCTCAGCCTCCCGAGTAGCTGGGATTACAGATGCCCGCTACCACGCCTGGATAATTTTTGTACTTTCAGTAGAGACGGGGTTTCACCATGGTGGCCAGGCTGGTCTCGAACTCCTGACCTCAAGTGATCCGCCCGCCTCGGCCTCCCAAAGTGCTGCGATTACAGGCGTGAACCACTGTGACTGACTAAAAATTTTTCAATTAAAGAGGAGAGAAAGAAAAATAAGAGATTAATTGGTGATTGATTCACTAGAGAGTAGGGTGAGAAATGAGCTGGGGAGAGAACAAATGGAAGCAGAAGAGCCAGTTAGTGGCCTAGTAGGACACTGATTCCTTCATTCAGCGCCTACTGTGGACAATGTGGCACTGAGAGGAGGCCTTCTGCCTGGGTATTATTAGGGTGGAGGGAACAGTGTGCTGCCCCTATGGTCACAATTGTCACTATCCATCCCTTATCGTATGTTGCATGTCTGAGACATGCCAGTCATTGGAGACATCAATGACCAACATACTTTTTCTGTCCTGTGAGGATGTATATTCTATTGATGAGAGACAGAAAAGTAAACCACCAAGTGGAATAGAGTAAGGCATCTGTAGATGAACAGGGTTGTGGGTACACACAGAGTGAAGACAATGTCCCTGCATTGCTGGTGTCTGCAGACATGCAGGCTGGGCCCAGGGCAGTGAGGCTTGGTGTTCCAAGCAGAGGGAATAGCATGTACAAAGGCTCAGAGGACCCAGAGAGCTAAGTGGGCCATTACAAACAGAATTTGTAGGATTTCTGTCCTTGGAGACCTTACAGACCAAGCCAGATGGCTCTCTCTAGCTGGATATGGAGTTCCCTGTGGCTGCTGCTGCAGGTTACCCTACCAGCTACCAGCTGCCTCCTCTCTCTTTCTTTATAGAAGCCCATCTCTATTCTAGCTGCAACACAGAGTGTAGATTCTTTCCCTAGCCTCAGGGCGTGAATATGATTGGTCCAAGTCAAGCAGTTCATCCTGTTTCCCTTTACTAATGATTAGCGTAGGGACAGACATAAGACCAAATTCTGGGTAATGGACCCCAAGAGGAACCCTACCAGTTGGCTTCTGATCAGGATTTAATTCCTGAATAAGAGGAAAGAGCTGCTACAAAAAAAAGTCTTGTTGTATCTGTCTTCTTGCCTCCAGCCTGGGATGCTGTTCTGATGCTTGGAGCTGTGGCAGCCAATGTATGACCATGAGGGATAGGCCAGGAGAGTCATAGAGATAGGAATTCAACATCCAAACACTTTGGAATGGCTAGACCATTCTTGGCATTGTCCATCTCCAGTGTCTTGTCATGTATGATAGTTAAATGCCTTTGTTTTTGAGCCTCTCTTCAGCATTCAGTTCCTTGCAGCCAAGTGCATCTTAAGCAATATCCCTGCCTCAAGACTAGGGGCTAATGTGCAAGCTTCTGTCGCTCAGCAGCAAAGCCTGGGTCTCAAGGATCATCTGATGCCTAAAAGCCAAAATCATGCCTACAGCAACAGACCTCCACTGCGGCCTCTCGCATGGACGAAGAAACACAGCCAGTAATGTCGTTTCCATTCATCTCTCCTCATCATCGCCATCAATACTGATGAGTCACGTGCAGCACAGATTATGCCTGACCCACAGAGGAAGACAGACTGGAGGAGTCAGCTCTTCCCTCTCAAAACAAAGCACACTCGGTGGAAGAGGCAGGAAACAAACAAACAAACAAAAAAGCAAAAGGAAATCTACCCAGATCTTACCTACTCCTGGTTGCTGTAAGGGTTGGGGGTGGAGGAACAGAGGCAGCAGGGCAAGGTGCCTGCAGTCTATCTCTGGTGTCCCCTGGCTTCCTGCAGCTCCCCTTCTCCTCTCTGGGCTTGTATCTTTTCCTAGCGGTAGGAGAGGTAAAATTCGGGAGTGCACAACAAGCAGGCAGGGAGCTTGAGCCCTTGGAAGCAGATGGCAGGGGCAGAGTGGGGGGAGGGCAGGGCAGAGCAGAGCAGAGCAAAGCAGCATGGGGCGAGACCTGGATGTGTGGGTGCTCCCTGGGAGAGAAGACAGGGAAGCAGGCGTTTGCTTTTTTCTGACTGTAGCATTCAGGCGTTCACACAGGGGCAAGGCAGTGAAGGACCTCACCTGTGCACCTGGGGGAAGGCTGCCACGTTTACTCTTTCCTTTTACTCTCACGATGCCCTGTCCTGCTCAAATACCCTCGGTGGCTTCTGCTGTCTACAGAATGAAGCCCAATCTCTTTAGCTTGTCTTCCCCAATCCATCCCACCCCACCAGCCTCACTGGCCACTTGGCTCCAACATGATGCAAAAAGGCCCAAGGGTGGCCTGAGCACCCGGACACTGAGGCAGGTAGGCAGTGCATGAAAAGTCCACAGACTACAGCCAGGCCTTCTTTCCTTCTTTGTTCCCCTCTTCCTCAGGCTGGACGCATCCCCTAAAGGGGGCTCCCCAGGCTTTTTTTTTTTTTTTTTTTTTTTTGACAGGGTCTCGCTTTGTCACCCAGCCTGGAACGCAGAGGCACAATCTTTGCTCACTGCAACCTGCAACTCCTGGGCTTAAGCCATCCTCCCATTTCAGGCTCCTAAGTAGCTGGGACCACAGGTGCATGCCACCATGCCTGGCTAATTTTTTCTTTTTTTAGTACATATGACCCCATTACCCAGGTTGGGCTCAAACTCTTGGGTTCAAATGATCCACCTGCCTCGCCCTCCCAAAGTGCTGGGATTACAGGTGTGAACCACCACCCCGGCCTCCCCAGACTTTCCAAAGAGTTCACCGGTGGACACATGTCTGGGCTGAGTGCTTCCAGGAGCCCTGATGGAGCCACGGTCAAGCGCTCATATCACTGAATGCCATTGGTTGCAGGCCCCCCCGCCCAAGGAGCATGAGGCCCTGCAACCACTGTAGCTTGCTAGGGCTCTTACAGCCTGGGTCCCATCACCCTCTACCAAGGCTGAGGGAAATCTCTTGACATGCACAAAGGTCTTCCAACTCAGAAAGAGCAAGGACCTGAAGGATCCTTTCCTTTTAGATTGTTGTCTAAAGTGGCATATAGGGGTGTTGTTACCACAGACAAAAAGCCAGGCCCCAAATTACACCTCTCCTGGGTAGTCAGCAGCTGTGTGGGGAGTGGGGTGGGAGGTCCTGTTCTGGAGCTTCTTGATCTTTAGCTAATCATTCCATAGTCAATCAATCAATCAATCAAGTTCCGTGTGTGTAAGTGGTGCATGTCTCTTTCGCCCTCTCATTGAAAAGGTATAGGGTTTGGCCGGGCATGGTGACTCACACCTGTAATCCCAGCAATTTGGGAGGCCAAGGTGAGCAGATTGCTTGAGCCCAGGAGTTCAAGACCGGCCTGGGTAACATGGAGAGACCCTGTCTTTACAAAAAATACAAAAATTAGTCAGACATGGTGGTGTGTGCCTGTAGTCCCAGCTACTTGGGAGGCTGAGGTGGCAGGATCACCTGAGCCTGGGGAAGTTGAGGCTGCAGAGAAGAGATCATACCATTGTACTCCAGCCTTGGTGAGAGAGTGAGATCCTGTCTCAAAAAAAGGCAAAACACAACCAAAAAATAGTTACAGGTTTGATGGAGATAGCATGAGCTTAGAACTAAGACAAATTTGGGTTCAAAACTGGTCCCAGATCTTCTGTAAAATGTCTAACCAGCACTCAAAACTGTCAAGCTTATCAAAAACAAGAAAAGTCTGAGAAACTACCAGAATCTAGAGGAGTCTGTGGAGACATGATGGCATCCTGGAAGGTGTTCTGGCACAGAAGAAAGGACATCAGGGAAAACTAAGGAAATCTGAATAAAGCATGGACTTTAATTAACACTAATGTATCAATATTACTTCATTAATCATTGACAAATGTTTCCCACTAATGTGAAGTATTAAGAGTGGAAATGGTATGGAGTGTAGGGGAACTCTCTGTAACACCTTTGTAACAATTCTATAAATCTAAAACTGTTCTAAATTAAAGTGTTTATCAAAAATAAAATAATTGTATTAGTCTGTTCTCACATTGCTATAAAGAACTACCTGAGAATGGGTAATTTATAAAGAAGAGAGGTTTAATTGGCTCTTGGTTCTGCAGACTGTACAGGAAGCAAGGCTGAGGAGCCCTCAGGAAGCTTACAATCATGGTGGAAGGTGAAAGGTGAAAGGAAGTAGTCATCTCTTATATGGCCACAACAGGAGGAAGAGAGAGAAGCAGGAGGTGCTACACACTTTCAAACAACCAGATTTCATGAGAACTCACTTGCTATCACAAGACTGGCAAGGGGGAAGTCCACCCCCATGATCCAATAACCTCCCACCGGGCCCCTCTTCCAACATTGGGAATTACAATTTGACATGAGAATTGGGCAGGAACACAAATCCAAACCATACCAATAATAATAGTAATAGTAAAAACTGGTCCCAGGCACTTATTAGTGGTATGACTTTGGGCAAATGACTTCCCTTCTCTAAGCCTCATTTTCTTGTTTATAAAATGAGACAACAGTACCTGCCTCATGGGTTGGTGTGACTACTGAGTAATGCAACACAGGCACAATGCCCTAGCACAATGCCTAGCACACAACTGACACTCATCAGACATTTGTTTTTAAAATCCCAACCAAGAAATCTATCTTTGATTTATTATAATAACAAATAACAACCAGTCAATATTCAACATTTCGTAATTTTCCACAAAATGATTTTTATAGCTTTAAAACAACTTTTCCCCCAGTTCCAAGATTCGTGCTTTCCATTTCATTGACAGTCTTCTTTACTACCTTTTTTTCTAAAACAGTGGCCCCTCCCCACCGTTTTTTTTTTTCCTGTCATGACATTGACACAAAGTTAAACCAGGAAGTCACAAGAGGCAAAGAACGGAGCTCCCCACCACAGTCGTGGTATGAGTGGGGCTGAAGACTGGCTTGAGTGATGTGTCTCCTTTTCACTCATGTGACCGCTGGTTATGTCAACTGTGCCCAGGGCCAGGACCGCCTTCTCTATGCCAGGTATTTTGCTGAGCACACTGTATACATTGTCTCCGCATCTCTCAGCAACCCAATCAGTCAAGATTATTATTATCCCTGTTTAACAGATGAGAAAGCTGAGGCTTGGGCCAGCTCAGTAACTTGCCTGAAGTCCTACAGCAGTCATCAGCAGAGCTGGGATTTGAACTTGGCTCCAAACTCATGCTCCTTTCCCTACATCACTGTCCCTGCTTCAAGGAGTCCCCACCTACAGGAATGGACTAGCACAGAAACAACCATTTCAACAATACAGTGACAACAGTGCCATCACACAGCACGCAGGAGAGGCACAGGAACCACCAGAAAGGAAGCCCTTCTTGGGGTGGCCAGCAAGGCTTCCCGGGGGAGGTGGCATCCTGCTCTGCAGTGACAGAGTGGATAGGCTGTCACCAGAAGGGCACAGGTACACAGCGGACGAGGCTGGAAAGCAGGTGAGCACCAGGCTGAGGAGGGTCCTGAACATTTTCCTTCATTTTTTATTTGTTCATTCATTCATTCAACAAATATTTACAGAGTTTCTTCTAAGTGCCAGGTCTATTCCAGACACTAAGAAAACAGCAGAGAAGAAACAGGACAAAAACCTCTGGCTATGTGGAACTTAATCTAACACGAAAGAGACAGCAAACAAATAGGTAAGTAATAGAGATGGCAATAAGTGTTGCAGAGAAGGATAGAGCAGGGAAAGGGACAGGGAATGCCTGGGGACAGAGGCTGCGATGCGGGAAGGCCTCAAAAGATGTTTGAGTAAAGAGCTGAAGGAGGAAGGGAACTGGTTGTGGGAGTGACAGGAGAAGAATATTTCAGGCAGAAGCCATTGAGCTAAGAGCTGGGACTTGCTTCTGGGTCCACTGCAGGGCAGCACATGGCACTGGGGAGGGGGATAGCATGAGGGAGGGAGGCCAGTGCAGTGTGGCAGCTCAGGTGTGCACCTGCTGGAAGCCACAAGCTTGGAGATGGTGCAGGAGGTGGCAGGGAACAAATGAGCCAAAATGCTTCCACAGGTGGGGTGTCCACATGTCTGTGACAGGAGCCCTGAGCTATTCTCAGCCCCACTAAGGACTCTGAAGAGGAGAATTTGGGACACAACAGGCAGGGCCTCGCAGTCCCCATCTAAGCAGATGGAGGAGTCCGCCTACCTCAACTGTGCCCAGGGCCAGCACTGCAGAAGCTACCACTCATCTGTCATTCAGGTCACAGGACCCCACCCCACTCCCCAGCCCTGACAGCCAGCATGGGGACAGAAGGGGCAGTAATGAACCCCCAAGCCCCTTTGGGACCTCAGCTGCTAGGGAACTGCTATGCAGATAAATTTAACCTGGCAAGTTACCTAACCTTTCTGGCTCTCCATTTCTTATTTGTAAAATGGGGATAATGACAGCACCTATATCTTAAGAAAAACTGAATGAGTTAATACATGTAAAGTGTTCATAACACCATTTGCATGTGGCAGGAGTTCAATAACTGTTAGTATCTATCATTGTGAGTGTAGTTGTTACGGCTGCTATTATCATCACCATCACCATCACCATCGACAGCAGTCCCTGGCTACATCCCTAGTCTACCCAGACATTTCCAGTACCATGGGGGAGGAAAAGAGCTGGGAAATGTAAACTATAGAAAAAGTGCCCCCCTCACCTCCCCCTAGCTTGCAGGCCCCCTCCACTGTCCTCTCCTTTTCCTCCAATCTGCATCCCCTCCTTTTTTCTGGGCTAATCTTGTTTTAATCTTTTCTTTGGATTCATCCTGGCCCCGATGTAACACATCCAGAAGTACACTAACAGCTCATTAACTGCCACAAACTAATACATTTTATCCCATGTCAGGCCATGTCTAATCAATGGCCATAATAAATGCAACTCCATTCTAACAAGCTTCTGCACTTTCAGGACACTTTTCGTCCAATGCCTTGCTGACATCCCAGATACCCCAAGGAAAAAGGTGGTGTCTTGCCAAGTTGTAGTATCTTGGCATGTAAGAGTCATGAGAGCTCTAACAAGATAGTTGCCTGTAGACATGCCTTATCCTTCGGCTTGAAGATGAAACGAGGCCCAGGGAGGGGAAGTGAATTTCCCAAGGTCACACAGCAGGTTGGGTGCCAAGCTCAAATGAGAACAGGAGTTTCCAAGCTAACATGTATTAAGCCCTTAACACCATGAGGCATTTAATCCTCATAGTGACCCTAAGAGCAGATACCATCTATATCTTCATTGTACAGACAAGGGCACCATGGCTTGGACAGGTTGAAGGACTTGCCCATGGTCTCTAAGATGAGGCTGAGGAGGCTGACCTTCACCACCATGTGGTTTTCTAAAGGTTTCTCCTTTAAGGAGAGGAGAGGAGAGACAGGAGGAAGGTTTACTTTAGCCCATCACAAAGTGAGATCTAAGAACATGAACCCTGAGGGCCACAGAGGTGAAGCTTCAGGATGCCGGCTCTCATGTTTATTTGAGATATGTGTTAGGTTTCCCCAGCTGCCTCTAGGGACTCTGTCTGGGTCAGCCTGGCAGAGGTGGGTTCCAGATGGCAAAGGACTTAACTGTCTTTGTGCCAGCAATTTGTTGCCACAAATTCATTGAGACACATAATATAATACGCCCCCTTTTTAAAAATTGCAGTGCCTAGATCTGGCCCCGGATCTGTGTTGCTGGTGGGAATGTCCCCATCCATTAATTGAGTGCTCCTAGAATTAGCGGGGATGGGAGGGCCTCCCCTAGCTGGTTTGGAAACCAGCACCTTCATGTTTATACCAATTCCCCACCCATGTTTGGCAGAATGAATTAAACAAAAGTCAAAACCTACTTCAGCAGGGTTCCTTACACAGAAGGAATTTGCTGTGTGAAGTCCTGGGACCTCTTGAGTCATCCTGACCACGGCCCTGCCTTCCAGCCCACCTGTACCGGAGCCCCTCATGGGAGGGTCCCTGTGAAGCCACCAACATCCAGGCCCGCAGGACAGACCCAAATCCATTCCCAGTCACTGCGTTAAAAAGTCAGCTTTGTCCAAACGTGCCTTTACTCGCACGGCAGACAGGCCTAACGGGCCAGAAGGGATTTGTTAGGCTCTCTAGATCCATCATAATCTGTGTTTAAAGGTCCCCAAATGCCCATTTAGACAATCCACATTTTTTAACAGCCAGTAAATACTCTGGTACCGGGTCAGCATTTTTAAAGGTCCTTAAATAGCTCATTTGCATAATCCATATTTTCAGAGCCCCTAAGCATTCATCCTCCCTATGTAATCTCAATCTTTATTATGTGTGAGGAAGAAAAGACTCCAAAGGAGTGTAGCGGCCCTTAGCGCCCCTTCTGGAAAAACTGTTTTAAAAATGACCAGATTTTCAAAAGCAGGCACAGGACCAACCACAAAAGGAAAGTTTCTAAAGGAAAACTATTAACCTGTGCTGGCCTGTGAATGATCCTTCCGTAAAGGCAGGAAAACCCCCTGCGGGCTCCCCAAGGACACTAATTACACAACAGGCCCTGCAAACACTTCCAGTAAGGTTGGAGCCTCCCCTTTCCTATGGGTTCCCTCCTGGAGGCCAGGAGGTGCAGGCAGGTTCCCCCAACAGCTTTTCAGCAGCACCTTCCCAGGTTTAGTCTCAGCTCAAAGTCTTCCCTGGGGGAAAGGAAAGGCAATTTGCTAACAAAATGTAGGTCCCATGATTGAGGATCACTCAACACAGATATGGGGCAAAGCCTTTGCCTCATGGGTAGCAGCGTGGATCCTCTGTTAGTCATAAGACCCAGAAGACCGTGAGAAAAAGCCCTTTTGGGACCTCCGGGTCCCCAAACCTCAGCATCCCGCAACATACCCATGTAACAAACCTGCACGCGTACCCCCTGAATCCAAAATTAATAATGAAAAACATGAATCCAAGACAAGATGGACCCACACTGCTGCCCCTCCACTGTCTCAGAGAGAAAAGCTATGTCTTCATCAGAAGGTTATCCAAATTCCAAATCATCTTCAGCCACAGGCAAAACGCAGATGGAACTTGCCAACAAGATGCTGAGCCGAAGAAGCAGACGTGAGAGGACAGGGACTGATGATTCTGTTCCCTCAGATTCCCAGAACAGACAAAACTCATCTACGATCAGGGAAGCCGGGACCTGGGTTGGGAGGAGGCGCTTGGGGGCGCCTCTGATCGCGTGATATGGGTGCCCTGCATCTGGCCGTGTTCACTCGGGAAATGCTGTGAGCTGCACTTTTTTTTTTTTTAAGTAACCCAAATTCTTTTAGTTCCAATTTCAACTTCCTTAGCATTACTCTGAAATCCTCTCATGCTGCACTTTTATTTTTACTCTTCTGAGCACATCCGGGATGCCCAACTCTCTGGAAAGAGGGATTAATTTTTTTTTTCGGTCCAGATTTTTGAGATTATTTAGGAAAGGTTTAGGGGAAGGAGAATATTTATAGCAACAAGGACGTGTCTAAACGCACTGGAGGCTTCTTTGCCCGGAACTCCCACATCTGCTAGAAACCACCCCCCACCCCCACCTCGGGGAGGGACTCTGAAGAGAGTTAGGGGAAGAGGGAGGAGAGGGGGACGCTGGCAGAGAAAGCCGGCCAGGTCTGACCGAGGGGATGAGTGTCTGAAGCCAGGGGGCTCTGGGCTTCTCCGGCCTCAGGCAAGAAGCGGGGCTGGCTGCGGTCGGGACCCAGCGCCCCCCAGGCCCTCCAAAGACTGGTTGAGCTCAGAACCAGAAGGAGCGAGGGAGCAGAGAAAGCCGGGGGCGGGCTCGGGGTAAGACAGGAAGGGAGTGAGATTAAGGTGAGAAGTGGGAGGGGAAGGAGGGAAACCGAGAGGAATTGAGGGTGGGCTCGGCGTATCTAGAGCAGTCCGCGGAGGACGCTGAGGCTCGCCGGGGAAGTGCTGTGCCCGAGGCGCCCCAAAGGTGGGCGGCGGTGCCAGCTCAGACCCACGCCTCTGTCCAAAGTCCCGACTCCTGCGGACTCGGCTGCAGGCGGGCTCCATGAGGGCGGGCAGCAGGGCTCAGACGATCCGGCTCGGTTTGGTCAGCAGACCCCCGGTAACGCCCCGCACCGTCGGCGATCCCTGCCCTCTTCCACTGCGCCCCCACAAGCCCCGAGCTCGCCAGTCCTTCCCTGCGGCGCTCCGCTCTGTGGCCCCCTCGCATCCCACCGTGGGGGTGCAGCTCCCCTGGCACAGCCCGACGGTGGGAGAGGGCGGCCAGCTGGACTAAAAGCCCCGTCCCCCGGCGGGACCTTCCTCCCCGCACCCTGACGCGGAGGTTGGCCGGGGGCCTCTGCGTCCCTCTGCCCCGCGCCCTGGATGGGGAGGGTCTGGGCTCCGCGCCGCGAGGCAGCGCGACGGCTGCGGGCGACTTGGCGTGCGGTGCTGAGGACCCTGGGGGAGTGTGCGCCGCGGGGACGCCGGGGACTCGGGGTCCTAGTGCCACCGGACGCAGCGGGAGTAGCGCAGGTCTGGGGGCGGGGTCTCTCGAGGCGCAGACAACAAGCTAGATCCTGAGCCCTCTGCTTCAAAGCGGGTAGCGCCTTCGCCCACGCCTTCCCTCCCACCATCCCTGCCTGGCTGCCACCCGGAAGTCCCCGTCCGCGCCCCGACAGCGCCGCCCTCCGGCTGGCTGCAGCGCGGGCCCTCGGTAGGGGGCGTTCCAAGGCCCCGCCTCCTCGTCACTGCCACGGATGACGACGCCCCAGGCCCCCGGCCCCGCCTCCGCCTCTGCCTCCGCGGCCAGCACTGGGGAGCGTCCTGGCCTGCGCTTGCTCCCCAACCCCTCCTTGCCCCGCTCTGAGCCGGCGCGTCCTTGCTCCCCCACCACTCTTCTCTCTCGGGCCAGCCGAGCCCAAAAGGCCTCTCCTCTTCTGTTTTTCCAGTTCCCTCCTCAATTTCACCTCCTCGGAGACCCTCCACCACCCAGATCTTCAGCGAGCAAGTCACCTTTCCTTTAGATAGACAGACAGGTTAGAGATAGATTAGAGAGATTAGATAGAGATTAGACGGATAGATTAGATAGACTGATAAGATGAAAGATGTAGATGGTAGAGATTTGCATACATATGGATAGATACATATGGATAGATCATAGACAGATGGATGATTGATACGATGTGGATGATAGATGGTTGGATAAAGATGATAGTTATAGATGATAAAAAGGCATAGATGATAGATACATATAGATGACAGAGATAGATAGAGATGATATATAACATTGTAACACGTATAGATAGGCCACAGATAGGTAGGCAGTGGGTAGATAGGAGGTAGATGGATGGATATGCGTATAGATATAGGTATATGTCCTGAAGGGACAACCCGGACCCCAGGCTGGCCAGGACAGTACCCAGGCTTTGGCAACCTCCTCAATAGACACGAAGCTGCAGGTTTTCAGCTGCTTACGCCGGGCAAACTGTAAAGTGCTTTAAATCCCTGGAACTAACCACAACGGCAGCTTAGCCTGGAAACTCAAGTGCTGGCTGCAGGCAGTTTGAGCGCAGCTCCAGGGCTGCAAGGTTGCCTGCAAGTAACACGACATTTGTTCATTCTTTCAAGCATCTGCTGAGCCTGTTGCAGCTGCCTGTGGCTGGGTTCCGGCACTCAGAGACCCTGGGCCTGCTCGAGAGGGGCTGACATTATGGTGGGCATCAGAGACACCCACACAGAGCCTCACTTGATCCATGTGGCAGTGCCCTGGGAGAGGGCAGGGAGGGGTGCTGGGAAACACGAGAGGGGCAGGCATTTGACCTGGGTCCTGAGGACGGGCTGAGGTTCCCAGAAGAAGAAAAACCACATCAGTCAGAGGCACCAGTAGGTGCCCATAGGAATAGAGGGCCTGGTTCCTCCTGGTCCAGGAAGCAGTTTTGTGGGGCTGGATCCCCGGATCCTGAGATGACAGTGGGTGCTGGGGTGTAGCTTGTGCTCAGAGAGGAGGAAAGCTGGCTGAGGCCAGGTTGAGAGGGATTCTGAGAGCCCATCTATTTCTCCTGTTCCCATCTCCTCTGTTATACCTGTCCCCAGGCACCTGAAATGACAAAGGTGCACAACCCCGGTCCTCTGGGCGTGGACTTCAAACCTATACACATGTGACAATCCCCGAGTTAGACAGCCCTCCTTCAGGAGCAGCTCTGGATGTCAAAGGGTTACGCTGCTGTCAGCAGCCCCTCCCTCTGTCTGACCTGAATCCCCCCCACCCACCCAGGGACAGCCTCCCCCTCAGGGTGACTCAGCCCCTGACTCCCAACTCCCTCCCTGCCATCAGCTAAGACTGTAACTGGTTACCATAGCGACCTCAAGAAGCCCGGTTCATACCCCTCCTTCCTGATGAGACCTGGAGGTCTAAATTGCTCCTGAGATGAATGCTGTGCACAGCTCCTCACCTGCAGAGATATTTGACAGGCAGCATCCCAGCGCCTTCCTCCCCTGCACAAACTCAGGAAGGGAGCGATGGCAAGAGAGGGAGGCCAGATGACAGATACCTCCACCACCGGGCCTCCAGGCTAGCACTTCCCTCCATAATATGGGGGTCCCCAGGGAGAGGAGGACAAAGGACATGAAGGCAAGAGCTGAAAACTACCAAAGAAGTTTTTGGTGTCCCCAGGAGAAACTACAGGTAATACCAAGATTTTCCATTCTTCTAGGCCATCTTTGAGAATGCACTTGGGAGGGATGGATCCTTATTTGTGAAATGTTGTCTTTCTCAGCAAAGTTTTACACACACACATGAACACACAGAACACCAAAAGATTCTTCCTGAAACATGGTCCATTAAGCTCCTGCCCCAAACCATCAATAGCTCCCCATTGCCAAAAAAAAAGACCCAAGCTCCTTTCCCTGGCCTCAGCCTCCTTTCTACCTAGCGACCTGCCTTGCTGCCCCTAAGAACTCCTGTCCCACTCTGCATGCCATACCCTCAGCAGACCACTTCCTGCTTCCCAAAGGTGCTCTGTCTCTCCTGCCACCATGCTCATCTGGAGATGACCCTCTGCCTGGGCCACCCTAGCTCCGTGTTCACTTCCTCAAGCTCAGCCTTCATCCTCAGGCCCCCTCACCCACTCCCCCAGTTAAAATTTCACTCCTTCTTCCTGGTGGCACTTTTGGAGTCCTGTTAGAGAATAGCGTCTGCCATGCATCACTGAGATCTAAGTGTGGCTGTCATCTCCATGGCCTGGGGCCCGTAAAAGACCAACATGTTTCACTCACTTTCCTATCCCTTCACCCCTCAGAGGGTCTAGCATGGGGCCAAAAGCCAATGTGAATTGCTTGGCACTGACCCACCCTCCCTCTCCTCTCTGACTTGCTTTCTAAGATCTTCACCAAAGATGAGTGAGGAGACTGAATGGGCAGACACTTCACATTCACCCAGGGAAGCCTCCATCCCCTGGTAAAGACACAAGAACAGGGGAGCTGAACCCTTCGCCTCTGGACTTCGGGACCACCCATTGTAACTATTCTTCCTCCATCCCACCTCTTCAGAGCTGTGACTGGCTGGAGGGAGGTGGGCTGCTGGGCTGCCTCCTCTGGGGATGGAGACAGGGCAGCCTGGCCACAGGCACAGGAGGCAGGACTCAGGAACAGGCTGCTAGAACGCGCAGGTGACATTCCAGCTGTACCCAGGCCCAGGTCTGGGCCCCAGTTTCCACCTAGAGGTGGTGTGAGCAGTGTGGCAGCTGGCTCTGACCGCCAAGACATGGTGAGCTGAGGCTGCAGGGCCGTAACCCTGGCAGGCCCCAGCCACACCTGCAGACACAGCCCTCAGAGGCAGAGGCTAACACGGTTAATTGGTTCCAACCTTCAGCTAAAAGTAGGAGCATTGATCAGGCACCCGTGAGGCTCAGAAGCTGTGGCCTCTGAGGATGCTGTACTTCCGTGTAAGCTCAAACCCAGAAAAGAGAAATCCGATCAGAGGTTGTGGTGCTCACTTCCCAGCCGGGCCAGAGTGGGGCAGAGAGGCGGCAGGCTATAAATAGTGGAGGAACCGCCACTGATAATCCACTGGAGAGAAGGGATAGGGCACTCTTCCCCCAGGAAGGAATGGCAGGCCTCTCCAAGGAACAGCGGGACCTGTCAGAGCAGAGGACAGGAGATGGTGGCCTCATCCCCACCCACCCAAGGCCCAGTCCCCTTTCCCTGTCTGTGAAGTGCTTGCTTCTGCCCTGACTCCGTGGAGCATGGGGACTTACAGGGCAGGCATAGGATGAGGGGACTTCAAATAATGGTCTTGGGAGTTGAGTTCAGGCTCTCAGTGGAGCCAGGGCTTGGCCAGAGTTCATATGATTTCAGTGTAGGAAGCCGACACCGTCTGTGCATCCCGACACGGAAGCACAAGTCCACTCTCCTGTCACTCAGCCATCCCTCCAGAAATGCATCCCTCCATCCATCCATCCAAATATCTAGTCATTCAGTAATTCATTTGACAAATAAGAATTGAGTCCCAATGATGTGGCAAGCCCTGTGCTAAGTTCCTTGTGACCTCACCTGTAAACGGTGCTGCTTCTCCCCGTCCTTCTTAGGGTGCTTGTAAGAACCCATCGAGGAAAGAAATGTGCTTGCAGCCTGGGAAGTATCACACATGTATCGGTGAGTTGGGGCTTTGACAGAGAGAAGCCTTTGGGTGCTTCCAAGAAGGGAACACCCCAGCCCCTAAGAGCTTCCTTTCCCTCCTTTGGTCCTCAAAATCTCAGCCAAGGAGGCCTTGATTGGCATTCATGGGCTATGGCTTTTCAGGTCAACTTTGAACTCTTATGCCTTTTTCCTAATATGAGGGTCTAGAATGTAAATTTTGAGATCCTTACTGAAGTATGCTTCCCCCTAAACTTGCTGTGTGCACTTGGGCAGGCCAGGTGACCTCTCTGTGCAACAGTTTCATCCGCTGTAAAATGGCAGTGACATGAGTAACTATCTCTTAGGGCTGTTGTGATGATCAGAGAGTCAGTATATGTGAATTGCTTAGCATAGTGGCTGGCACAGAGTAGGTACTATCTAAGGGTGAGCTACTTGTGGAGATGATGCAATCTGGCCCTGGGAAATGGGGGTTCAGGCTCACCTTTTACAAAGGGACCCTAGGGGGTCCTATGAGGCAAATGCTTCTGGCTTTAAGATACGTCAAGCCTTAGTCTCCTCAGATTTTAAACCATCTCCATAAAACAGCTGTCCTAGGAAGGAATCTTGGGCTTCTCTCAGAGTCTCAGACCAGAAACTCTGTGTCCTAAGACACTGCAGCCTCTTACAGGAAGGCACTGCAGGTCTCACAGGGAGAGGAAGAGTTATACAGAACCCTGTCTTCCCTCTTCCTACACTCATGTGGGTAAAAAGCTTAGATTTTTCTTGCACTTGGAGTAGAACAAGGGGTACAGCTAAAGTGATGGACTGCTGAGAGTTTCTAGCTGCTGCTGGATTCCATAAGTTCCATCGGATTAAGGATGAGCTTAATGTATAATGTATAAACCCATGGACAGAGACACTGCCTTGTTTAAGCAATGGTTTACATTCATAACACAAATATAAATGGATAGTCATTTCTTTCTTCAGGGCCCAGCACAATTCATTAGTAGCTTCTAGCCTTTTGTCCCTTTCAAGCAGAAAACAGACCCAGCTCAGAGAGCAGTGGCTGGGTCTGCTCAGGACCCAGGAGCCCAAAGCACACAGGATCCCAAACGCTCCAGAGTCCATAGAGACTTTGTTGTCAAGCACATCAGAGATCATGACTGCTATATATTCTTGGTGCTTCTTTTCATCCATTCAGAGTCTCAAATGTTCTCTCTTCACTTTCCTGCTTCATTCAACTATGCTAAGACTGACAGCCTCCTGAGATACTAACGTGATAAGACACAATCCCTGCCCTCAAGGAACTTTAGGGTAAGCCTGTCTCCCTGACCTTGGCTTCCTGAACTTAGCCTTGTTCCATATAAACCTTTTTCCTCCTTCCTACTTTCCTCCCACCATCATTGCTGGCTGGTACCAGCTGCTTACTTTGTGTTTCTAGTTGCATTTCCTTAGCCTCTGTCTCCAGCTGAGCACTGGACTGCACACTGCAGAAAACAAAGGGGAAGAAACAAAGGCACTGGCCTGAAGGAGTTCATGGCCCACTGGGGAGCTTTTTCAGAAATATAACCAAAGAAGCCCTTGCCCTGGAGAGCTTTCAGTCCACAGACAGTGCATCCTAGATAGAAAGGGGCCCTCTCTTAAAGAGGTCCAACCCTTCTCATTCATGTAACTATGGCACAAAACAGTAGGTGCCAGTAGCACAAACAGTTCAGAGAAAGATGCTGCAGAGCGCTGTTGCCTTAGCATCCCTGGGAAAGGTGCATGGGCTGTAACCAAGCCCCATTGTTCCACCTGGGTGATCATGGCCATTGCTAGGGGAGAGCAAATTTACATGTGGACACAGGTACTTATGCTCTACCTGCAGCGACTCAAAACTCTCTTGCTGTTCAAACATGTCCAAGCAGTCCCCCTGGGTCCAAGGCAGAGGGCCCACTCCAAGTGGGAGACCACAAAATGACCTTATACAAACACCAGAAATTAGGTCTTAGACACATGAATGGGACAAAGACTAAGTGTCAAAATCCCAAACTCAGTCACCAGCCAATGGGTGAAGCGGGCGGCAGGAGCAGAGGAGAATGCATGCGCTTCCTCCAGTGTCATCTTTTTCCATCCCTACGACCCACAGAAGGGTGACATTATTCCCCTTTTACAGATGCAAACACTGAGGCCCAGAGAGGTTATCTTGCGCAAGGCCCTGCAATTAGTAAGTGGTAGAACCAAGACCCAAGCTTTTTATTTTTAAAGCTGGGTCTTTTCAACTATACCATTCAGACTACAAAAGCAGAGAAATATTTTCCACTTTTTTATTTGTTATAAATATTTCATTGATCAACATTTAGTTCCTCAGGCACCTGTGTAAGGTCCTCCACGTCCCAGGGCAGGAGGCCCGGGGCTCTAACTCAAGGCCGTGACCCACAGACACACAGGAAAGGCAGTCCCCTCCCTCCCTTCCTGGCCACAGCAGGGCTGGTGCTGCGGTGTCAGTGCTCCAAGGTATCTGTCGAGGCAATTTCAGCTCCAGTTTGCTCAAACTCCAGACCAAAGGCTCAGTCGCAGACTCTGATGTGCCGAACAAAACCAGAGACAGGAACTCGTCTCAATCACTGAGTCAGCTGGCGGTGAGAAAATGGGCAGGTGGAAAGCTGGGGAGGGCCCTCCCTCCATGTCCCCATTTCCTAGACTGAGCTGGCCCTGCATTTTCTGCACCCAGGGCTGCTCCCAGAGCAGGCACTAGAACCCTCTGCAGATCCCAGACCCTGTTCTGCCCTGGAAGCAGTGAGGCACCTCACAGGCCCCCGAAGTCATCTGAGGCTGGTGGCTGGAGTGCAGTGGCATGATCACAGCAAGAAATCCTCTAACCTCAGCCTTCTGAGTAGCTGGAACTCTAGGCAGTGCCACCACACCCGACTAATTTTATTTTTTGTAGAGATGGGGTCTGGCTGCATTGCCCAGGCTGGTCTCAAACTCCTGGGCTCAAGGGATCCTCCTTCCTCAACTTCCCAAAGTGCTGGCATTACAGGTGTGAGCCACTGTGCCACCTGGGACTGCTTTCTAAAGAGATTTTCTATCTTAGAATCTGTGGGGGCCACTTGAGGAGGAGCTGGTGAGAGGTGGCATAAAGGTCTGGCCTGTTCCCCTTTATTTAGGGTTGAGGAACCCCACAGCGAGGGACTGCTAACTCTGCCTTCAGCATGTCTGGGAGCACAGTCTTTCCCCTGGCTCCATGAAGGCCTCCTGCGGATCATTTCTCACCTGCTGCGGAGCCACCTGCGGTGCTGACTGTCCCCTCCTGAACCCTGTGCCTCTCTATGCCTGTCTTCATTACCAGGGTACGATGTCCTTCTCCAGCTAGGTGGATTGGTTCCCAAAGACTCCGGAATGAGGAACATTTGCAGACAGCAAACTTAAAACCCTACGAGAAGAATAGGGTGGGGGAATTGTGGCTGCAGATGAGCTTAGGAAGGTCCTTGGATGTATTTCTTCACATGCGTCACAACACCACGCAGCCCTATACCAAAGACATGGCACATCCCGAAGTCTTCCTCAAAGGTAAATGACAATCAATTTCCAATTTCCATTATTTGCTCCAGAGAGGTGGTTCAGGAATTCCCTCGCCCTCAAGTTTAAATGAGATATTAATGAATTATTTTTGCCTTGTTGCAGACAACATACCTGTTAGGAGGTGTGTGTGTGTGTGTGTGTGTGTGTGTGTGTGTGATTCTCCATCCAAGTGTTTACTTCCTTTCTCATTTCATGACTTTGGGTTATTGACTCCTGTCCCTCCCCAACCTCTGCCCTCCCCAGTTGGGTGACCTGGGACCAACTCCCCAACCTCCACATCTGTCTCCTTATTAGTGAAATGGAGCTATGACAGAACCCATGATGTAGGGATGCTCTAAGATTTAAATAAAGTAATCCAGGTAAAATGCCTAGTCAATTGTCTGGCACCTAATAAGCATTCAGTCAGTGGTAGCCATTACTTTCTTATTAATAAACTCAAATATCACAACCTACCAAGTGTCTGACTATCCTCAGGGCTTGGCCTCTCCCAGACTTCATCTGTCCCATGCTGGCACTGTCAGAACTATGCCCATGAGGCCGAATCACCCTGACTATTTTGAGGCAACCTTGCTCCCACATTTCCACCATCTGTTGAAGGTATTTCCTCTATTGACCCCCAGGGAGGCCCAAGAGGGCCAAGTCACAGATGGGATGGGGAAGAGAATCTAGAACTGATCCCTCTTAAAGACAGTGCAGACTAGCAGACGGCTGCAAAACCTGGGTGTTGGGGCCCTGGGAACTTCCAGAAGTGGACCATCCATCCCTACTCCTCCCAGAGTTACACACACATCCCAAGTTGAGACAGCACCTGTGACTGGCCTGGCCGCACACTCACCATTAGGTGGTCAAGACCGGCTCTCTAAAGTGGCTGCCTCAGGCCCTGTGGCTCCCAGTAACCAAAGTCCACAGGAGGGGTGGTGCAGTCTGATTGATCCAGGAAGTGAGCAGTGATGGGAACAAGGGATCCCCCCATCTTTCTACGAGGCCTTGGAGCCGACTGGAGCATGTCACAGAGGGGTGAGCAGGACTTATTTCATCATATGTTCAAATGCTTGTGACAGACTTCCAGACACTTCTGTTCCTGCCTCTTCTCCCAAACACACACCCATCCACAGGAACCCTGTACTCATGTCCGCCAGATTCATGTCTACTCGAATAAAAACTTCAATTCAGTGGTTACGTTTGATGTCCCTGTGCCTTTCAACACATTTTTACATAATCTGACTTTAGAGCCTTTTCTTTATAATATGCTTCCTTTCTAAGAGGAGCCGATGCCTTTGGTTAATGGAGTCTATTCAAAAAATACCTATTGAATACCTGCTAAGGCCTGCTGAAAGCCAGACACTTGGGGTGCAGGGAGGGGTTGCCAATGGGATAGAGGAAGCCAGAGACACATACTTTCCCTCCAAGAAGCTTAGAGTGGGGGCGGCCTGGGGGAGATGGAAATTCACACAACTAATGCCAGGCTTGGTAAGTACACGGAAAGAAGTGAACACAAATTGCTTCAGGAACAAAAGCCTAATTCCTGTGTTTGCATGGGCCTCTGATTTCAGGTTTGTGAATTCATGAGTTACGATTTGTTAATATACATCATGGTGCATGAAATAAAGCTCTTGATCTAATAACACTAATACACACCAAATAGAGTGTGAGCTGGATGAGTAATTAGTGAAGCTCTGGGGTGTGACATTAGCCCTGCTTGTGGAGGGAGGCGTAGCACTGCCTATGTGTATATACAGCCATGCCTCCAGTATGGCAGCCACCAGGCACACGTGGCTACTGAGCACTTGAAATGTGGCTGGTCCAAACTGAAATGTGCTGTTAAATACACATGAGATATCAAAGACCAGATATCAAAGAATCAGTACAAGAGATTAAAACAGCTCATGAATACATTTTGTACTGATTACATGTTTAAACAATAATATCTTATACTGTCATGCACCAATCAACAACGGGGATACATTCTGAGAAATGTGTCGTTAGGCGATTTCATCATTGTACGAGCATCACAGAGTGAGTTACACATGCCTAGATGGTGTCGCCTACTACACACCTACGACACACCTAGATGGTCTAGCCTACTACACACCTAGATGGTCTAGCCTACTACACACTTAGATGGTCTAGCCTACTACACACCTAGATAGTCTAGCCTACTACACTCTTAATGGTGTTGCCTACTACACACCTAGATGGTCTAGCCTACTACACACCTAGATGGTCTAGCCTACTATACACTTAGATAGTGTTGCCTACTACACACCTAAATGGTCTGGCCTACTACACACTTAGATGGTCTAGCCTACTACACACCTAGATGGTCTAGCCTACTACACACTTAGATAGTCTAGCCTACTACACACCTAGATGGTCTAGCCTACTACACACCTAGATGGTCTAGCCTACTACACACTTAGATGGTCTAGCCTACTACACACCTAGATGGTCTAGCCTACTAAACTCTTAATGGCGTTGCCTACTACACACCTAGATGGTCTAGCCTACTACACACTTAGATGGTCTAGCCTACTACACACCTAGATGGTCTAGCCTACTAAACTCTTAATGGCGTTGCCTACTACACACCTAGATGGTCTAGCCTACTACACACCTAGATGGTCTAGCCTACTACACACTTAGATGGTCTAGCCTACTACACACCTAGATGGTCTAGCCTACTAAACTCTTAATGGCGTTGCCTACTACACACCTAGATGGTCTAGCCTACTACACACTTAGATGGTCTAGCCTACTACACACCTAGATGGTCTAGCCTACTAAACTCTTAATGGCGTTGCCTACTACACACCTAGATGGTCTAGCCTACTACACACCTAGATGGTCTAGCCTACTACACACTTAGATGGTCTAGCCTACTACACATCTGGATAGCCTAACCTACTACACACCTAGATGGTCTAGGCTACTACACCCTTAGATGGTCTAGCCTACTACACACCTAGATAGCCTAGCCTACTACACACCTAGATGGTCTAGCCTGCTACACCCTTAGATGGTCTAGCCTACTACACACCTAGATAGTCTAGCCTACTACACACCTAGATGGTCTAGCCTACTACACACTTAGATGGTGTTGCCTACTACACACCTAGATGGTCTAGCCTACTATACACTTAGATGCTGTTGCCTACTACACACCTAAATGCTCTGGCCTACTACACACGTAGATGGCGTTGCCTACCACACACCTAGGCTATACGGCATAGCCTGTTGCTCCTAGGCTACAAACCTGTACAGTACAATACTGTACTGAATACAGTAGGCAGTTGTAACACAGTGGTAAGTATTTGTGAATCTAAACATATTTAAACGTAGAAAAGGTAAAATAAAATATGGTATTATCATCTTATGGGACCATCCTCATATATGCAGTCCACCATTGACTGAAATGTTATTATGTGGCATGTGACTATGTATATTGGGTTAAATAAAATATGTTATAGAATTAAAATTAATTTCATCTTACTTCTTTTTACTTTTTTTGTTTTATTGTAGCTACTGGAAAATTTAAAACCCCAAATGTGATTCACATTTATGGTCCACCTTATATTCCTATTGGCCAATGCAGATCTAGAGCATTCATATTCGTTTCGTCATTTAATTCTCACCACCATGCTACAAAGTAGGCATTCACCCCCATTTTACAGTCAAGCTAATTGAGGCTCAGAGAAGTAGTAAATTACTCCAAGTCACATCACATTAGGCTTCAGCAACTCACTTGAGCTGATGACTATCTTGGGCCAGTGGCTCAAGGCCTTGCAGCAAGATGAAGGCCAAGACAACCACGTCTACTGGCAGTGTGGCCTGGGGCCAGTTATTTGCTCCATTACTTGTGGGTAAGAACAGAAGGAGAGTAGGTACTCCGTGTGTTCAACAAGTGAGGACGGTCATCATTGTATCACACGTCTTAAAAATATCCCCTCCCCCTGGCGCCTCCTACCTACAAGGCCCACAGTTACAGCCTTTGAGGCTGGGCTAGAAGCCCCTCTCCTCCCCCATTATCAACATCCCACCCCTCCAGAGTGGTGCACTTGTTGCAATCGATGAATCTACATTGACAGATCGTCATCACCCAGAGTCCATAGGTTACATCAGGGTTCATACTTGGTGTTGAACATTCTGGGAATTTTGGCGAATGTATAATGATCTGTACCCACCATTACATTATTATCATACAGAGCAGTTTCACCACCCTAAAAACCCCCTGTGCTTGGCCTGTTCATCCCTGCCTCCCTCCAACCCCGGCAACCACCGAGATTTTTACTCTCTTTATAGTTTTGCCTTTCCAGAATGTCATCTAGTTGGAATCATACACCAAGTAGCCTTTTCAGGGTGGCGTCCTTCACTTAGGAATAGGTTCTTCCATGTTTTTTCATAGCTTGGTAGCTCATTTCTTTTTTAGCACTGAATGATATCCCATCGTTTGCATGGATCACAGTTTACCCGTTCACCTGCTGACGGACACCTTGCTTGTTTCCAAGTTTCAGTAAGTATGAATAAAGCTGCTATACGCATCTGTATGCAGATTTTTGTGGACATAATTTTCAATTCCTTTGGGTAAACGCCAAGGAACACTATGCTGGATTGTATAAGACTATGTTTAGTTTTGTACAAAACCACCAATAGCTGTACTATTTTGAGTTCCCACCAGCAATGAATGAGAGGCATGCTACTTTGATGAGCTCATTGCCATGTTATTCTTGTTTGTAGGAGCTCCACCTTTCTGGCCAGACCCCAGCCATCCAATCTCACTGGGGTTCCTACAGGTAGCATTTGGCACTTGGTGGATGTACCTTTGCCGCTTACTAATAATTACAGCTCATGGCAAGCACTTAATATGAGCTGGGAACTGGGCAGAGGTCTTTCCATATCTTGTCCCATTGACCCTCACAGCAACCCTATGGCCCAGGCACTATGACAGTCCACATTTACACACAGGACAACGGGGTCTCAGATGTGCTCAGTGGCTTGTCCAAGGTCACACTGCTGGCAGGTGGCAGGGTGGGATGTGAACTCTCTGCAGGTGGCCCCCTGGACTAGGCTGCTCCCTGGTACCTGTCTCTCCATCTTACTTAGCTATGAGCTCTTTAAGGGCCAGGACAATACCTCATGCGCCTGGAAGTCACCCCCACCCTGTGCCTGGTGCCTCACCTGTTAGGACACCAGTGATGCTGGCTGAGTCCTCAGCGACCCTCCCAGTCCTGTGTCGTAGGCTCTGCTCTTTCATGTGAGCTGTCCCCAAGAACCCAGCCCTATCTCTATCATCCCTCCCAGGCCCCTTCACTCTCATAGTCCCAATTTTCCTTCTGGGCTGTTGACCCCCAAATGCCACACCCAACCTGGTCTTGTGCAAAGATCTCCATTTCCTTTTGTCTCTGAATGCTGTCATCAGTTGTCCCTTTAGGAGACCCTTACAGACCCCTCATATTCGCTGGTAGGGACTGACTGTGTTTCCCCAGATCCATATGTTAAATCTCCAACCCTTAATGTGATGGTATTAGGAAATGGGGTCTCTGGGGGTGATTAGGTTTAGATGAGGTCATGAGGATGTAGCCCCCATGATGGGATTTCTGTCCTTATAAACAGAAGTGCATGAACCAATGAAGGACATGTGAGCATACTACCAGGAAGAGGTGGTGCCCTCCCGTCCTCACCAAGAACTCGGGCATGGTTGGCACACTGGTCCCAAACTTCAGCCTCCAGAACCAAGAGAAATCAGTGTCTGCTGTGTGAGCCACCAGTCTCTGGCTTTCTTCACAGCAGCCCAGTTGACTGACATTTGCCATGACAGAAGACGACCTCATTGTCCCTCCTTGCCAGTCCCCCCATTTCCTCACGTCAGTGCCATTTCCACTTGCCCTTTAGCCAGTCCCCTGGAACCCAGGACACTCTAACTCTCCTCTCTTATTCTAATTTTCAATTCTCAATTTCCCCTTCAAAATCTCTCTTGGGTTCTTACCTTTCTATCCCTACTCCACGATCTTGGCTGAAGCCATTTTCCATCCATAACAGAAGAACTCTAACAGTCTATGTGGTGTCCATACCTCCAATCTCCCTTCATCCAGTCATCATACACACAAATCTGCAACAGCAATACCACCCAAACCATGTAGATCACTCCACAACCCGCTATGGCTCCCTACTGCTGCTTGGATAAAGTGCACTCTGTTCTAGTATTCCCAGACTGCAGGAGTCTCACCCCTAGCTGCAGCTGTCCCAGCTCACTCTGCACAGATCCCTGCTTTGGCTCAGTCCACCCCCTCTCTGTTGCCTGCCCGAGTTGGGCTCATTTCCACCTCCGCGTGGCTCCACATACAGTCCCCTGGCCTGGACTGCCCTCATCCTCCTTCCCTTTCCATCTGGGTGACAACAGGCCTTCCAGAATGGTCCCAAGGCCAGCCACAGAATCTGTGGATCGTTCTAAACTGCACAGATTGAGAATGTACATGCTGCCATTGTTTCTCTGCAGATGCCATCAAACAACAGGCCTCTCTTGGTAGCTGGTGTCTCTTGCTCACCAACAGGATGCCCTCCAGTGAGGAGGTGTCCAGCAATCCTCAGATTGCATACCCTTGATCCTTGATCAATGTCGAAGTAAAAAGTAAGCCTAGTGACAACCCGCAGCAAAACAGTCTCCCTCTTGAGAAATCTAGCATGTGCCCGAGTGCCAACCCACCAGCAATGACCTCTGCAAGGGTCCCTTACAACCTCAGGTCCCACAAGTGACAGGGACATTCCTGGGGGTGGCGTGAGGGGAGGGACTCAGATCCCTTGTAGACAGCAGCAGGTTCCCCTAGGACAGCATCCCCCTAATGGGCAGTAGTTCCTCACCTCTGCCAGCCAGCCAGCCAGTCTCTCCTAGGCGTGGAGGGTGGGAATGGTATGAAGTGAAACCTCCCTACTCCAATGCCCTCATCTGAAAGCCCCAAAATGAGGAGGGAATTGCCCTCTCAGGCTCCTCATTGACCACCTATGTCACTACCATTCAATAAATGTGGTATTTGTTACAACTGTCCTATGAAGTAGGTACTCTTATGACCATTTTAAATATTAGAAAACTGAGGCTCTGAGAAGTGGCACAGCTAGTAAAAGGCAGAGTTGGTAGAGTGCACACCTACTGGCTCTCTCCTGGCTCACGGCAAGCCCATTCCAGCTAACTGCTCCCTTCCTTCACAGAGGGGAACCATGGTGGTCTTGTTTGAGATGACCCTGTTCACTGGCTGCTACTGATTGAACCAGAGGTGGGCTCCTGATCCAAGCTGGGCCAATCAGAATCTGGTATTGGGAGAGAAAATGCTTAGATAAAGAGCGAGAGCAATAGAGAAAGAGAGAGAGTGCGTGCAAGAACGTGAGAGCATGAGGGATATTTTAGACTTCCATCTCCTAATCCACAGTGACCCAACGGCTCAGCTGCACCCTTGCCTTGGGTCTCCTGAGATCTCTCCTTGGGGCTTATGCCAGCCCAGTGGGTTCTCTTCAACTAGAAGGAGAGTAAGCAATAAGGTCTGAGGCAGGTCCGAGTAAGGCACTGGAGGTGCAAAGACAAGTGTAGCCCACGGGGGTTCCTGGCTGCAGGAATTTGGGGCCCACAGCAGAAAGAACCACTCCAGGAGACAGGCCATGAGAATAGAACAGTAAGGCCGGAGAGTCAGGGACACTCAGCGGGGATCTGCCAGCATCCCAGGACTGTGCTGCTGAGAAGGGGCTGTCCTCTTAGCTGGGCCAGGGAAGGAATGGAGAGCAAATGGGTTTCATGCAGATTTCAGATGAGGCCTGATTGCAGCATTCTAGAAGAAGACATTTGCTAGAAAGCCCAAGTGCCACCACCTCCTCCAAACCTCTCCTAACTCTGGCTAAAATAAACGTGACAGTGAAACTAGGACTTTATTCACATGGCCCTGCCCGTATCTTCATTCCTATACTGGAATGGAAAGTACTGATGCAGAATCCATGTGTGATTTATTTTTGCATCCCAAAGCACCCAGCCCAGTCCCCAGCCTATCCTAAGGAAGTCTGGAAGGATGCCTGTTGAATGAGTGCACAGGGAGATCCCCCCAGCAGGCAGCCTCTGCCTAGCCACAGCTGTTTCCAAGCAGGTGTGCGTGTCCCCATTCAGGGCTTCTGAGACAGGGCTCCCAAGACAGGGCTCCCCCGTGGGGCAGGCAACAGGTTTGCCACAGAGGTCCCTTACTACTCCTGAATTCTAGGGTGCTACTGCCCCTCTGGGAGAATCTTGCCTTTGCTCATCTAGTTTTTCTTCTGCTTCTTTTACAAATTGGCACCAGACGCAGGGCTGAGAGCCAGATTAGGGAAGAAAGCTGTCAAAAATATCTCCCCTCCAGAAAAAGCAAAGGAAAACAACATCTTGGTGGGTTTTTCCAGGGGAAGAAAAAGTGAAATAGTTTCTTTTTGCCTTCTATGTGTTGCCCGAAAATGGCAGTTTTGCAGAGAGAAAACATATTTTCCTGAGCAAAGCTGTTTGTGGTGTGAAAGACAGAGTGTGTGTGCTGAGTACAAAGACACAAATTGGCCCGAGGCTCAGCTACGCATGCTATTTTCACATGAGTTTAGATTAGGGAGGAAGAGGTTGGGGATAAGAAAAAATAAAATCTTTGTTTTGTGAACATGAAAAAAATGTTGGCCTGGAGCAAATTCAAACCTGGTGTCTGGCACAAGGCAGGGCTGTAATAGAGATGTGTTGAAAGAAGGGAGGGAAGTTGAGGGCAAGACTGTTTGCCCTCCCCAGGCTCACCAGAGAAGGTACAGGCTCACTCCAACAGCAGGATGGCTCAGGAGCTGGGGCCATTGCAGACTGCAGCTAGGGGTCTGCTCCAGGGCATGGTCAAACACCCCTCCAAGCCCTGCCTCCTGCCCTCTCAGGACCTACCTTACAAGGCTCCTCAGAAGACTAAAGGAGGTAATGCCCACAAAGGTGTTGACACTGGCCCTCCCCTCATGAGCACTGAGGAGCAGTAGTGGCTTTGCTGGTGGTGGAGATGGTGATAGTGATTGTGACCATGAAGATAAAAAGATGACAACGATGATGATGGTACCGATGGTGATTGTAGTGGTGATAATGGTGATGGTTGTGATGATGAAAACGATGATCAGGATGGTAAGGATGATGATGGTAATAATGATGAAGATGATGATGATGGTAATGTGGTGGTGACGATGGTAATGGTGATAATGATGATGATGAAGAGGATGAAGATTATCACGATGGTAATGATGATGATGGTAATGGTGATGAAGGGGTTGATGATGATGGTAATGGTGGTGAGGATGATGGTGATGAGGATGGTGGTGCTAAGGATGGTTACGATGGTGATGGTGGTGGTGACAGTGGAGATGCTAATGATGATGATGGCGATGATGACGATAGTGATGGTGATGGTGGTGGTGATGATGATGATGACGATAGTGATGGTGATGGTGGTGGTGATGATGATGATGACGATAGTGATGGTGATGGTGGTGGTGATGATGATGATGACGATAGTGATGGTGATGATGATGATGATGGTGATGATGATGGTCGTAATGATGATGATGGTAATGATGGTGATGATGATGATGGTGGTAATGACTATGGTAATGATGATGATGATGACAATGAAGAAAAACAAAATGAAGAAGATCACGATGACAATGATGATTATGGTGATGGTGATGATACTGTTAATGGCCCCTGCCCCACTCATTATGGGCACTGCCCCATAACCTCTGCTTCCCTTCATTGCTCTACCAGCCCCTTAGAATTAGAAAGGCCTTTCCCCAAAGTCGACCTGAAACAGAGTCGCTCAAAGGGTAGTCTGAGAACCAACTGAATGAGAAAGCCTCTGGGTGTGTGTGAATTATGCAGATACCCAGGTCCACTCGTATCTTCAGATTATGACTCCTAGGGGTCCAGAAATACACATTTTAAACAAGCTCCCCAAGTAGTTCTTCCGTATACTAGACATGGAGAGCCACCCATAGAATCCAGCTCTCTCATTTTACAAATGAGGAAACTGAGGCCTGCAGAGAAGCAGCTTGGCCAGCCAGGAATGGCAGAGCCAGGACTATAACCACATCCTCAAATTTCAAGAGCAGTCCCTTGTTGCTCCAGCATAGCCTGTTTAGTCAACCTTATGTGTTAAGTGCCAACTGTCTGCAAAGCACAGTCCACGACCAAACTAAATGAGAAAAAAACAAATCACATAAAACGCATGCCTCAAGGAGACATGGCCTGTGTAGGAGATAAAAGAATAATGGGGAATGGTGAGTGCCAGACAAGGGGAAGAGAGAGAAGCTGAGGGAGTTCAACAGGAAAGGCTGCACAGTGTGGGAAATGAGAGGCTGGAGGATCTCAAAGATCCAGGAAGACGGCATGGAGGAGCCAGCACTTCAGCTGCAGCTTTGAAAGATGAGCACAGTTTAGCCAAACAAAATAACAAGAAGGGTGCCACAGGCCGAGAGAGCATCATGGGTAAAGGTACAAGGCAAAATGTCCAGGACATTTATGGGGAAGGGGAAGAAGCTGCATGTGTCTAGAGCTCCAGGTGAAATGTACCACATGAAGCACAAGGATGGGGGAGCCAGAGAATATGGGTACCTGAAGCTAGGCAGGTAAGATTGGCTTTTACTCTATGGGCAACAGAGAGCCATGGCAGGCTTTCCAGGAAGGGAGTGACATGCACCTTAGACAGGTCAGCCTGACAGCAGCTTAAAACTAGATGGAATGGGAGACAACTTTGTCCCTAAGCTCAGTCCCCTAAAGATACCAGCACATGACTGTCAGGCCCCTGCTGGGACAGCTGCCCCTCCCTAGGCCTGTCCATTCTCTTACCTCCCTCCTGCCTCTGATGGGGAAGGGGTGATGGGTTGGAAGTGGGTGTGTGCAACATTTACCATGGCCAGGTCTGCTCTGTGCTCTGTCCCCACCCAGCACACCCATCTCCATCCATACCGGCCAGCCTTGCCTGTTCCCTCACAGTGATGCATAAGCTGGGCTTCTCCTGCGGTGTGATACTAATGTACTAGCCAAACCCTGAGAGGCCACATATGGTGGGTGAGGGATGTGGGACTGCCAGACTGCCAGCCAGTGCCCTGAAGACTCTGCATTTCATATGCATACACATTTAGTAGTAGTGTGACCCTGGGCCAGTTACTGATTCTTTCTGAGCTTCGGTTTCCTCATCTGTAAAATGGGGATGATGATACTTACCTTAAAGGGCTGCCATGAGGTCGAAAGACAAACTATGACAAACAGCCAGTCTCGTGCCCAGCCCAGCGTGGGTGCAAGCTATCTGGTGGCTGCTCGGATGATGATGATGACGATGACAACGATGACGTAGCACCCCATTTCCAGCTCACACCATCGGGATCACCGCCAGCATCAGCAGCATCATCAAGCCATCTTCCTGCGTTGTGGCAGCTTGGGCCCCCACTGGCCATGCAGGAGCCAGGAGATCAAATCATGAATGGGGCTCTTTGCACTTCAGGCAAAGTGCAACTCCAGGAAAGAGAGAAGATTAAGGCCAAATCTCTGCACCCAAACAGGATCCAAGAAGTGGGGTAATCTGGGACTCATCACATCTACATAAAGGGAGGAGGAAGCCCCAGGGTGGCCTGGGGAGGAACCCCAGTGGCCTAAGAGCAAGTTCTGCTCTGCAGCTGAACTTCAAGAACCCAGCTGCATCTCGAAGTTCTCGCTGAAGAATTTGGAGACCTGAAATATCCTGTTTTGCATGAATAAGCATTTCAAAGATATTGATTACAACAGCTCCTTACATGTGTACAGACAGTGGTGTGTCATTTCTCACACATTTTCAGATCCATCATCCCTGTGAGGAGGCAGGAAGGAGATTAGTGAGTTGATGTGATAGATGGGGAAACTGAGGAGAGGGAAGTAAGTGGTTTCCCTGAAATGCCACAGGTCTGATTTTTTTCCCTGAAAAAGGCAGGTCTGATTCTACCTACATCTAGGGCTCCCCTTTGTGTATCTGACCAGATGCATGTGAGAAATCTGAGTTGAGTTACCTGTGAAAGTCTTTTTTTTTTTTTTTTTTTTTTGAGGCAGGATCTTGCTCTGTCACCTAGGCAGGAGTGCAGTGGTGCAGTCACAACTCACTGCAGCCCTGACCTCCTGGGCTCAAGCAATCCTCCTGCCTCAGCCTCTTGAGTAACTGGGACCACAGATACCCACCACCATACCAGGCTAATTGTTTTTCTTAGTTTTTGTAGAGATGGGGTCTCACTGTGTTGCCTAGGTTGGTCTCTAACTCCTGGGCTCAAGTGATCCTCCTGCCTCAGTCTCCCAAAGTGCTAAGATCACAGGCATGAGCCATCACACCCAGCCTGGAAGTTCCTTCTTACCAGGCAGAGAGAGAAGCACTTCCAAGCTTGTAGGATTCTAGGAAAGTTTCTAATCCAATCTCTTCATGTCTCAGATGAGAGGTGGGAGACCTAGAGGAAGCCACTGTGCCCCTATTTAAAGTAAGAATAACCCCAAAGATATCTTCTCTGGTCAAAGAGTTTCCAAACCGTTGAATGTGAATCTTGCTACCGGCAGCATCAGCATCAATGGGAGCTTGTTAGGAATGCACATTCTTAGGCCCCACCCCAGACTTGCTACATCAGCATCTCTGGGTGGGGTCCAGGAATCTGCATTTTAACAAATTAGCCAGGTGGCTGCACAGTAAATTTTGAGAATTTAGCATGCTTAATCTGATGCATGCTAAGATCTGAAAAACACTGCTCTCAAGAGTTGGGGGTGAGTGTTCTTTGGAGGGTTCAACAGAAGTTTAAGGCACATTTTCATTATGTTGACGTAACTGTGTTTTTAAACCACAATTTGAAAACAGCCCTTGAACCCTAAGTTATATACCAAATTTTAACAACTGGGAGGCCACCTTGGGCCACAGACTTAGGTCACGCTTTCATGTCCGAACTCCCTGGAAGGTGGCTGCGTGTGTTATTCTGTGAGCACAGGGTGGGGCGTGCCCCATCCTAGGCAGTGCACACTGGCTTGAGCTAGAACCGCTCTGGCGAGCTCTCTCAGTTAGCTCTCCCCTGCTTGAGAAGCCCCCTAGATCGGGTATGAAAGCCAGCTGAAAACGTCGGTGCCCTCTGCAGGTTTTTGTATTTATTATGATCCTACTTATACTTATGACGAGGCGTGGATATCATTCAGTGATGCTACGTGACACAGAAATAACACAACACTTCTCAAATTTCTGCATCTGTTTCACCCAACAATTATAAGTTGAGCTGTTAAAAAAACTTTTTACCATCCACAACCACCACTTATGTGATTACATGAGTTGATCAAGAATTTTAATACTTTTTTCTTTTTTTAAGACAGGGTCTCACTCTCACCCAGGCTGGAGTGTGGTGGTACAATCTCGGCTCACTGCAACCTTCACCTCCCGGGCTCAAGCCGTCCTCCTGCCTAGGCCTCCTGAGTAGCTGAGACTACAGGTGCACATCACCACGACTGGCTAATCTTTGTATTTTTGTAGAGACTGGGCTGTGCCATGTTGTCCAGGCTGGTCTCCAATTCCTGCGATCTAGCGATCCACCCACCTCCGGCTCCAAAAGTACCGGGATTACAGGCATGAGCCACTGCACCCAGCCTCAATGCTGTATTTCTCAATACTGTGTTACACGCATGTAAAAATGATTGAATGGGCCGGGCGCAGTGGCTCACGCCTGTAATCCCAGCACTTTGGGAAGCTGAGGCCAGTGGATCACGAGGTCAAGAGATCGAGACCATCCTGGCCAACATGGTGAAACCCTGTCTCTACTAAAAATACAAAAATTGGCTGGGCATGGTGGCGTGCGCCTGTAATCCCAGCTACTTGGGAGGCTAAGGCAGGAGATTCGTTTGAACCCAGAAGGCAGAGCTTGCACTGAGCCGAGATCGTGCCACTGCACTCCAGCCTGGATGACAGAGCGAGACTTGGTTTCAAAAAAAAAAAAAAAAAAATTAGCCGGGTGTGGTGGCACACACCTATACTCCCAGCTACTCGGGAGGCTGAGGCAGGAGAATTGCTTGAACCCAGGAGGCAGAGGTTGTAGTGAGCCAAGATCATGCCACTGCAGTCCAGCCTGGGCAACAGAGTCAGATATATCTAAAAAAAAAAAAAAAAAAGATTGAATGCTAAGACTAATGTCTAAGACAAACTATTAACTACCATCCCTGATCCCTGATTTCAAATTTCTGTGTCAGCGAAAGGGGCCGGTTTTTCTCATTTGCAAGTTTACTAGCAAGTGACATTCTAAGTTTTAACTTATGGGAACCTTTATATGAAAAATGTTACTTGTATCTAACTTGTTTAGCGGTGAGCTTGTGTAGGATTTAATTTGAGAAAAAAGTGTCTCTGCTTTTTAAATGTTAGAAAATTACTAATTTAGGACACCCCGCTCATTTTATAGTTAAGGAGTCTGAGTCCTTATGATGTCATGTGAGTCACTCGAGGTCACACAGGTATTTTAAGTATAATTAAATCAGAGAGCAGGGACACATTGTGTGGAGAGGCACGAATAAATTGTGGGGAAAAGGGAAGAGTACACTTCATGGACTCAGATAAGTAATTGTCATTTTGTGTGTGTGTGTGTGTGTGTGTGTGTGTGTGTGTGTGTGTGTGTTTGAGGCAGGGTCTCGCTCTGTCGCCTAGGCTGGAGTGTAGTTGTATGATCACAGCTCACTGCAGCCTCAAACTACCAGGCTCAGATGATCCTCCTGCCTCAGCCTCCTGAGTAGTTGGGACCACAAGTGCTCACCACCACGCCTGGCTAATTTTTTTATTTTTTATTTTTGTAGAGCCGATGCCTCCCTATGTTGTCCAGGCTGGTCAAGGACTTCTAGGCTCAAGTGATCCTTCCACCTGAGACTCCCAAAGTGCTGGGATTACAGGCATGAGCCACCGCGCCTGGCCGACTTCAGGCATGTAATAAATTTAAGTGATTTAGATTGGCTTAGTTTGGCCAGAGGCAGCTAGGTGGGCTTCTGCGGCTTTAGCTACCTGCTTACACTCACTCTTTTCCCACTAGGGCTGCTTACCGCCCAACTCAGTTGTCGACGCCACCCCCAGCTGCAGGGCGGGTGGGCACTGAGACCCTGCCACTCAGAGCTTATGGTCCCCAGAGAGTGGCGCAGGCCCAGTGAGAGCCAGGGAGACCTCAGGGGACTTTGGCAGGAAGAAGCCTGTAGTGTCATCACACCGCCGAGGACAAGAAGGGAAGCACACGCCGCCCCACTCAGCTGCCCTAGAAATGCAAAGCAAAGGGGAGGCCACCAGCCAATGTACTGAAGTCATAAAATCCACTCCAGATCTCACTCATGGTGTGAAACAGAAAAGAGGGAGACTGCAGATCCAAAAGGCAGGAGGAAGCAACACCAGAGGGGGGATTGAGGCCCTGGGAAAGGTACAAAGAGTGGCTGGGCAATGAAGCCCTGGAACAGAAGGCTCTGCAGCCTCAGATGGGCCTGCAACAGCCATGGTTAGGCCAAGGCCAGCCTTTCCCTGCTTACTGGACACGCTGTGTGTGCAAGATGAGGGACGCGCACTGCCCATGAGTAACTTCTGTGTGCCTTTTCTCTTCCGAGATGAGGACATTGGGCCTTGACGGACCCATGGCTGGGGCCACCAAAGAACTTGGAACAGAGACAACACGCGCTGGCCCCAACGTCCAGGGTGGATGGAACAAGACCTTCTGGTGCGAGAGGGGAGAGCCCGGCGGTAACAGTTCCAGCCTGGTGGCCCACGCCCTCCACAAGGACTCCCACCAATTCCCATCTGTACTCGCCCCTTCCCAAGGACGGCAGCTGAGACCGTAGGGCCTTGAATATGCACCTGCAAATGAATAAGTGCACGTCCCGGCCCTACCTGGGCATACAGCCCCCACCTGACAAGCACAGGGAAGCAGCCCGAGCACAGCTCTACGAACGCCGGGGACAGCTGCTCTCCAAAGAGCAAAAGGACATCAGCCCGTTAGCGGAACAAGCTTCCTGTCCATGCCTTAAAAGCATAACTCGTTAACTGCTAAGTTGCTGAATTATTTATGCCACCCGGCTGGGGTTTCCCACCTTCCAGCAATTGCTCACTTTCCTATCCCCATCCCGCCACCCTCTGCCTCCCTCACCGTCGGGAGGTGAGGAAGCAAGAAGAAAACGGAGGCCCAGGCAGTTCCTTGGGAAGGGTGAGACCTTGCAGTAAGGACCCAGGCCGGGGGGACCTTCCACTCCCTTGTCCATAAGGTCCACGATGCCCTACTTTCCACTCCTGCAGGAACAGGACCCTTCCTGCCCAAGGCTCCGGCCCTGCCTCAGTCCCTCAAAACTACCACAGCCTCACGCCTGGAATCCCAGCACTCTGAGAGGCCGAAGCAGGAGGATTGCTTGAGCCCAGGAATTTGAGACCAGCCGGGGCAACATAAGCAGATCTCATGTCTGCTAAAAAAAAAAAAAAAAAAAATTAGCCAAACAGGGTGGCACCCACCTGTAGACCCAGCTACTCAGGAGGCTGAAGCAGGAGGATCACTTGAGCCCAGGGGGTCGAGGCTGCAGTGAGCCATGATTGCACCACAGTACTCCAGCCTGGGTGACCGTGCAATCCTGTCTCAAAACACAAAACAAAACCTACCACAGCCTGGGAGGCTTACAAACAACAGAAATTCATTTCTCAGTTCTGAAGGCTTGGGAGTCCAAGATGAAGGCAGATTTGGTGTCTGGTGAGGGCTCTCCTGGTTCGTAGACGATGCCTTCTCACTGTGAACAAACCCTCCTCATCAGGGCACTAACACCATCACTGGGCTGCACCTTCACGACTGATCGCCCCCCAAACCCCCACCTCCTAAGACCAGCACATGGGGTTAGGATGTCAACACATGCATTTGGGGGACATTAACACTCTGGCTGTAGCTAATGGCCTCCTGTAAAACAGAATCATTGCTTGTAGCGTCTCTCTCACAGGGGCAACTCAGGGAAAACCAAATCTCAGTTTGGGGGCCTGAAGAAGACTCCCAGAAGCAGGTATCTACGGACATCGGGCAGATACTGAAGCAAATGCTTTGACCATCTCCTCCGTGCTAGGTGGGGGCTGCAGGGACCTAGGGGCAATGTGGACCTTATGGACAATGGCCCATTCCAGCCTCTCAAACAGCATTGGTGGAAGTGGCTGCCACCCCCATCAGGATCAGAGGAGAGATGCCACTGAGACGTTAGGGACAGCTCAGTGTACCGTACATCCCTGAAACGCATTTTAGAAATGTTATTCATGAGGAGTTTATAAAAACTTGGATGATGCTTGTAACAGAGCATTAAGGGAAAACAAGCAGAACAAAACATTGTGCAAAGAGCATGACATCAGGCCGGGCGCGGTGGCTCACGCCTGTAATCCCAGCACTTTGGGAGACCAAGGCAGACGGATCACAAGGTCAGGAGTTTGAGATCAGTCTGGCCAACATGGTGAAACCCCGTCTCTACTAAAAATACAAAAACTAGCTGGGCGTGGTGGTGCGTGCTTGTAATTCCAGCTACTCGGGAGGCTGAGGCAGGAGTATCGCTTGAACCTGGGAGGCAGGGGCTGCAGTGAGTCAAGATCTTGCCACTGCCCTCCAGCCTTGGTGACAGAGCAAGACTTTGTCTCAAAAAAAAAAAAATCAACTTAGGTTTTGGGAATGATGTTGATGATGCAGATGCAAAGGGAGGAGCCAAAAAAGTTAACAACTGCTGGTACGTGGGTAGTGGGGTTGTGGGTCATCTTAGGTGGGACTAGAGGGAGAAGAGGAGAGGGGCCCAGGGCCCTGGGGGCTCAAAGAGGCTCGAAAGAAACCCCTCTGCCATCTGGCCCAGGCCAGGATAGGGAAGATCCTGGGACCTTACGCTACTGGTGGAATAAGACATTAAAAATGGTCTAATACATTGATACAGTTCAGGAAGTTTTCTCTCTGCACCAACACATATACACACACACATACATATATAAACACAACACACACAAATGCAAATGTAAACCACACACATGTATACACACCCACACTCATTGTACTGTATATATATAAGTGTGTGTATAAAGTCCTCTTCCCACCCCACTTGGCCTCCCAAAGGTACACACCAAACTGTAATTTTGCAGTGGTCCTTTATGATTAAATAAGCAAGTACACATGCACCTGTCTGATTTTCCCGTTTTTACCAATAGGAGGCATTCTAAACATACTGTTCTGCCTTCTTCACTCTTCACATCACAGCAGGACTGTGGCAGTTTATCACAGGTCGAGTCTCCCTTATCCAAAATGCTTGGGACCAGAAGTGTTTAGGATTCCTTTTTTTTTTTTTTATCTTGAAATATTTGCATTATACTAGTTGAGTATCTGATATGGTTTGACTGTGTCCCCACCCAAATCTCATCTTGAACTGTAGCTCCCATAATCCCCACATGTCATGGGAGGGACCCGGTGGGAGGTAACTGAACCGTGGGGACAGATTTTTCCTGTGCTATTCTCAAGATAGTGAGTGAGTTCTCATGAGATCTGATGGTTTTATAAAGGGCAGTTCCCCTGCACATACTCTGTTGTCTGCCACCATGTAAGACATGACTTTGCTCCTTCTTTGCCTTCTGCCATGATTGTGAAGCCTCCCAGCCAGGTGGAACTGTGAGTCCATTAAACCTCTTTTTCTTTATAAATTACTCAGTCTTGGGTATTTCTTCATGGCAATATGAAAATGGATTAGTACAACATCCCAAATCCAAAAATCCCAAATCTGAAATCTGAAATGTTCCAATGAACATATCCTTTGAGCATCATGTGGGTGCTCAAAAAGCTTCAGATTTTGGAGCATTTGGATTTCGGATTTTCCCAGATCTGGGATGTGCTACCTGGATAACATTTGGATCCCAGCAGTGGACCCTTCCATGGCCCCTGCCTTGGCAGAAATGGGGAAGGCAGCTCCCTGGGCCTCCCTAGCACTTAGGCCCAGAAGAGTCCTCCCTGCACTCCTCTTCCTGCCAGGTCTCTGGAACTCAGTGAGGCAGGGTGCAGGAGACTTGAGATTGGCCAGCCCCACGAGCCCAGGGCAGTGGTGGACCCCAGGCTTGTCCTGCTGTAGTGCTCTTGCCAGCCCTGGGGGGCTGGGGCCCACCCAGAGGGGTCCTGGTTGGAGACCTCCACAGAGTACTCAGAACACGCAGGGCTCCCTAGAAACTCCATGCATTATGGGAGGATAAAATATTTAAACCTATACAATATAAAATATTAACTTAATTATCATAAATAATATATGCCCAATGCGTCTTTACTGAAGAGGAAGAGAAAAAAAAAAAGATGAACACTCTTAGCGTGAGCACTCAAACACTGGTGAGGATGCGAGGTGGGGTGTTGGGAGTGAGTCTCCCCTGCAGCAGGAACTCAGCTCACATGCTTGGAGCTAAGCGGCTGGATGGCTGCAAGTCTAGGAAATCGTCCATCTCCTCCTGGGCCACCCAGCCTCCTCTTCCTGCTCCTTCAGGGAGCCGACCCTGACCTCTTCCTCCTTTACCTACCCAGGACTCTCTGGAAGTCCCTCCTTCACGTTTGACCTTGAGGAGTTTGTTTTACGTCCCCTGAGCCTCAGTCTCTGCCCCAGCAGCTGCAGAGCCCCTGGAGGGCAGGCACTGGGTCTTGCACTTCCCCTGGGCAGGGTCAGTCCAGGAAATCTCTACTGAATGAAAAGGTGTTCCCACCTGAGAACTAAAAATAAAATCCTAAGCCTCCCAAACCACTGAATGGTCCCACCCACCTCTTGGCCAAGGGAACCCCAGAGAAATCTTAAAAACTAAGTTCCCGCCCATGACAGGACAGGAGGTTGGATGCACCTCATTATACATACTCCCGTTTTCATTTAAACACTAGAAACAACTGACCAGCATTAATGCCAAAGCAGAGATCATAAGACTGACAGAACAGACTCTGTGGTGATAAGATACCCAATTATAAACAGGACCTAAGGCCGTGCAGGCAATGGTGAAGTCAGGCACACCTACACTTAAAGAATCAACTAAGCTCTAACTGTCACAGGGTTCTTCTTTTTCTCCAGCAGCTAAACAACACTTGCCTCAAGATAAGCAATAGTAAACCACTTGCAGCTCCACCAGACAGTGACTAACCGAACCCCTGTTCCACCAGCTGTAACTACAGCTTTGATTGGACAAGAGACTGATTTCAGTAACTTTCTCCTGATAAGACCACTGACCGTGGACTGGTTCTGGCTGGTTTACAGAGGCTGAGCACTGAGGGCCTTCATGTCCTTGCCTCACCTTTTAACGTACAGAACCTAACTGTAATGCATTTAAACGTTAAGTCTCCAACCAAAAATGAACATGGAACATAAAGTGCATGTTTGCTTACTATGCGTGCATGCATTCCCCCTTCATGAATATTCATAGCTCCTCCCAGAACCTGTTGAATATGTATTCTCAGCCAACCCCTTCAGCAAAAAAGTCCTTGCTTTTGGTTTTCAACCAGTGGTTGCATTTCCCGCCTGCAGTTTGCGATCTCCTTCTTAAGAAATAAAGCTCTCCTTTCTAAATTCATCAATTGTGTGATTTTTCAGCTGACACACCTGGGGCCCTTCCATCGCCAAGGTCAGCATGAAGTGTACTTTATGGCAAACACATCTACATATATTCCCTCAGATCATCCTCCCAACAACGCTGTCTTATAAGCAGGCAGGGTAATGATTTTCTGATTTTTTTTTTTTTTTGCTCTGTCACCTAGGCTGGAGTGCAATAGCATGATCTCAGCTCACTGCAACCTCTGCCTCCTGGGTTCAAGTGATTCTCCTGCCTCAGGCTCCCAAGCAGCTGGGACTACAGGCGAATGCCACCACTCTGGGCTCATTTTTTGTATTTTTAGTAGAGACGGGGTTTCACCATGTTGGGTAGGCTGGTCTTGAACTCCTGACCTTGTGATCCACCCAACTCGGCCTCCCAAAGTGCTGGGATTACAGGCGTGAGCCACTGCACCCAGCCAATTTTCTCATTTTACAGATGAGAAAATGAAGGCTTAGAGAAGATAGGTAGCAGGCTGAAAGACAACATCTTTCTAAGCTCAACTCCAGTGATCTTTGCTTACTTGTAACATTCCCTTATTTGCCCTTTGTGTTACCATTTCCACCCTCAAATCACTCTTTTTTTTTTTTTTTTTTTTTTTTTTTTTTTGAGGAAGTGTCCCTCTGTCGCCCAGGCCGGAGTGCAGTGGCACGATCTCAGCTCATTGCAACCTCTGCCTCCAGGTTCAAGTGATTCTCCTGCCTCAGCCTCCTGAGTAGCTACAGACTACAGGCACACACCACCAGACCTGGCTAATTTTTGTATTTTTTGGTGGAGACAGGGTTTCACCATGTTGACTAGGCTGGTCTCGAACTCCTAACCTCAAGTGATCTACCCATCTTGGCCTCCCAGAGTGCTGGGATTATAGGTGTGAGCCACTGTGCATGGCCTCAAGCCACTCTTAAAGATATTAAATATATCAATCTGATTTTGATTGTCCCAATAATGCCAGAGGGGAGGATGGGCAGCTATCACCATCTAGGTTCCTACTTCTTAGGGTCTGTGTGACTAGTTATAAAACTATTTTCTCTTTTAATCTTCCATTTCCTCTGCTATAAAACAGAGATAATACTACTACTGACCTCCTAGAATTATTGGGAGGGTTAAATTAAACAATGTGTGTATAGTGCTGAGTGTTGCGGACAGCTCGGAGAAGATGCTTGAGTCTAGCCATCATCATGAAAACTCCACAACACCAACCACATCAGGTCTTTCTCCTGTTCCTATCTTTCTCCTGCTCCCTTCCTTATTGAATTTCCACAGTCTCCACCACAGAGGCAGTGCACTGGTGTGACTTGGGGGTTACCACAAGGAAAATGGAAGAAAGTAAACGTTTACTGTGTCTCATCACTTGTAAGTTAAAAAATAAAAGAAAAAGAAAAGAGACAATAGCCACAGCCAGAGTAGGATGGCTGTTATCAAAATAACAGAAAATCCCAAGTGTTGTCAAGGATGCAGAGAAACTGGAACCCTTGTGCGCTGTTGTTGAGAGAATGTAAAGTGGTGCAGCTGCTGTAGAAAACAGTATGCAGTCCCTCAAAAAAGTTAAACAGAGAATTACCATATAATCCAATCCCACTTCCGGGTATATACCCAAAAGAATTTAAAGCAGGGATTCAGGCTGGTCACGGTGGCTCACACCTGTAATCCCAGCACTTTGGGAGGTCGAGGTGGGCAGATTGCTTGGGGCCAGGAGTTTGAGACCAGCCTGATCAATATGGTGAAACCCCCGTCTCTACTAAAAATACAAAAATTAGCTGGGCATGGTGGCACGTGCCTGTAATCCCGGCTACTCAGGAGGCTGAGGCAGAAGAATCACTTGAATCTAGGAGACAGAGGTTGCAATGAGCCGAGGTTGTACCACTGCATCCCAGCCTGGGCAACAGAGTGGGACTCTGTCTCAAAAGAAGAAAAAGAAAAGGAAAGAGAGTAAAAGAAAAGAAGAAAGCAGGGACCCAAAGAAATATTTGTACCCTTTATATGAACATTATAATGTTCCTAGCAACATTATTCACAGTAGCCAAAAGGTAGAAGTAACTCAAGTGTTCACCGGTGGATGAATGGATAGAGAAAATGTGGTTATTACATACAGCAGAATATTTTTCAGTTATAAAAAATAAGGAAATTCTGACACATGCTACAACATGATAAACCTTGAAGATGTAGTGCTAAGTGAAATAAGCCAGCCGCTTATTCACAATAGCCAAGATAAGGAATCAACTTAAGTGGCCATCCATGGATGAATAGACAAAGAAAATCTGAGACAGATAAAGATATAGATACATAGATAAATGTTTAATAGAGTCTTATTCATCCTTAAAAGATATTTAAATCCTGTGATTTGCAACAACATGGATGAACCTGGAGGACATTATGCTAAGTGAAATAAACCAGGCACAGAAAGACAAATACTACATGATCTCGCTTATGTGTGGAATCTAAACAACTCAAACTCATAGAAGCAGAGAGGAGGACGGTGAGTGCCAGGGGCTGGGGAGAAGGGAAATGGGGGGCGGGTGTTGGTCAAAGGGCACAAAGTTTCAATTCGGCAGGATGAAAGAGTTCTGGAGCTCTAACGCACAGCATGGTGACTATAGTTAATAACATATTGTCTACTTGAAATTTACTAAGAGAATAGATCTTAAATATTCTCACAGCAAGAAAAAAATAACTATGCGAGGGGAAGCTACACTAATTAGCTTACTTGCGGGAATCATTTCACAATGTATACACAGTGTATCAAAACATCACACAGTACACCATTAATACATAGTTTCCTTTTGTCAACTACACCTCAATAAAGCTGGGAGGGGAAGCAGAGTTCATGAAACCAGTTGTAACACAAAAGATATGTTAAGAATATTTTATTTTTCAATTTTTCATCAGGGATACCATGTGGCTTTCATGGGCTTCACGAGTAGGATGGTGATTCCACTACTGTGTACATTTACTGCTTTAATGCAAATATAAACTACATTTCAAATATGTCATTGGCCCATTTTCCATGAAAAAGAAACCAGTCACAAAAAGACAAATTCCACATGATTCCACATCTGTGAGGTCCCTAGAACAGCCAGATTCATAGAGACAGAAAGTAGAATGAGGGTTGCCAGGGGCTGGGAAAAGGGGGCATGAGGAGTTGTTGTTTGATGGAGACAGAGCTTCAGTTTGGGAAGATGCAAGAGTTCTGGCGATGGATAGTGGTGATGGTTGCACAACAGCGCGAGTGTACTTAATGCCACCAAACGATACGTTTACAGATAGTTAAAATGGTAAATTTAATATATGTATTTTACCATAAAAAAATTGGCCTTAACAACAGTGAACATGCGATTACTGAATCTCACTACATGATCCCAGGAACAGGCTCAGTGGATGACACTTCTTTCAGTTAATCTTTACAACCTTCTGATTAGTGTTGAAAGTCCCAGTTTTACAGATGGGGACTCTAAACTTAGAGGAGTTACCTGCTTTGCCAAGAAAATTCTCAAACACAGACATGTCAGCCTCCAGCGCCTGTGTTCTCCTGATTGCAACCCTGAATAGCTCCACCTCTTTAGCAACCCAGAGTGATAACAAGGGGACTGTCTGTATCCTTCGATCACACACCCCCCACGCTCAGTCATTGCAGCAGCCAGAAAGCCACCTGTTGAGCTGGTAACACTCAGCCCTGGGGAAGCCTAGCGCCTAGACACTATGGGGCTGAACTTCCGTATCTCACCGACAGGTCACCTCACACCATCAGCAAGGGGAATCCGGCCCTTGTTTCTCAACATTCTTTGCCTGCAGTTCTGAAACATCAAGCTGTTTAGGGCAGACGACTCAGGAAGGAAGTTCAGGTCTTCTCGCCAGGGGGAGGGAAACTACTGCTTTCTGGAGGCCTTGCCTTCTCTCCCCGCCCCGCCCACCAGAGTCCCTGTGCTCCTTTGATGAAATGGTTTCAGACTTGCAGAAACGCATATCGAGGTCTCTTAATATGTATAGCAATACCAGACAGCAAGGACACCTGAGCGTGTGTTAAAAATACAGGTTCCTGGGACCAACTCCTACGTGTCTGAGTGCCTCGGCGAAACCTGGAGATGTGTATTTTTAAAGGCCCCCGAGGATTCGGATGCACGGTGAGGTTGGAGAAGAGCTAGCCCAGGGGTCTCTACAAATGAAGGGAGCCCTGGAGGCTGAGTCCCCTTCCTGGGTGACTCTGGACTCCGCAGGCCTCTGGTCTGCAGGGTTTGTGCTACCCCCTGTCCTGTGAAGCCCCAGACCTCCCGGTGGCTGATGCCTGGCGCTGCCCCTGGCTCTGCGTGGTTCTGGGCCAGGCCTACAGCCTCTGCTCTGTCCTCTCGCTGGCCTCCCCCTCCTTACCCCTGCCCCATGGCACTGTCCTGCCCACTCGCTCCAGCCGGCCCCGCCTGTCTGTCAATTAAGTGGGCTTGGCTGGCTGCCCAGGTGCACAGTGGCTGAGGTGGCTGCAGGCTCTTATCAATGAGATCAACAGGGTGTCTGCTGAAGACGAGTCGGAACAAGATCCCGTGACTATGCCCTAGGTGGTATTCTGGAGGTCACCCTGCTGAAGTGGCTGGCCTTGGTGGCAAGAAGCTTTTCTGGGGAGGAAAGGGCTCTGGGTTCTGGGTTGCTCAGGAGCCCATTGGAATGGATGCTCTGTCTGCCTTTGCACTGCAGAGCAGCTTATTCTCGGAAAAGGCACCTGGGGTTCTAATGGCTGCAAGGCACCCACTGGCTTAATGAAACCTGCTCTTGGCATCTCTGCTGCCTCTTTTAATTCTTGTTTGGAGAGTAGCCAAAACCTCTATCTGTTCCCCCTTTTCTCAGGACATGACCCGGCAGGAGGGTTCAGAGCCCTTCCAGGCTGGGACTTTATTTGAGTCTATTTGTGAACAGGTGGATGCCTGATGGAACACAGCCCCTGACCCGGGGCTGGCTGCTCCCTGCGCCTCTCTGCAGGGGGCTGCGGGAATTAGCCTCCTCCAGGGGTGGCTGTACGTGAAGACCTACCAAGAGCTGAAGACCCTACTGACACCACTACGAGGGATTTTTTACTGGGGAGCCCCAGAGAGAGGGAAATGGATCAAGGCCCTGGAGCAGGCTTGGCAGCGAGACCCATCCTGCAAGAAGGGCTGCCAAGGCTGGCTGAGGTGCCCACCTCCCCGTGGGCTGGCAGGGGAGGCACCAGTGTTAACACTGGAAACACCTGGCTGATAAAAACCAAAAACATTCTCTCAATGATGGGTGAGAAAGAAGAAGAAAAAAAAGTTAACCAAATCTGTTGGGCAGAATTTTTCTAGTCTTTTCCTACTTAGCTTTAAAAGGCCTTCAAGAGTCACTAAGGGGCAAACAGCGCATACACACAGCCAGGAGAGAAAGACTGTGTCTGCTGCAGAGAGGCTAGAAGGACATTTCCCCCTTCTGTGCCTCAATTTACCATTGCAAAATATAGCGTCCATTGCCTTTCCCGGGCCCCTCGTGAGGAAATCATATTGCTGCAACCACAGAGATCTCGCATTTCCACTAGGAGCTGCTCCCTGGCCTTGAGCAACACGCTCCAGTCCTCGGGGTTTTCACTTGCAAAACAGAAACATTTACAAAGGAATATCAGGAATGGATTCCCCTCCTACTCCCAGGGCCGGTGCTGTTGTGGCTAGCACACGGAGACACGCAGATTCAGTGAAGCTGGCTGAGTAACAGAGACAAGCGTGCCAGATACAGGGAGGGGCAATGTAACTGCGACAGGATTCAAGAATATGGCCAACATCAGCTATCGTCGAGATCGCGGCTGATCTCAGCAATCGTGGCATTCACATTAAGTCCTGGTTGGAGCGAGTCACTTCGTCCCTCCAAGCCCCACGATCTCCTCATCAGTGTAAAATAAGGGGATGGGCCTGGATGATGGTCTCGGAGATCCCTTCCAGCTCCGACAGTCTACAACTCTATGAAGAACAATGAGAAAAAGACAAGTTTGTTGACAGAAACATTTTTAGGTCCCCAGCCAAATCCAAGGGACAGAAAAGGGAGAAAAGAGAGGGAAACAGAAGAGAGAAAGAGCTTTCATTTTATTTAAAAAAAAAAAAAAAAGAGAGAGAGAACCTGACTTGATATCCCAGAAAAGCTATGAAGAAAGAGAAAAGAAACTACTGGGCAGGAAAAGAACACTTGTGGATATTTTTCTTTCAAAGAGAAGAGCTGTTTGGTAGAGAAGGGCTTCCGTTTTCTACCACCAGCCACTCGCTTACATGCCCTCTGCCTGTTCTTCCCTCATGTCCCCACAGACGGATGACCATGTCCCCAGAACCATTGGCCCCATTCCTCAACACCTATCCCCCATTCCCCAGTGCTGCTCCCCACTCCTCCCTGCACCACCCACTCTTCTCTCTGGTGGTCACCCTCATCCTCAGAATAACAGCCCAGATATTTCAAAAATGAAAACATCCTCTGACCTCACATCTCCTCCAGCTATGGCCCTTAATTCTCTGTTTCGCCTTGGAGCAGAACGTCTCAAAGAAACTACCAGTATTGACTAGCAGCCCCTGCCAGTCTCTCATTCTTGCCAAAAAGTCACCAAAGCCCTTAGTCCTCCCAAGTCTGATGTCCAGCTCTCAGCAGCCCTCTCCCTTGGCCTTGTTGTAGCATTTAATTCAGTGGATCACCCCCCATCTGCTAGACTCCTTTCTTCCCTTGGGTTCCAGACACTTCTTCTTCCTGGTTTGCTTCTAGCTCACTGGCCCCCGATCACCCTGCTGGTTCCCCCACCTCCTGTCCTCCAGGTATGGCAAGCTCAGACCTCGGCAGCTGCCTGTCTCTCCAGTCTCCCCCTCGGTACTTTCCTTCCGACCATGGATTTTAACATTATCTAGATACTGATGACTCCCAAAGTGACATCTCCAAGCCCTACACTTCCCCAGGGGTGTTTCACAGGCATCTCCAACTTTCCAAATTCAAAACTGAACTCCTAAGTTTTCCCCTCCAGGCCTGTTCTTCCTTCGGGCTTCCCCAGAGGAGTAAAGGACACCATCACATTATCCAGTTGCTCAAGCCAAAAAAATAAGGCAAATCTTTGGCTCCTCTTTTCCTCACGCCCCATGCCTGATCCTTCTTACCCCACCTGCAGAACGTATGTCTGCATCTGCCGGCTTCTCCCTTCTCATCTCCTTGGCTGATACTAACTGACTCAATTCACGAGCAGCTTTTCCCCACTGCCTCCACCCTACACAGCAGCCAGAATGAAGGATTTGAGGTTGAAATAAGACTGCAGCCCTCCAGTGCTGAAAGCCCTCCAATAGCTTAGCCTTTTTTTCTGTGTTTCTTCTAAAAAAAAGCAAAAACAAAAAAAAACCCAAACAAACAAAACGGGATACACGTGCAGAACGTGCAGGTTTGTTACATAGGTATACATATGCCATGGTGGTTTGTTACAGAGGTGCGCGTGTGCCACGGTGGCGTGTTGCACAGGTATGCGTGTGCCATGGTGGTTTGCTGCACCTGTTGATTCGTCCTCTAAGTTCCCTCCCCTCAACGCTTAGTCTTATACTTCAGCATAAAATCCAATGTTCTTTCCACCGCCTGCCTCTCTGTCCCCTTCCCCAGACCCCTCACCCCCTCTGCTCCAACCAAACTGGCTTCCCTGCTGCTCCTTCCACTCTCCAAGCAGGTTCCCACCCCAGGGGAGCTGCGCTTGGGGTCTCCTGCCTGGAAGGCTTCTTGGATCTGATGTGCTCCTTCCCACCACCGAGGTATCTGCTCAAGGATAGCAGCTCAGAGGGGCCTCCCTTGACTCCCGAATCTAAAACAACACCCCCATCCCATAAGGCACTATCTGTCCCCCAGCTCTTGTTTCCCAGAGCACTTGTCATCTGAAATGAAAATGTCTCTTTTGTTTGTTTATGGCCTTCCCCACGAAAATGCAAACTCGAAGATAGGAAATTTGTGTGTCCAGTTCCCTGTGGAATCTCCCGGACCGACACTGGCTGGCATCTGGCATGCAGATGGCGCGAGGTAAGGCTCTGTTGAATGGGTGAGTTGGTGAAGGGATGGGTGTGCTGAGGGTGGGGGCATCTCCTTCAGCCCCGTTCCTGGACGTGAGGCTTTGGCTGTCTGGCCTGTGGGGGAGCCCAGAGCCCAGTTCTCTCTCCCCCTGGTTTTCTCTCCCCATTGCCCGCACCTTGAGTTAAAGCTGGTGTCCTCTCCTCTCTTCCCCACCCCCACCCCGACCCCTGTTTCCAGTTGGAATGGCCTTGCCCACCGGGAGTGAGCCCAGAGCAGCACACTCCGGGAAAGCTTGGGGACCTCTAGAGGGCTCGTTAGGATTCCTCTACTGCCCGCCCTCCTCCCACTCCCGCACCCCTAGCAGGGGCTAAACTCTCCTAGGCTTCCTGGCCACCTGCAGAAAGCCTTCTGGGCTGTTGGGCACCTGCACCGCTGAAGCCCCGGCCTGTGCTGCGTGTCTGGCATGTTTGGTCACAGTGCTGAGGGGCTCAGTCAGGGGTGCCAGAGAGCACTGCGCGGGGTCCAGCCTAGGTGGGAGGGGCTGAAGCCCAGCTGACCCCCCCACGCGCCACCCTGTGCACCCAGGGTGCAGCCAATGACTCCCAAGGGACCGCAGGCTTCCTTCTGAGCCCCGCAGACACTGCGCAGGAGCAGCAGGCTGGGATCCGCTATAGGCTGCCATGTGCCATTGTGGAGGAATCACTTCCTCATCCAGGCCTCAGTCATCTTGCTACTTAAAAAACATAGATGGCAAGGGCTAGGGGCAAGGGGCTTATTTTATTTCCAAAGTCTCTAAAGTCTCTGCATTAAGCAACCCCAAGGTCTCCGGCCCAGCACGCTTAACCATCTCCCGTGAGTGGCCTGACTCCCCTGCCACAAGGGTAAACCCATCAACCACAGCAGAGATCAATCCCAGGTCCTTCTGGTGCTAATTAGAAAGAAAGCTGGCTCCCAGAGAGCTGCATCTCTTCCCCATTCCCAGACAGAGGAGGTAATGAATGATTCATGGCAGGAGGATGGGCGGCATCCCTGCAGGTCTTGGTCACCGGCTTCCAGCAGGTGCTGCGCCTCCTGCACCCCCTTCCTGACTCTGGCTCCCAGAAACAGATGAGCTCTGATTGACTGGCAGTACTAGAATTTATCAACGGCTTGTTCTCTCTGGAACCAGCTTTCATTGATCAAATCTGTTTCTAGCCCTCTGTTCCTGAGAATTCCCACAGGGACCAAGATTCACTTGTGCTGTCCTGTGGATAAAAATAAAAACATCCCCCAGTCCACATGACTTCACTTTTTGCCATTCCTTCTCTCCAGCAAACATCCCCACCATGCCACCTAAGCAGGGAAGAGAAGGCGAGATATTACCTAGGTCTTTCCGCACTCTAGAATTTGATGATTTTAACATGTGTATACGGAGTTTTCAGCCATGCACAAACATGCTTTCTGGAGGGAACATGGGAAAATGCAAAGAACTGCTGAACCAATGGGCTACAAAGACAGAACTGGAGTGGATGTTTTTCCTTCTTTATATTTCCTCTAACATTATGTGATAACACTGTTTTGTGCGAAATAAAATATGGTAGGAATGCTGGGTGGGGAATCAAAGGGTGAAAGTTCCAAGCATGCACTGTCATGGTTGCTGGCAGGTGTCATTGCGGGTGGTTAAATGAAGTCAGAGGTTTGAGAGAATTGCATGCAAGGGGAGCCATATCCCCCTCCCTCTTCTGGACATGGCCATTGTTCCAAAGCAAGCCACATCTGGGCAGCAAGTGTTGAGCAGGACCAGAGGTGAAAAGAGAGAGCGCACAGTAAGTTTGTCCTAACTACTAACCTTCCTCTGATGACCACCAGAAGCTGCAAGGCCTGAAGCCTGACTCAAGGACTATGTGCCCTGTACAAGAAATCTGTCCATGTACCGGTGTTCAAGTTGCACACTGCCCAAATATGCAATGTCCTGGGGAGGGGTGCCATTTACGTTGTAGATCAACTTATCTGAGAGTGCATGGGTGGGCACAGAGTCCTGCAGTAGCAGTGAAGAGCTACATAAATCCACCTGGCAATGTTATAAGCACACACGCATGCCTGCCTCATAGGGCCCTATCCCAGCCATGCTCCGGGAGGGACCTGCAGTCACTTCTCCTTCCTGCCAGCCCTTTAGGAAACCCAATTCCTGCCCCCATTGAGGGAACAACCCAGAACAGTTGCCTATTCTTGCTGGTGGGTGGGAAGGAGGAAGGAAGTGTGGGTGGACGGGGTGTGATATTGCTGGTGTGGGTGAGGGTCCGAGGGCGGGGGCTGCCAGGGTGGTGCTCACTGGGGCCCTGGGAGCTCCTGGGAGGAGGAGGGCCAGCCCACCTCATACAGGTGTCCAGGTCACACTAAGGTGAGCCACCCAAGGAAGAGGCCCTTTCCTAATTCATGCAAAGGCCCTGTGGGCTAGTGGAAGCCTGGGCTCAGGCCAATCCTGTCTTCTCTGCAGGAGGGGAATGTCAAAACACAGCCAGAGGGGGCTGTAGACAAGCAGATGGCCACACCCAGAGGCTTTGCTTGGATGTTTGTGGGAGGAGGTATTAAATAAAAAATTATTCCCGACACTTATTAAAATGGTAAGGCTGACTTTATTCAGGGGGACTGCCACCCAAGTATAGGGACTACTACCCTGGAGTTTTCCAGGAAGTGAGAGAGATTGGGCTCAACTCTGATGACAACAAAGAAAGTAGAGATTCACAGCCCAGAAGCAGCGTGGGGTGGATGAAAGGATATCACTAAGAGGAAACATGGAGGCTGCAGGCAGGCCAAGGCAATAAGATCCCTAGGGTGGGGGAGGAGGCATCTGATCAGATATCAAGGGTGGGGGATTTTCACTAAAATCCTGACCCAGCAGGATTCTTGCTAAAACTGGAGTAAGCAGGCCAAGGCCAGAGCCCAAGGTCGGGGCCTTGAGGGCTCAGGGGAGCCTGCCTAGAGGCAGGTCAAGGGGTGTCTTTGAGGAGGCTCCTGGGTCTAGGAGAGCCACAGGCCTCCCTCAGCCCTGCAGGGAGCGGCATGGGGTTCCGCCCGCCCCGCCTCACAGCACAGCAGCCCCTCTGGGAAGTCTGGCCGCTGCCCCCAAATCCACGTCCCAGGACAGCTCTGTCTGACAAATAACAGGTTTGGAGCTGGAGGTGACTGCATGGACGGGGGCCTCCTGGATTCACCTAGGACTTTGCTTGCACAGGGCACATGGGCTTTCCAGAATGACCTGCACAGCCTCGTGGTGACCTCCCCTGGTAGAGGCAGCACAGCGGGCCCCGAAGTCCACTGCACAGGGAGGAAAGCCATGGGTCGGGGGTGGGCAAGAAGGCCTGGGCTGGGGAACCTGGATCACAGTTCTGGTCACACAACCTCCTCGTAAAACCTGATTTCCTTCATACCCCCGCTCCATACACTTTGTGTTCCAGGCAAACTAATTTCAAGTAGCAACAACAGGAAGCCTGTCTGAAGGCCCCCTCCCCCTGCTTCCGGGCCTGTGCAGCCCTTGGGTCTCGATTCAGGATTCCTCTCCCGCCCCACTTCTCACCGGCGCCCCCTGCTGGATGCCCCATAGGAGGCCGTGGACGACGTCCCGACTCCTCCTGGACCCAGTGCTGCTGGGGCTGGGGAGCTTCCTCCTCTAGGAGCGCTAGATGAGAGAGGCTTCCGGAGGCGTCCTGCTGCGCTCCCCAGACTGGGAGGCAGAAGCAAAATGAGCCTGATTACTATTCCCAGGGGATTGCTGCCTGCTTTTTATTTATGCGTTTACTGGGAAGCTCTTTATTTACATTGCTGTAATTTACATTTCCCACAAGTGCCTTCCTTTCCCATCTCCTTCCCTTCTCCACATTGCTAAACGTGGGTTCCCCAGTTGCTCCAGAACGCCGGCAGCGCACAGGCTCTTCTGAGAACTCCTGGGTAAACATCCCCTGTGTTCACCCGGAAAGTGTCAAAAGGGTGGGCAGACATTTCTGTGCACATGGCAGGCTCTTGGCACTTGGTTTGGAGATGTTCATCTACCCCAAATGCAACTCCTCAAAGAGCACCACCCCCATAAAGGCACCTCTGGCTGTCTGACCCCAGCTTCCCCGGAACTGGGGAAGGGCAGGTCACTGGGGCCACTGCGTTCTGGAAGCTGAGTGGTCTACAGAGGCAGCCACACAAGTGCAGCAATTAATGTCACCATTGATTTAGGTGAAGTCTGAAGGGTGCTCATACTCTGTGTGACCCCACTACCTTTTCTTCAATGGGAGAGGGAGCCTGAGCCCTTTTCCATGTCTTGCAGTCTTGGGTGCATCTGCCTTCCTGCTCCTCCCGTCTGCTCAGGCTCCAGCCAGGGGATCAGCTGGGAGGATGCAGCTCTCTTGGCCCCTTTCAGGCCTCTAGTCTCACCCTTCAGGTCTCTAGTCTCACTTCTCCCAGTCCAGGCTAAGAAACCCACAGGCAAGGTGGATTCTACCCCCACGTTGGTGCCCACCAGCCCACGTCTGACGCCTTGTCCTTGGCTGCCTGTCCAATCTGCGTACAAGGTGCAGCCATGTCACCATCTTGAAGCACAGCCCAAATCACATCCTTACTCAAAAGCCGTTCTTGATGCCCCGACCCAATCGAAGCACAAAACATTTTCCTATGACTCTCCCTCTCTTCATGGATCCTATTTGTCACCCAAACTAAAGAATAAGGAATAACATCAATTACTCTATAAGGAGCCCCCCTACTCCACACTGCCTGCTTTATGTGTCTTTGTCACACTTGTCACTGTCTAACTCACTAGATACCTTATTTATTTCTGGTATTCTCTGTCTCCCTCCCCCACTAGAATGTAAGCTTGCATGAGAGGGCTTTTTGTCTGTTTTGTTCACTGCTTTGAAACAAACAGGGCCTGACACAAAGGAGAGGCTCAAAAACCACCTTTCGAATGAATGAATGAACAAATGGACGAGAAGTGACATTTGTCCAGTAGTCCCAGTGTTCTGCCCTTGTCAAGTGCATCGTCGTGGCTCATCCTCACGACAACACGCTGAGGTAAGTGTTTTGCCCTCATTTCACACATGTGAGGCATTCCCATGAGTTCCCACGGTCACAGAGGCTGGGCGGGTGTAGTTTTGTTCAGCAGGAGTCCCTGTGTTGGGTGGAATGAAGGAAGGACCCAGGCTCCATTGGCGACTGTGTCCAAGCTTGGTCTGACGTCACCATCTGTTCCTGTCCTCACCTTCAATGCCCACCTGTCAAACCTCACCTCCTCCACAATGCTCTTCCTGACTCCTTCAGTGGGGCCTTGGGCCTTTTTTTAACCTTTTATTACATTCATACCTACCTCTTACTACTAAATGAGGAGTTCCTGAGGACACAATGCACAGACATGAATCACAGCGCTGAGCACCTGCCGCATCTGACAGACATTGAAGGTGTAATGAGTGCTTGTTAAATGAAGGAAGAGAAAGAAAATAGCTTGAAAATCATTGTGTCTGTGTCTTGTCATATGTCTGTGGCACATGTGTTGCCTTTAACTCTAAATGACCACCTTCATCCCCAACTTATTTTATTCCCAGGATCTATTCTAGAATATTCGAGGACTAAATATCGGACTGGGTCTCCCCCATTTGAGTTGTGTTCTGCCAGCACCCAGCGTGACCCATGTGGGAGGCGGTGGTATCTTTAAGTCGGAATGGGTGAATTTTTAAGTAGGGAGGGAGAGTGAATCTCCTGCAACATTTTTTTTCTCATTTTGAAAGGAATGTAATTGTGGAAGACAGTGTGGCGATTCCTCAAGGATCTAGTACCAGAAATGCCATTTGACCCAGCAATCCCATTACTGGGTATATACCCAAAGGATTATAAATCATTCTACTATAAAGACACATGCACACGTATGTTTATTGCAGCACTATTTACAATAGCAAAGGCTATTTGCTACGTAAATGAACCAACCCAAATGCCCATCAGTGATAGACTGGATAAAGAAAATGTGGCACATATATACCATGGAATACTATGCAGCCATAAAAAAGGATGAATTCATGTCCTTTGCAGGAACATGAATGAAGCTGGAAGCCATCATTCTCAGCAAACTAACACAGGAACAGAAAACCAAACACCACATGTTCTCACTCATAAGTGGGAGCTGAACAATGAGAACAGGTGGACACCGGGAGGGGAACATCACACACCGGAGCCTGTCGTGGGCTGGGGTCAAGTCGAGGGAGAGCATTAGGACAAACACCTAATGCATGCGGGGCTTGAAACCTAGATGGCGGGTTGATAGGTGCAGCAAACCACCACGGCACATGTATACCTATGTAACAAACCTGCATGTTCTGCACATGTATCCCAGAACTTAGTAAAATTTTTAAAAAAAGAAAGGAATGTATAGTCACTGTGGGATATTTAGAAAACGCGAAGGTGTACAGAAGAAAACACAAATGCACATTGTTCTTAATCTGTACAACTTCGCAGCCAGGTGGGTGGGATTATCCCCGCTTTACAGAACAGGAAACTGAAGCTCAGAGAGTTGAAATAGCGGCCCAAGCCCTTGGGCCAGAAAGCGGGGCAGGACCAGGCTCTCACCCACCTGTGCCTGAATCCAATCCCAGGGCCTCCTATCCAGACCAAGAGCTTTTCAGGCCCAGCATCCCAGAGCCTGCATCCACGGCGTGGCGGCCAGGGTTTCGAGGGCTCCCGCGGTTTGGGCGCTCTGCCCCTGCGCTCCCCAAGCTGCGACCCCCTGCGCTGGCCAGCGTGGTGTAGGCCGGGCCCAGCGCGGTCCTGGCGCCTCAGAAATCTTTGTTGAGCGAATGAATGAAGGAACGAATGACGGAAGTAAAAGGAATGAGCGCCCCGGAGACTCTGGCTTGCGTTTTCCCTCTCCAGCCCCCAGCGAACTGGAGCCGGGCTGGCGCCCGAAGGGAGTCCCCGGCCGAGGGCAGCGCTCAGCTCCGCGTCCCCGCGCCGGCGCCGAGAGGGAGGCCCCGCCCGACAGGCAGCTGCGGAGCCATCTGCTGCGCGGGCGGCGCCGCTCCAGTGTTTGTTTACAACCCGGCCCGGCGAGCGACAAGAGCTCGGCTCCTCTTCCAGGCGCGCGGCGGTGCCAGTGGAGGAGGAGCAGGGCGCTGGGGGCGCGGGGGGCGCGGGGCGGGGCGGGACAGGTGCGGGGGGCGCGGGGCGGGACAGGTGCGGCGGGCGCGGGGCGGGACAGGCGCGGCTCTGTTCCCCGGCTCCCCGGCCCGCGCCCCCCGGACCCCGTCCCGCGGCTCCCTCTCACCCGCTGTAACCCCCTGCGCGACCCCGCTGGAGCGCGGTCCACGGGGACAAGAGCATTTCCAGGATCCAGGAGTGTTCAGGATGAAGGGAGGTGGCGCGCAGGGTGGCACCTAAAAAACAACGCTCCTGCAGTGTCCCTGAAGGTGACAGGATGGGTGTTAGGCATTTCACAAAATCTCTAAGTCCAATAGCTCGCCCAACTCAGGGGATTCCCCTTCTTGACAGTGGCCAGATACAGGCAATAAGGTCTGGTTTAAAATTCATTCCAGGGAGTAATAATTCCATTTTTTTAAAGCATTCTGATGTAAGTGCACTTCTGGTGTTACCATTTTTACCTCCACTCCCCACAGCAGCCACAAGCTCAGGGTTGGATCAGAGCTTGGGGAGGGTGGCAGGCGGAGATAAAGAGAACCCCAAGTTCTGGGCTTAGGGGTGCTAGCAGGTAAAGGGAAGTGACATCTGGACAGTGACTAATAGCCAGACTTTGGTGAGACAGCTAGTGTGGGGAGGAGACAGCCAGCAGCAGGGCTTTCCCTTCCTCCCGCCTCCCTGCCTCCATGCCTCCACGCCTCCACCTCTCCAGGCCTCCCCGCATCCAGCCTGCACTGCAGACCTTCCCTAGACCATGCTAAACCTAGAGCCCCTGCCTCCTCCGCAGCCCCGCAGTGCCTTGATGGCGCCACCCGCCGGGAACTAGGGGTGCTCCCTGTACTCCCAGGGGGACAGTTGTGGGAGACCCTGACCTGATCCTCGGATGCCCAGGGACTCGTTTCTACATGATTATTGGTCTGTTTGGGTTTTTCTCCTGCATACAAGGGACTAAGAGGTTACAAAGTCCTGACAAAGAGGAGGTTACACTTCCCGTACACAAAGGAGCTCGCAGTCTAGAAGGGGAAGACAGGGAAGACAAAGTGGACAGGAATCACCGCTATTCAATGCCTGCCTACTAGGCGCCAAATGCTGAGTTTGGTGTTTCTCTGGCAATTCATCCAATAAATACTTATTACATCCTGCCCTGCACTGGGCTCTGTGGATGCAGCAGAGAACAAGTCTCGTAGATGAGGAGAGACAAAATAATTCCAGTGATAGCAAGTGTGCCATAAGGGAAATACCTCTTTTAATCCTGATACAAACCCTGATGAAGGGTAAATATTCTTATCCCCTATCCCCATTTTACAGATAATGGCTCAACAAGGAGAAACAACTTGCCCAACATCTCCAAGGCTGGGTTTGGAGCCAGGTCTAAAGCCTGTATTCTGAAGCCAACGTCTACCTAGGGCTGAGGGTTGGAGATGGCCCGTCTGCCAGCTCTGGATGAAACAGCTGGGACACAGCACCATGAATGGCAAAGGTTCCTTGCTGGGGCTAAAGCAGAATAGATGTCCACTTGGAGAGTGCTGTTTTCAAAATTCTGAATCGGCTGGGTGTGGTGGCTCACACCTGTAATCTTGGCACTTTGGGAGGCCCAGGTGAGAGGATTGCTTGAGCCCCAGGAGTTTGAGCCCAGCCTGGGCAACATGGCAAAACCCCATCTCTACAAAAAGATACAAAAATTAGCCAGGCGTGATGGTGTGCACCTGTAGTCCCAGCTACTGTGGAGGCTGAGGTGGGAGGATCACCTGAACCTGGGGAGGCTGAGGATGCAGTGAGTTGTGATCATGCCACTGCATGCCAGTCAGGGTGACAGAGTGAGACCCTGTCTCAAAAAAAAAAAAATTTCTGAACCAGTAAAAATGGGAACAGACACTGTGACTAAAAGCCACCATCTGACAATCCCATGTTGCAGAAGCACAGGCCTGTCTGGGTGAGTGTCTCCCTCATGCACATCCGTTCATTCATTCATTCATTCATTCATTCAACATGCCCTGAAAGACCACCCTGGCCTGGTGGGAGGGCATGTCCTGGGGGCTGTGAAAGTACAGAGGAAAGAGAATTAAACATCCATTCCCCTCTTCCAGGAGCAGAAGCCCAGGACGAGGCCAGCCCATTAAACCCACTTGGCCCAAAGAATGAGAAGAAGGAAGGGGGCTGGGCTGAAGAAGAGGCAGGAGGGCAGCCATCGGTGATGGGGCGAGGACATCACTGGAGGCTGTTAAAATGAGTCTGTGTGCTTGGGTCAGGCAAGGACGCGGCCAGCATCAGCTGCTGCTGCTCTTAGCTTCCCTGCCTGTGTCCCTCGGCTGGCCCTGCTCCTCCCTCCAAAGAGAAGGCAAGAATTCTAACAGGGTGAAACCAGGACAGTGACTGGCTCATACATCCAGGGGAAAATCATCTGAAAGCACTGCATTCCATGGGACAGACAGGATGGGAAAACCAGGATGCTCAGAGAAACCAGACCTGACAGCAGACAGCAAATAATATCCCATCTGGAAGTATGACAGGACAAGAGGAGAAGCTGCACACATCGGCCCATCCTGCCCTGGGCTAGTCCGTGCCCAGGCGCTGGGGGAAGTGGACCACAGAGAGCAACACAAACTATCACATGCCAAGAGGCCTGGGAGCCAAGGCCAGAGAGTGGGGAGGAGCTGCAGGCTTCTCAAAAGACCCAGGGGGCCAACTGTGACATATGATCTGTAAGCCGAATATTTATAAATGGAATCAGATCTCCTCCTAGGTTGATGCCTTTATTTGTATGTTCCTTCATTTAGCCCCAACTCTCCTTATCTCCCTAGTAAGATCTTATAAATCAAATGCACACACACCAATACATCCAGCTCCATGAGGTCAGGAGGTATTTCATTATCACCATCTCTCCTCTACCTGCCCGATCCAGCAAAGACCCAGGCAAAACAGGGGCTGATTGGCTGATTAAATGCACTAGCAAGGGAGAGCTTCTAGTTAAAACAATTTATCTAGATCTTTTAAAAGCAAAGAATCCCACAATAGTAAACATAATTACTCTTTAATGTGATCTGGTTTTTAGTTAGAGTTTCATCTATTTTATGGAACAAACTCTTTTTTTAAATACTGTGACATAAACAGCTACGTACTTACAGAAATTGTTCTCTCTTTTCCCTGGGCACAGAGCCAGCCCCACCTCCCAGCCTCCTTGGCAATCAGCGTGGCCGTGCGCCTGAGTTCTAGCCAATGGGAGGTGAGTGGAAGTGGGTGTCCCTTCCAGACGTCGTACTGAAATTCCCCCACAGGTAATTCTCTATTCTCTTTCTTCATGCATTGGCTAGAAGTGAAGGACTCCAGAGCCCCTGGAGATGGAGGATGGAGGAGCCTGGGTTCTTGAATCCTCACATGGAATGCCAGCCACAAATTGGCATTTGGACTCCTATATGGACAAGGAATAAATTTAAATCCTATTAAGGCTGGGTGCAGTGGCTCATGGCTGTAATCCTACTGCCATAGAAGACCAAAGCAGGAAGATCACTTGAGGCCAGGAGTTCAAAACCAGCCTGGACAACATAAGTGAGACCCCGTCTCTACCTAAATAAATAAATAAATAAATAAATAAGGTAACATAAAATAAGATTAGCTTGTCTTCAGAGGGACAGAACTAATAAAGAAAAACAAATCAAAGTTAAAAAAATGTAAAGAAAGAACAAAAAGTAAAAAAAAAAAAATCCCACAAAACAAAATTAGCCAGGTGTGGTGGTGTGAACCTGTAGTCCTAGCTACTTGGGAGGCTGAGGTGGGAGGATCACTTGCATCCAGGAGTTGGAGGCTGCACTGAGCTACGATCTCACCATCTCACCTCTGCATTATTCCTCCCCAGCTCCCCAGGTGACAGAGCAAGGCCCTGTCTCAAAAAAAAAAAAAAAAAAGTCCTATTACGCTACTGAGATTATGTTATGGCATTGATCTATTATTACAGCACCCAGCATTAGTCCAGCACAAACATGTATATGCAAAACATGGCTGGCAAGCCTGGCTTGGGTAGGGGAAGTACCAGTAAGGGTTAAATTTTAATATATGGGGAGAGGCCGATGCCAGGAACATCCACGGAGATGAGGAGTTCTAAGAATTCCTGATACGCTTGGCTCAGTAACATTTTTTGGAATCCCCCCATTCTCTTTCCCACCTGCAACTTGCACCTGGCCACAGATACTCTCCATTTGCTGTTCGTCAAATCTCCCCATAGAGGCTACTCGACACTGGGATTTAACTGATGGCCCCAGAATGCATCTCTTTCTCTTTGAACTTTTTCCTCAAGCTAATAATTTCCCTCAATCTTCTGAACTTGCCATCGGGTCTGACAAAAAGCTTACTGAGTGCCTTGTTCCGCCTCTATTTCATACAACCTTCCGAAGTTCTCTTCTATATCAACATCCATCAGTCCTTCCCTTTCTACTGCGTTTGGGTTCTCTCTCTTTCATGTATCACTTCCTCGTGTTGCTTTCCTGCGTCCTACAGTCTCACTCTGCTCTGCCCCATTTCCTGTTTCTTTCCCAATAAATGGTTTCATCTTTCATGCATTTCCTCCCTTCCCAGTGCTCCAAACACAACCCCACTTATTTTCTGAGACACACTCCCTCCCCATTAATCTTTCAGCTAGGAAAGAGAGGCTAAAGCTTTCCTTTCCATTCCTGTCCATCTCTGCCTCAGTTAATTAGAGCCTTGTGAAAAACAAACTAAAACTGTTTAACCAGCTGTTTCATCCTGACTCTTCTACCCCTCGTGGTCATGGGCCATCATCTGATCACATAGTTCCTAATCCGTTATCGTGCCAAGAGGGAAGAAAGCCCCCAACATCTTAAAAGAAAGGAAGCAGAATAATTTATAGAAAGAAATAAAGTGCTTAGTCAAAAGCATACCGCAAGAATTGTCACTGACTTGTTCTCAGCTTTTCCCTCATTAAACTTTTCATTTTCTGCCATCTGTCAAATATAAATCAACTTCTGTCAAGTTTCCTCAGACATTTCAGATACTTGCATACTCTATTCTTTCATTCTCTTTTCCCTCCAGGCATTTATAATTCTTCCACTTCCGAAAAGAATTGTAATCGTTCACAACAGAAGGCACACAAATAATAAAAATAACTTGTAACGTGAAAGAATGTGAGCCACTGTAGGAAATGGCAAGGTCCATGAATCTATGTATCCCAGGTTAAGGATACTTATTGTCACTGGGCACAAAATGGAACCCTGAGCTAAGTGCAAATAGTGTTAAAGACAAAGCAAAAAGGAAAACAGAAGAAGTGACAAAAACCTCAATGGTTAAAACTAGAAAGCATACTGTACTTGTCTATACTCTTTGTTACTCTTGTAGAAAGTCTTTGAACTACTTTAAAAATATTTCTTTACATCCTGCCTATTTGCTAAAAGGATATGACACAGCATAAAATTTAAAAAAATCATTATTGTAAAAATAAAGACAAGACATGCTAAATGGGATATGTGTGTGGAAGGAAGACTGACTATAACTTTCTTTTAAAAGGCTAGACTCATGGTAATGAACACAATGGAGTACATACTTTAGCTCTGAGCTCCCCGGCACCCATGGCAAAGAAGGAAACACAGGATTATAGAGCTGAATTTTTTCTAACCACAGTTACAAGATAGTCACTTCGTAACTATGAACCATGAGAGGAAGTTGTCTTATGGATCTTGTCAGTTCCCTTATTCTTTAGAAAAACTCTCCAGGGGTTCTATCATGTAATCTTCAAAATCCTTGGCCAGCTCCACCATTCGGTGGCTTCGTCATATGACCCAGCTCTCTGCCTGCACTGAGGACATTACTTTATCCTTGGATGCAACGTTTCCCAGGCATTTAGGTTCTGTGGCCGTGATGAGCGTCATATCAGCCACACCAACTGCAGTCTCATCTACTTATTTTTTTTTCTTTCACTCTATTTGCATTTTTACTTAATACGTTTTTTTTTTTATCCTGGGAAATCCCTGCTTTGGGAGACAGCCTCGAGAAGGTTAGTATTCTTTCCTGGCTTGCGAACAACTTACTCCTTCCTCTCATTCCACGTGAACTCCATCTTTCCCTCCAAGCCGGGCTAAAGTCCGGTCTCTTCCGGAGCCTTTCCTGATAACTCAGCCTGGGAACTGGAATATCCTCCGCTGAGCCCAGGGCTGGCTCCTGCCTTCCTACTACACAGCAGCTGTCCTCAAATAGGCAGTGGCGTTTTTCCCTAGCAACTGAGCACGTCGTAGGTGCCCCATAAACATGGCAATGTGGCAGGGCTAAGCAATGGATGTGTGCCCACAGTACCTGGGTTCCTGGGTAAGTCACTCTTCAAGCTTCAGTTTAGCCAGCTATAAAATGGCAAAGGGGTTGGGGAAGAGGGGGCTCTGCATTCTCTGAAGTCCCTGCCATCTTGAAGCCCCGCCTTCTTTGGCATCCCCCAAATGCACCCTGACTTTGGCGTTTTCCGTTGCTTCAGTTTTCCTTCCAGGGAATTGCACCCATGGGTTCTTTAGCAATCAGCAGCCCTTCTTATCTCTAAGACAGCCCTCCCTGTGGCTTGCCTCTGCCCAAGGGAGGCACATTCCAGAGTCCTGGACAACCTTCTCACCCCCTCTCTCCTGTCAAACTGATCTGGTCTCTGCCTGTTCGAAACAGACTATTTTTAGCCTTCATTTCTGTCTGCTCAATTTTTCTGCCTCCCACCATTTCTATTGCATCTTCAGGAATACACTGACATTTCTGTCCCTGGTGAAACATTGTCTGTTCTTGATTTTGGACATAAGCCACCAAGTCCTGGACTGTACAGTGACAGAGCTGCTCCATTCTAGTTGTGGTTCTGCCTCCTGGCAGGCTCTGCACCTTTGTGGATGTGGCTTAACCACTCTGAGCCTTGGTTTTCGCATTTATCCAATAGAGACGTCACCCGCCCAGGCTGACTCAAAGTCAGCAATCAATCAAGACAGCCCCAGTCCCACAGTCTGCTTGACCAGCTCACGAGGCCAGTCCTGAGGAAAGCTTTTCCTCCAAAGCACGTGGACAGCACTTTAGAGTTTACAAATCACATTCTCATACACTGTTCTTTGAGGCATTACAATCATTGTGGCCATTTTCTAGATGAGGCAGCTGAGGCTCAAGCAGCTCACCGAAGACGTACATCCAGGTCTTCAAAAACCAGACCTTACTCTCCCCACCTGCAACAGGCTGGGGGAACAGTCGAGAGGCCCACCTGAGCTACGGGTGTCTGCACACAGTGGTCCCCGGAACCCACACTCCCATCCCCCAGCACTGAGGGATATGTGGGCCGTTGTCACCTCACCACAAGGGCTCGCTCCCACTGCATCGTGCGAGATGGGTCTGCAGAGGTGCATGTGGAAGCTTCATGGGGGTGGTGCTGTGAAGAAGCAGAAACAAGACCTGAGGGCAGGATGAGTGAGGCGACAGGGCTGTGCGACACTGCTTCATCTTGCCTGTAAGCTGTGTCTTAGGGAGCAGACAGTTTCGGAGAGACGTCACCCAGGCTGGTGGGGAGGGGAGAATGTCTGACGCGGGCATCTGAGTCATTCTCACTGAGGAGGAGGAGGCGGCTCTGACTCTCCCAGCAGGGGCAAGGGCAAGAGCCTGGGGCGGCAGCTTGAGGTCCTAAAATAAACCTGCACATTTGGCTTGAGCTTGCATCCTCTGTGGATTCCCTTGCCTCCCGGACACCTGGAGCAGCCACTGTGGCAGCCTGGGCAGAGCCCCCCACCCGGGTGATCTCAACCCAGGCACTTCTCCTCGAAGCATCAGAGTCCCATTTGAATATCAAAAGGGTTGAACTGGACCATCCCTGAGGGCTTTTTGAGCCTTAACGTTCTAGGATTCTAAATTAGTAAAATATTTTGGTGGTTATTGACTATGTCTCACAGTGAAACATTATTTATCTTAGACATGGGCCAAGCGATAATAGACATTTCTTGAAAGGTAAAGATTCTCCAGGAGAAAAATCCACCCACAGTGCTGATTCTCTTCCTGTTACCAGCTGAGGGGAGTTGAGACAGGTGGTTGGTGTGTGCCCACACACAGTTTCCTCTTCTTTCCGGGCCCCCTCCCCAAACTCCCTGAAGCTGGATGTGGCCACATGGCAGGTCCAGAGAATGGGGAGAGGAGTCTCTGCCACTTCCAAGAGCAGGCGTTTCAGAGGTGGATGTGCCTCCCACTTTTTGCCCCATCTACCAGCTGGAACACAGGACTGCTCTGGGGTTGCACCACTGAGCCTGGGGGTCTCCCCATGACTGCAGCCGCGCCCATGCTCACTGGGTAATGCTGTGACAGGATGCCCTCATCGGTCTGCGTAGTGAGTGAATGTGGGGTGGTTGCTGTTGCTCGTCCACCTCTCCTGCTAGATTCTGAGCTCCCTGGGGTTCAGGGTCACATTTGACTTTTCCTCCTGTCTCCAGGGCCGGCCTCAGCACCTGACTCAATAGTGGTGTGTTGATTTAGGGAAAAACTCACCTTCAACAGCCTCTCCCAGCCCATCTGCTCTTTGTGGCCCTAGAGTTGGAGACTGAGTGCCCAGTGGCTGTCCTCGCCCTCCCAGGGCCCCTCCCAGCTCCATCATCTCAGACCGTCGGAGATAAGGGGGCCTTGGTGACCACCTCCTCTAGAGGCAGCCTGGGGGCGGCTATGGTCATCTTGATGACTGAGTAAGGGCATCCCTGGGATACGGTGGGTGGGGGGCTGGGCAGGCTGAACATCTCTCAGTGAGCAATGGTCCCCTCCATGAAGGACTGTCCTGCCCAAATGCCATTAGTGTCCTGACACAGATGTTTGGGACCCTGACAATTCTTGAGCCATTTCCCATTTTTTTCTTGCCCTGTTTTCCCTGCCATCTACTAAAATCCCTTCTTTTCCCTGCCTGCTGCTCCGTGCCTGCACAATGCTTTCTCCTCCCTGTCTCTTCTGCAGAAAGCTACTGCTTCAGGCAGCCTGGGATGGCATCTCGGCAGGTCCTGGTGCCCACACAGCTGTGTGGACATGGGCAGCGTGGGTTTCTCCTCTGCACACAGCCTGCCCACCTTGCCTTTCACCAGAGAGAGGCTTCCCAGGAACACAGGCTCCTACAGGAGCTGCAGCCAACCCAGCCAGCTGGACACTGATGGTGTGACACCCACATGGGCTCCCACCAGCGAACAGCCCACCCCTGGCCAAGGTGGGCCCTGCCCCCTCGGTGCCTGCTAAACTGGTCATAACTGATTTCTTCCTTCAGAAAGGCACCCGTCAGGAAGAATCTCCTCCCTTGATCCGAATCCACTCCTGCACCTACATTCTCCCATCTGCCCCTCCCCAGGCTGCTCCTTTTCAATGGGGCACTTCTCCCACTGCTCCATGGCCAGCCCAACCTCGGGGTCCTGATTGTGGCTAACTTACAAGAGTGATTACCGGGCCTTCCATGTTTTCCCTTCCCCCAGTCTTGCCCCATCAGCAGAGCTGAGACCGATACCACAATCACTGCCATCAAGTGGGGCGGCTCAGCCCAGAAACATGGCCCTAGGATCCTCCTTAATGGGATAAAGAGTAGAGGCCCCACTGTCTTTGATAAGGCAGGCAGGTTCCACTCTCCAACCTGAAAAGATATGCCAAAAAAAAAAAAAATCTACATTTGGAGGGACCGACTCTGGCCTTCTGCCTCCCAGAAGCCCTGGGGTTCTTTCTCAGTCTGAAGCAGAAGCAGCCCCCCTGGTCCATCCCCCACCAGAGGATGCCAGCTCTCCCGGTCTCCACTGACTCCACCCACAGTATCTCTCCCGCAAGGCCCTCCCTGGAGCCTGGCCAGAGCCTGTGTTGCCACACCTCGGGGTCATACAGGCTTCAGCTCACATGGCTGTGCCCCCTGTCTGCTCTCCTCCTCCACTTCCTCTGATGACCCTCATGATGGGTCATGTAAGAGGCATACCCCTAACCCCAACTGCCATCTTCCCCTGCCCCCAAGCTGAGCATAAAAGAAAGCACCCTAGAGTGCCATCAGCCCACTGACATTTCCAGAAGAGGGCTCCAGAGAGGATCAATAAGCAAACAGAATAAAGAGGGAGAGGGGAACATAGGTGCAAGAGAGTTCAGGGGTCAAGATTTCTTTACTGCAGAGCCTCCAGAGCCTTCAGTGCACTACTGTGCAACTGGATTTCCAAGAAGGGGATGTAGCATGCGGCGTGGCCCAGACTCACTGACAGGCTAAGCTTTGTGACAGGAGAGCTTCTAGGAAAACATCAGAGAAAAACTATCGGAGTCAACCTTGGGTATTTTAATGTTCTCAGGAGGGCCTTGATATTGACCCAAGGATTAGTCAATAGAGGCCAGGCTGCCTCATGACTTCCGCCCTTCTGCAGGCATTTCCCAAGCAGTGTTTCCTAAAGGGATCTTCTGAAGTTGAGCCATGAATTAAGCAGAACTCTTCCTTCCCCTGGCCCCACAGTTTTGGCTTCTGGGTTCTGGACATGGGAGTCCTGACAACACAGATGTGTGAGAAATACAAAGAAGACCCTCAGGGCAGTGCTGGAGGACAAGAGTCTTTCATCTAGGGTCCCCGTAGTCTCCAGGACTGTCACTACTCATGTATTTGCCCTGCGTCTTGGTTTATGTTTTTGTAGAACATGGATGTTATTCATCCACGCCTCATCAATCCCTGCTGAGAGGTTTAGGTAAAAGAGAGAAGCTGGGTTTGTAGCAGTACACTTCACTGAAAAAAATATTTCCTCAGTGACTCTAAAGGAACATTTTTGCTAGATTTCACATATGTAGTCAAGAACAAGAAACTTTGAGGGTTTAGGACCTATTTTTGGGTAGGAGGAGAAGATCAGAAAGGGGCAATTTGGGGTGGTGGTGGTTAAAAAGCAAAGCAAAATAAAGAAACACAAAACCAGGTAATGAGTGAGCAGGCTCTCCCCAAAGCTAGTCTTTAGGCTGGTTCCATCCTGAAATATGCCAGTGCCTCACTAGTAGATCCCAATGGGCAAAACAGCAGGAGGTCAAATGGGATAAAAATGTGAATGTAATGATTCCTCACATTTACATAGCACTTCACAGTTTATAAAACACTTATACAGATGATTCCATTTGAACTTCATAAAATCCTTACATAGGAGGCAAAGTAGAAAAGGCTTCCTAATTTAGAGATCGTGAATCAATAATTAGGTGACTTGCCCAAGATCTCCCAGCTTACTGGAAAACCAAGGATCAAGACGGAAGCCTTCTGCCTTCCTGCCCGCTGCCCCTCATTCCTCCTGCTGAACCCACCAGACCAAGAGTACATGGCAGGTAAGAATATCAAGGAATGAATGAACAAATCAACCAACCCATCACTGGGGCGCTATCCCAAGAAGCTACATAGTCACTGGCACACAGTGGGTACGGCTGTGGTGACACAGAGGGTTGGCCATCTCCTCCTGGCCAGTTCATCTCATTCACTGGAACAGGGTCGTGAACAAAGCAAATGTTTGTTAATGGATACTCATATCACATTCTCAAAGCTGGACCCTGGGTGGGCAAAGCAGTGAGGTGGTGTGAGGTCTCAGCCCAGGCACAGCTTCCTCACGGGTGTGTGGTCATTGCTCAGCATTTAGGGCCCTGGAGGTACTGAAGAAAAAAATTTCTTTTCAGATGAAGTTTTGCTATTGTTGTCCAGGCTGGAGTGCAATGGCATGATCTCGGCTCACTGCAACCTCCACCTCCTGGGTTCAAGGGACTCTCGTGCCTCAGCCTCCCAAGTAGCTAGGATTACAGGCACGCGCCACCATGCCTGTCTAGTTTTTTGTATTTTCAGTAGAGACAGGGTTTCATACAACCTCATTTTACACCTTTAAGTCTATGAGCCCCGAGTCTATGAGCCCCGAGTCCATGAGCCCCGAGTCCATGAGCCCCGAGTCTATGAGCCCCGAGTCCATGAGCCCCGAGTCTATGAGCCCCGAGTCTATGAGCCCCGAGTCCATGAGCCCCGAGTCCATGAGCCCCGAGTCTATCAGCCCCGAGTCCATGGGCCCCGAGTCCATGAGCCCCGAGTCCATGAGCCCCGAGTCTATGAGCCCCGAGGCCATGAGCCCGGAGTCTATGAGCCCCGAGTCTATGAGCCCCAAGTCTATGTTGTTTGTTATGATGGTCTTAGCAAATGAATACGAGGCCCAAGGTCAGGCTGGGACCCAAGAAGGTGATTTAAGGTGGCCCAGCACCCTCTCCCCACTGGGCAATAACCCAAGTGAAAGTCCTCTCTGTTCACATCACAGGGAATCACTCTTCCTTTCCTAATACTGTGTCCTCTGAATATATGCACTACACCAAGAAAATCAGATCATATATAGACCTCCAAAGAGCTCGAAGTCCAGAATAATATACAAACACACAGCCAAGATAAATACATAGAAAACACCCAATTTTTTTTAACACAATGTGTCCAAAAGCCAGTGTGTGGGTTGACTGTTTCCCAGAGGAGCAAGCTCTCTGTGGTGACCGCATCTCTAGCTAACCCTCTGGCACCCAACAGTCAACCCACATCAGTGATGAGAAATCACCTGTACAGCCAATACCGTCCTCTCAGCTCCACCCCCTCTCTGTTTTGATAAGGTCTGCTGGAGAGACAGCAGGGCTCCACCCCCTCTCTGTTTTGGTAAGGTCTGCTGGAGAGGCAGCAGGGCTCCACCCCCTCTCTGTTTTGGTAAGGTCTGCTGGAGAGGCAGCAGGGCTCCACCCCCTCTCTGTTTTGGTAAGGTCTGCTGGAGAGGCAGCAGGGCTCCACCCCCTCTCTGTTTTGGTAAGGTCTGCTGGAGAGACAGCAGGGCTCCACCCCCTCTCTGTTTTGGTAAGGTCTGCTGGAGAGACAGCAGGGCTCCACCCCCTCTCTGTTTTGGTAAGGTCTGTTGGAGAGGCAGCAGAGCTCCTCTCAACAACCACATTGCACAAGGAAATGTGCAGGCTTACAGAAAGTTATGAGACTTGCCCAAGGTCATGCATCTTGCACTGATGAAGCCACAAGTCCACACGTCTCATGTTGAGTGGAGAGAGAAGGGAGAGAACTCCATGCCCCTGGGACTCTGGGTAGAGAAGGTGGGGGCCACCCCTGCCAGGCAACAACACATGGGTCAGGGTGGGGGTACACTGGTGGTCAGAGGGCAAAACAGGTGTGGCCAGAGTGTCTGAACTGTGCCTGAGGCTGCCTGCCAAAGTTGCCCCCACATGCTAGGCCAGGCAAGGTAGCTCAAGCCTATAATCCCAGCACTTTGGAGACCAAGGCGGGTGGATCACTTGAGGTCAGGGGTTTGAGACCAGCCTGGCCAACATGGTGAAACCCCATCTCTACTAAAAATACAAAAATTAGCCGGGCGTGGTGGCGGGTGCCTGTAATCCCAGCTACTAATGAGGCTGAGGCAGGAGAATTGCTTCAACCTGGGAGGCGGAGGGTGCAGTGAGCCAAGATCGCGCCTCTGTACTCCAGCCTCAGCGACAGAGCGAGACTCCATCTCAAAAACAAACAAAAAGTTGCCCCCACATGCTAAAGGACCCTGTGATTAGCACATTTCAGACTTAGGGTCCTGTCTATCTTTTCCTGAGAAAGGCAATCATTCATTAGCTTGTCTGATTGATATCGTCACCTTTCCCAAAATCCGAGTCCCTGTGGAATCCATGTGTCCTTTTATGAGTTGAGTATTGGGATCCCTCCTGATGCATAATAATTAAGGGCTTTGATGAACTCTGGAGACCGCACTTAAGCAAACACTGGCAGAGGGTCACCTATGTGCTAGGAACTACATTGGGTCTTTGGGGGTCAGTTTATTTCAGAGATGCATCCTGCCTCCAAAGACCTCACAGTCTTTGGAGGAGAAGAAGACCTGTATATGAAGGACTGGCATACAAGGCAGAGTGAGACATGCCTAAGGTGTCAACAGTCCTGGGACAATGCCCCAAACCTGGACACTCTGGTAATAACATTCCCTGTTCCTTTGAAACAGCCCAGATTTAGTCTTTCGCTGTAACATATGCACTGATCAATACTGAAGATGAATTAAACTGATGAAAATCAATCCCAAAGCCAGTTTTCCTTTCCAGACCAAAACTTTTCATCAATAATAGAGAATTAAAAGATGTCACTAAATCCTGATACCTGCACTGCACGTAGTTCAATCACAGGTTGTGAAAATGGATTAAGAAGTAGGAAGCCTTGCCAAGAAGCTTGTTCTGCTGGCCTTTGGCAGACAGAGAGGGGCCAGTGAGAAACAAACAGACAGACAGGGACCCATTCCAGAATAAAGCGAAAGCCCTTGAGGCCGACTATTCAATCTGGGCAGGTGACCCAGGGCTTCCCTACCCACTCAGTGGGCTGGGAGTCCAGGCAGTGGAATCCAGAATGCTGCCAGGAAATGAGCCAGACACACAGAGAACACCCAGCAGTCTGTTCGGCTGGTTTGAAGAAGAGAATTGAAAAAAGAAAAAAAAGCAGAGAGAGAGATTTGGGGGACATCACAGAAGACTAGGAATTGGAGACTTTCAGTTGCTGAAGGCTTTTGAGCAGAAAGCTAAGATCTTCAAAGACGCAGCTTTGAGCCTATTCTTAGAGCAACAGGGAATCTGAGTATTTCTCCGAGGTTCACGGCCCCAGCGATGGGGCTGCTCTGTCTGCTCCAGCAGGAGCAGAAAGGAAGGAGCCAGGCCACAGGGAACTGCAGAAGCTGCGCTCCCTCTGTCTAGTGTGCCGTTTCCCGGCCTTGGGTCTCCTCTGTCTTAGGAGCCCCCACGTGGCCCCATGGCCACTGCCAGGTCACTGTGGTAAGTGTTGAGTTAGTGACACTGACGATGCACCAGCAAGATCCAGCCTGCAAGACTGCCCAGCCCTGCCCAGAGCTGATGGAGGCTCTGGCCTCATGTTTCATTCATTTATTCAATCAATCATTTCCTGGGCACTGGCCAGATACCAGACACTATGCCGAATGTGGCAATGAAGAAAGAAATGAAGGTGATTATGGAGGTCCATCCCTCAAGCATTTGTCTAGTAGGGGAGTCCTTCATTCCATCAACAAACATTCTCTGAGCACTTGGTATGTACCAGAGCAAACCCAGGCACTGGAGACATCACCCCTGCCCCAGGAAGCACACAGTCCAAGGTGGGAGACAGGCAGAGAGACGGCGAAGTGGAATGTGCTACCAGTGAGGTGGGCCCAGGTGCTTTGGGGTTCCAAAGTAGAGGCTGCACACCAGACCTCTGTGATAGGATCACAAACTGTCGCTGAATGAAGTTCTCATGCTGGAGCATCTGTGGGCAGCTGCCCTCTGGGAGCAGGATGAGCAAAACAGCACTGAGACCCAGGATGAGGGAAGCAGAGTGGCAGAGCCCTGGGAAAAGCTGCTCTAGGGCAGTGGAAAACTCTGCAGTGTCCCCATGGGGCAGCAGACCAGACCAGGACGCAGAGCAGAGCCTGGGGAGAGGAGAGGCTCTGAATGGCCCACAGGACTTGGCTGGTGGCACCCTCCCTGGAGGCTGGGGCACTAGTACAGGTGGGGAGGGAAGAGGATGCTGCCCCCGCCCTGCAGAGGCTCCCATAAGGAGCCCATCATGTGGGGAGCACAGGAACCCTGCCATGGCTTGAACTCTGGGGAAAAAAAGCGTGGTTGTCTACAAGGCGCCACAGTCCCTCAGTGAGAAATCTGAGCCTAGTCCCCTTGATTGGTCTTACTCCGGAAGTAAGCAGATGGGGCACCGACAAAGAGCCTGGACTTTGCTCACTCTGCCCTCCGAGCAATCCCTTTACTATGTCCAAGTCAGTCTCTCTTCTGCCAGTGAAGCTCCTTCCAGGGTTAGGGGTTGAGGAAACTGTTCCCAGAAACACCCGGTAGGTGCTTGATTCCTCTTGGCAAAAGCTGACTCTTCCCAGCCCAGGTTGATGACAGGAAAGACTATCATGACCCCTACCCTAAGCACAAAGCACTTCCAGCCACATTCACAACTCAATCCTCACAGCAATCTGGCAGGTGGATGGAGTAGATACTACTGTTCTCAATTTACTGATTCAAAAAAGTAACTTGGCCAGGCTCGGTAGCTCACATCTGTAATCCCAGCACTTTGGGAGGCTGAGGTGGGTGGATCATGAGGTCATGAGTTTGAGACCAGCCTGGCTAACCCCGCCTCTACTAAAAATACAAAAATTAGCTGGGTGTGGTGGTGAGCACCTGTAGTCCCAGCTATTCGTGAGGCTGAGGCAGGAGAATCACTTGAACCTGGGGGGCAGAGGTTGCAGTGAGCTGAGATCACACCATTGCACTCCAGCCTGGGCAACATAGCGAGACTCTGTCCCCCCGACCCAAAAAAAACGTAACTTGATCTTGAGGAGATATTTGTACTCTGTGCTCACAGCAGCATGATTCTCAATAGCCAAAAGATGGAAGCAGCCCCAGCGTCACTTGACACATGAATGGAGAAACCCAACATGGTCCATCCATCCACTGGAATATTATTCAGCCATAAAAAGGAAGGAAATTCTGGCACACACTACAACACGGGTGAACCTCGATGATAGTATGCTGAAAGAAATGAGCCCGTCACAAAATGACAAATACTATATGATGCTTCTTATATGAGGTCCATAGAGGAGTCAGATTCATAGAGGCAGAAAGTAGAATGGGGTTGCCAGGGGCTGAGGGAAAGGGGAATGGGGAGGTGCTGTTTAATGGGTGTGGATTTTTAGTTTTACACAGCGATAAAGTTCTGGAGTGGATGGTGGTGATGGTTGCACAACAAGGTGAATGTTCTTAACACAACTCAACCATACACTTAAAATTGGTTAGGATTGTAGATTTTATATTATGCATATTTTACCATATTTTACGATCGTGACTTGAATCCATATTTCCTGCCTGTTGGGTCCCAGCCTGACCCTTACCCCATCAGCAGAGGAGCAGTGACGCCATGAGGCACTAGAAGAACCCAAGGCCTGGAGTCAGGCCAGGGACTAGGTGAGAGTTTCGTGAGCTGTGCGACCTCAGCCTCCTTCATCTCTCTAAATTTCAATTTTCTAACCTATAAATTGATGCCAATACCTAATAATGACACAGTAGCAAAGCGCCCCCAGCACAGGGCAGGCCCCGAAGAAAGCCACAGAGGACAGTAAGGAAGGGTCCAGCTGAGTCCAGCCAGGATCCGGGGCCTCAGCCAGCGCAGGCAGCGATGGCAGCCTCCTTGGAGTGGCCTGGCCAACTCTGGGCCCGCAGAGGACAGGCAGTCCCGTGCCCACTGCTACCTTGAATCCCAAGGACAAGAAAGTTCAGGCCTTTACAAGTAATAGTTTGATTCCTTCGTCCATTCAAAGCATGGAGAGCTGGCTGAGCGCGGTGGCTCATGCGTGTAATCCCAGCACTTTGGAGGCTGAGGCATGAGGATTGCTTGAGCCCAGGTGTTTGAGACAAGCCTAGGAAGCACAGTGAGACCCCATCTCTACAAAAAAATTAAAATTAGCTGGGCATGGTGGCACATGCCTGTAGTCCCAGCTACTCAAGAGGCTGAGGCAGAAGGATCACTTGAGCCTCAGGAGTTTGAGGCTACAGTGAGCCATGATCACACCACTGCCCTCCAGCCTGGGCAACAGAGCAAGACTCTGTCTCTAAGAAAAACCACAAGCATAAAGCATTGTGTCCAGCTGCCGGGAAGCCCAAGCAGCAGCGTGCAGTGGCTTTGGGGTCCAAAGCCTCAGCGTGGCCTCTTTACCTGTGTGGCCTTGGGAGACTCATTTCATTTTTTCAAGCACCATCCAGAAAGTGTGGACACTCATGGCCCCTCCTGAGAGTGGCTGCAGGGTCACATGGGGTGCCTGCAGCCCTGGGGCGCTCTGTGAGGTCATCTCCCTTACGTGGAGTCTCAAGCACTTTGAGTATGAGACTGTGGCCCTCAGTGAACAGTTCCTCTCTACATGCAGCTCACTCAAGGAGGAGGGCATGGGAGAAAGCTGGTGGCTCAGGGTCAGGCAAAGTCCTGATGCTTCACTGTGCACCAGACTGGGCCCTGTAAATCTCCAGGAGGAGGTGACCCTCGAGGCCTGGACTCCCTTTGGTCTTTGGCTGAAGCTGCTGAACAGCTGAGGAAGGAGCCTGTGGCTGTTTCCCCGCCCAGCTCCCTCTTATTAAGTGGGAACCCTCCAGCCTCTCCAGGAGGAGTCCCATCCTGTCTTCCCAGCTGCAAGAATGCATCTGGGCACAGTTTCTGGTCCCCATGGCAACCGCTCCAATCTGTGTCAGCAGAAATGGAGTCTGCTGCTGCTGTAGTCACAAGAGGGGGACCCTGGCACGCTCATCAGACCGGGGACCCAGGGGATCCACAGAAGAGAGGCTCAATCCGGGAGCAGCCTCCCGGTGTCTACCTGCACTGGCCGCCGGGCTGGCCCTGCTGGGCAGGGGAGGTTCTGGGTGGGCAGACCTGACAAGCACTGACCCTCCATGGAAGGACCTCAATGCTGACCTTGAGCCTGACCCCAAACCACTTCAGACAGTGGCGCTGTTAAAGCCCTCTGGGAAAACATACTCTGCAGCCTCTCTTGGTGCCTGACTCTAGGATTTATTCAGTCTCATGGAGTGTACTGGGAAGACAGACCTATTTTTAAAATTTCATCTGGAAGGATGAAGTAGGGGAAGGAACTCCAGAGGGAAAGAAGAACTGACACTTATTGAATTTCTCACTGTGTGCCCCGAGACTTTATCGACATTGTCAACTTCAATTGGCACCATGAGTCTAAGGGATGTTGTCTTACAGAGAAATGAGACCTAGAGAGCTCCTGCCACTTGCCCAAGAACACACAGCTTTCAAATATTCATGCTGGCATGCAGCTTTTAAATACTGGTGCTGGGATCCACCAGGTACCGTCTGCCATTCTGCCTGTGTGTTCCCCACTATTCCACGTGCTGCTGACCCCACGTGAGGCAAGGCTTCTTCCCATCTGCCAGGAACCTTGAGGTCACTAGTGAATCCTTGAGTCCTAAGGAAGAGAGGATTTGAGGAAGGAAGTGCAATGGGGTGTGAGAGTGGCAGCCTTGACAGGACCTGAGGGTTGTGGCTCCCTTCCTGCGAGTCTCAAGACAAGAGGGTGCTTGATGGAGGCCCCCCATGACAGCACGAAGGCTGGGCTCAGCAGCAGTCCAGGAAGGTGCTAGCAGTTGGCCTTCAGGACCCGTTAGGAAATTCTGGGTAGGCCCAGAATGACGAGAGAGGACAGTGACGCCAACCCATCCAGCCCCACAGGCCTCCAGTCTCAGCACCATAGGAGAAGAGTGGACATACCCTCCCATGGCAAGCAAGGCCTCCCAAGGGGGGCCAGAGGCCTCATCCTCATGAGCCGTCAATTTCAGCCAACTTAGGCTGATGGCCAAACACATCTTCCAATGGCCAAGGCAAAGGGGACCTGGGTCACCTCAGGACCACTCCGGGGCGAGGAAGAAGGAGCAAGACTAGAGGAACAGGGCGCTGCAGGGCCATAAGAACCCCAACCCTTCTGCAACCTGAATTCTGCCCCTCCTAGGCAGAAGGCTGTGCAGGAGAACAGAGTGCAGATCCCTAGCCACCTGCTCCCAGGGAGGAAACACCTCCTTCTTCCCATGAAAAAGTGGCCTCTGGGCAGGAGATACCAGGGGGCAGAGCTCTGTGTGTGTCTCCTGGCTTGTCTGCAATGGCAAGAGGAAGTGTGTGTGTCAGAGGCAGGGAATGAGAGATGACCTAACTGTATCAATTGGGGAATAAATGAACACATTTTGGCGCATTAAAGTATGCTGAACAATAGAGTAAGCGCAGCTTTTAAAAATAAAGAAGCAGAATTCTATTTCTGACTTAAGAACTGTCCACAGTGGATAAAGCAAATTGCAGAACAATATAGTGACTATTATCCCATTTTTGTAAAATAAAATCTGTCTATCTGCATATGGTTTTGATGCAGCATCCATATAAGATCATCTGGAAGTCTACACTGCACCAATTGTTAGTAGCTGTCGCCTCTGGAAGGGGAAAAAGGAAATGGCATCAGGAAAATGGGCAAGGAAGAAAGAATATCGGTTTTACTTTATGTACTTCTTGGAATTGTGTTAGAAAGACCAGGTAACGTTGTTGTGATAAACCAATAAGGGACCAGGCACGGTGGCTCATGCCTCTTATTCTAGCACTTTGGGAGGCCAATGTGGCAAGATTGCTTAAGGCCAGGAGTTTGAGACCAGCCTGGGCAATATAAGGAGACCCCTTGTCATCTCTACAAAAAAGTTTTAAAAAATTAGCTGGCATGGTGGCGTGCACCTGTAGACCCAGCCACTCAGAAGGCTGAGGCAGGAGGATCACTTGAACCCAGGAGTTCGAGGCTGCAAGTAAGCCATGATTGTACCACTGCACTCCAACCTGGGCAACAGAGTGAGACCTCATCTCAAAAAATAAATAAATAAATACATAAATACATAAATAAATGAAATAAAGTTGAAAAATAAAATAATCATAAAAGGTCCCCAAACACCTCTAAACAAGGGTGCATGCTTGAGATCAGTCCATTTTTCGAGTGAGCAATTCACTAAACTCTTTGCAGAGACCCACCTCAGAAAGCAAGAAAAAAAAAAACACACCCACTTGAATTTTCTTAGATGACACAGACTTTTGGTCCTTTGCCTTAAGAGAAAACCCTGGGCTCCCCTAGTCATTAAGTCCCCATAATCAGAGAGCTTCAAGCAAACGAACACAGAGAGATCTCTTCTCACACAATTTGTCCAAGCTATAGCCTATGCCAAATCAGGGAGGTGTCTTTTTATAGGAAAGGACAGGCTTTAGAAACAGGGTGGAGAAAGAGAGAAAAAAAAGAGATCAGTACATGTCAAAAGAGATATCTTCTGCAATTCCTCTGACCTGATTATTGGGCTCATTGTAGAAATTTAACTATTTATCTATTTCTTGTTCTCTAAACAGCAGACAGTGATAATCAAAACTTTGGAGATGTAAAGTCAACACTTGCCACTGCTGTGAGTCTGTCCCCAGTTCATCATCACAGTGACAGTCTGGGCAGGCCCCCCAGGTGGCCTCCAAAGCCACCTTCACAGCCTACTTCTGTCCAGCCAGTAGGCCAAGAGGTCTCTGTTGAGCACTGGCTTACGCTAGGAAATAATTCGGAGGAGGAGGAGCCAGGTGGTCCACCACCTCAAAGAAGCATGTAACCTAGTCAGAAGGACACTACCGTCAGAGACAACGCAAGAACACCAGAGACAAGCTGGGTCTGGCCACTCTGTGGCTTATGCAGGCCTCTCTGGGCACTGTTTGCCAGTCGAAGCTGCCAACCTCTTTGGAGAGGAGAATAGAGATATTATCACCTCCACTGTACACACGTGAAAACTGTGGATCACAAAAGAAGATCCGTATGACAAGGAGAAAAAAATTCACAGGACATATCAATGGCAAATAATCAAGAAGAAAACTCAAAGGTCTGTAGTTATTTGGGACAAAGACCTCCACTGCATAACTTTCAATAAAGGTGAAACCATTAACTTTAGGTAGCAGCAACATACTGTTCTAAGGACTGCAAGAAGCCGTCTACCTCAAAATGGCATGATTTTGCTAAAGCCGGATTCTGAGAAAAGTAAGGATACTTAAGAAAAGCACTAAAATCCCTCTGTGAAAACTGTTGCTTCCACAGAAAACTAGAAGGTACCAGGAAAATCCAGCAGATGGACTTTACCTTTAGCTTGACCTCGGCTTCCTAATGCATTAAACACTCATATGGAATGAATCTGTTCCTGCAGGGGTAGAATTACACAGTTATCTGTCATCCAATGTCAAATAGGTTATCCCTTGATTAAGGTCTTAGCACGGATGAGAATTTTATTGAAATGATTTTCATTATCTGCACGACAGTTCATCACAAATATATTTGGCCCAGTGTGTTTCAAATGTGATTTGATCACACATCAAAATGTGGACATTTAATTCATTTTAATCGAGAAATTAAATGCATCTGCCTTGCTTCCTCTCCTGGGGCTCTTCCATCTCAGGAAATTCCCACACCAGCAGGTCTGGACAAGTCCTCGGCAGTAACTTCACTCAGCCTGAATTCTTCTTCCTTTCCCCACGGCTCTGACTCCAAGTTCTGATCATCAAGTTGAAAGGGAAACTTACAACCAAAGGAGATGTAAACAAGAATAGTCTCTGTCAGTTCAGTGGAGAGAGAGAGAGAAGCTTTAATGTGCACTAGTCAGTCAGAGGCTTATTCTGCAACTGTTCATTAGGAATCAGTGGAATTTCCACTGTTTCCCTGGTGTCACTTGGGCTGCTGCCTCTTGGCCTGTGTCAAAGACAACAAAGGAAAATGGTCCTTGCCCCTCGAGGTGGGACTGGATGCCAACCAGCCCGACAGGCAGTGGGTGGTTCACGGTTCTGTTCCCACTGGAGGATGCTCTTGTCTGCCTACCCTCTCGCCTGAGACCTGGAAGGAAGTGCATGCCCAAGGGTGCCAGTTGGAGGGGAGCTAGCAGTCAGACCAGGCTGGTGTAGGCTTTGCAGACAGAGACTCACCTCCTTCCACTGCCAGAAGATGCTGCCGTCGGGTGAGGAGCTGTGACCTGGGCAGAGGAAATTCAAGGAGCCAATTTCTGCTCTGTACATAGAAAAGGTGGTCCTCTCCTGTTTGTTCGGGGGGCATCTCTGAAGCCCAGCTCCACTCTTTACCATCTTGCTAAGAACCAGGAGTCTGGAACATCTCCCAAAGTCTACGTGGGGCTCAATATCATGTGCAATCACTTTGCACCCCGTTACGAATGTGGGAGCAAGAGTTGGTCAATTTTGGAAGGGCTTGGTTAAGACAGCTGGTAAACCTCAGCTGAGATAATATCTCTATTCTCCTCTCCAAAGAGGTTGGCAGCTTCACCGGGCAAACAGTGCCCAGAGAGGCCTGCATAAGCCACAGAGTGGCCAGACCCAGCTTGCCTCTGGTGTTCTTGCGTTGTCTCTGACGGTCTTGTCTGTCCTTCTGACTAGGTTACATGCTTCTTTGAGGTGGCGGACCACCTGGCTCCTCCTCCTCCAAATAATGGGGGATTCAGCCTGCAGCCTGGGAGAAAGTCAAACAAGAGTCCTCTGTCCCAACAGCAGTCCCCAAAGTCACCCTTCTGCCCTTAGGACCCTGGCTTTCCTCAGTTCCTTTTAACTGGGACACGGCTCAGGTTTGACAGAGCCTGGCCACTGGGCTGGGCCTTTGGGCCGTCCTCGAACACTCTCCTGAGCAGGAGACTGAGTGATGTTAAAGCTCTGACGTCTCATGGTTGCAGAACTGAAGACAAGCCCAAGAGCAGGAAAGTGGAGTCCCAGGCAGTGGCCTCAAGTATTTCTATTATTTCTATTTCTGTATTTATTTCTCGTCTTTATAGCTGCTGCGGCCAGGTAGCCCTAGGCAGGGCTTCCTCCCTGCCTCACCTTCCCAGCCCTTTCTGCACAGGCAGCGCACAGCACTCCGTGTGCTTTAGAATCCTCCTGCCCTGAGGTTTCTGATCCTGTGAGTCTCCTCTGGAACTCGGGGGCTGCTGCAGAACTAGGCCACTCTCCAAGCCTCCCTCTCCGAGTCTCGGCAGCCAGTGGGAGCCCAGCACTTCAAAGTGCCCGTGGGGCTCCTCTGCACACTGCCATTATCCACCACACACATGGCTCAGCACATTCACCTAGTCGCACCACTTGGAGTTCAGTGACTCCCTGGAAGGCCTTACAGGAGTGAGGAAGGAATGGGAATGCCTCCTGTTCCCCTACCTCCCCATACACCGACCCACGGTGCAATTTTCCCCAGATTACAAGGAAAGCTCTGGGGATGCACAACCTGAAAGGCAGCTGGGAGCCACCTGTCAGGGAATGTCACCACTGCGCCCTCACACCGATCGCCCCTGGGACTTGACAGGTGGCTGCATCCTCATGTGGGACCGGATTCTCTTTTTATTACACCCCCCGTTGAGCTATTCCCCGCTTCAAGTTTTGCATTTTCGGAATGCAAAACTTCACCAGTGCTGGGCTGGGTTTCCCCTTGGGGGGCCTGGGGATGCTTCAATGAGGAGAGAGGACAGGAATGAGTTCATAGAGAAAAAGCCAAATGCATATTTATCTCACAATTATACGTAAAAGTCAAAAAATCTGAAAGCGATCTAAGTGTCCAATAGGAAGGGAATGCTTAGTATCAATAAGAGATCTGGAAAGCTGCTGTAAAAGTAACTGTCAAAAGCACACCACCATATCAGGAAGTGATTTGAATGTATTAAGAAAGAGAACATGGAACTGTATGCCCACTATGATTACATGTTTTAAATTTTTGCAAGGAAATGCAGAAATGAATAAAGTTCTTGAGACAGATTGTAAGTTTGCTGTTTCGTTAAAAAAAAAAACTCCTTTAATACTATATTATTTTTATAATAAGTAACATTAAAAGAAAAACATTAGGAATCTGGAGAAAAAGGGATCCTAAATGGGAATCCCTAAGTCCTGGCTTCCAGCCCTGTGTCTGCCCCATCCACAACCGCATGGCTTTGGATACTTTCCTCTAAGCCTCAGTTTCCACAATGATACACTAAGTTCCACTGTGTGATTGCCTGGGTATCTTCCAGATCGGACTTCCCACAGTTTGGTTTATCCACAAACAGTGCTTACTGACCTAATTAGGTTATGACTTCAACCACTGATATCTACCAAACCAAGAGAGTTGGAAATCTGGTCAGAACGCCATCTGCGTACACTGCTCCCGGTAATTCTGAGCAATTTGCCACATACGATTTCAGCCATGCTTGACTTTCCAGGGCACAAATAGAAACTACTATATTGCTTTAAGGCTGAATCACTTAGCACTTCCCAGAATTCAGATATGATTTATACCGTCATTTTAAAATAAAACTCTCCTGTCTAAGAATTGCACTATTTACCATAGAGCATTTCCTAATTTTGGAAGGAAAAAAAAAGAAAATATTTATTCAGAAAGCACTTCATATTTACATAGCACCTACCGCTAATGAAACATCTTATCCGATCTTAATGATGAGATTAAGGTGTAAATTTAGAGCTCCACCCACCAGCCTGGTGCATTTCTTATTCAGTCCAAGTCTGTTTGAGATAAGTTACCAGACTTCAGCTTTCAGAGTTAATGTGTGGGAGCTATTTTTTCCCTTCTAGAAAGAAGCACTTGCCAGTAACATTTTAGCTATTTCCCAAGGCTCAGAGAAGGTTCTCCATACTTTTCTATGTTGGAGGTGGGACTGCTGCCAGCTTGGAGGGAAGGGAAAGGTTACTCACACTCGATGGGAAAGAGCTCTACTGTCCATGGTCTTCCTCACATATTTGCAGTTGGTCAGCTCCTAAGAAAACAGTGCCTTACTCCTACAAAAAGAAATCTGCTGAAGAACAGCATCCAAGGTGCACCACCATCCCCAGGGTAAATGCCCCGCAACCACCTGCATCCAGGTGCACCTGCAGTTTCCCACCCCCCAGCTCATCCCTCCATCCAGCCTTTGCCAGCCTTCCTTCGTCCCCTTGGCTTCCTCCTCCGCCTCCTCCTTCCAGGGTCTCCTCTGCAGCACTCCCTGGCCTCCCAGGCACTACCTCCCCTTCTTGTCACCCAAGAGCAGTTGGCACAGATCTCTGTGGGCATCACACAGACTTCCTCCCATCACCCTCTCAGATCCTCCTCTGCGGCCCCCATGCTAGGTGGGAGCCTCATTGTCTCTCTAACTGTGGCAACAGGCGAAGCACGTGCTCTCACTCACAGGGTCCTTGGAGTGCCTGCTCTGGTTGCCACATGCCATGGGGTGCGGTTGCTGCTCTCAAGAAGCCCACATCCTCCTGCAGGGGACCTAGCCCACGGAGAGTGCCAAGTGTATGCTTGTCAGAGGTGAAAGAGGTGTGTGTGTGTGTGTGTATGTATGTGCATGTGTGTGTGTGTGCATGTCTGTGCTTGTGCATGCATGGGCTGCATTAATCCTCATACCAATCTCCTAAGTGATCTTGGCCAGAGGCAGGAGAATGGGGAGTGGGCACTGCTGGACGAGGAGGGGGCCAGAGCGGGAGATTATTCACTGGGGTGCCCAGGAAAGAATGCCCGCCATAGGATGGTCTCCCATGAGGCTTCCCTTCTGCCCTGCCTTGGTCAGCATCGGGCAGGCCTCCCACAGGCCTCTCCTCTGAAGAGTCCAATTTCAGACCGTCAGCATGGCCCTGGGACAGCAATGGTCTGGTTCCACCAGTCTCTCCCCTTCCTCCTCATACCCCAGCTCGAAGCCACTGCCGCCGGAGCAAGGGCCTGCAGATGCCCTACCTTGCGTCACTCAGGGAGTCTGAGAATGCTGAAAATCTACTGGGTCAGAATGTCTGCAGGTGGGACCCAGGAATCTGCATTTCCAACAACTTCCCAGATGACTGCTGTGCTCACTAGAATTTGAGAATCACTCACTTAAGCTCTAAGCTTCTTAATCAAAGTCTCCTCCTTGGCAGGGGGCCCGAGTGCCCCGGAGGACACTCTCACGGTCCCGCCAGCTGCCCACTTTCCCTCATGGAAGAATAGGACCAGAACTCAATTGTGTTTTTTTAAAAAGAAAATATATATATATATATATATATTTTTTTTTTAAAAAAAAACAAGCATAATTCATAATTCTGATCCAGATTCTTGCTAATGCATCAACTCACTGGCTTAGGAACAGTTGCTTAAATGTAAATTAGTTATCTGAGAAAGAAAATCACATTACAGGCAAACATAGAGCTTGTACTTGGCCTGACCTGCAGGACATTCTGGATATTAAAGGACTCATGAGACCCAGCCCAAAGCCCGGGCCGAGGATGTGCCTGGCACACAGTGGGTGCTATTCGCTGTTATCCATAAATGGCAGCCTTCAGCAGAGGTGGGCTTTCAACACGGAGACGCTCATCAGCCTCACACCTTGTCATTTTATCATCACAGCCATAGAAAGTCATTCCTAACGGGAGGAACACACTACACCCTGCCCAGCCCACATGAAGGCAACCCTAGACTGACAAGTGTAAAATGTCAGATAGAATAAAAAGCTTTCAATGACAATAAGTCAAGTTGCACACACTAGAAAGATGCGGTGAGGTTAAGTGACTTACCTCAGCTACAAAGTAAACCCCCAGCAGCGGGAGGAATATAATCCAAGTCTCCAGTGTCCCACTCTGATCCTATCTCTTTTCTAGATCCTGCTGCCTCTCCAGTGAAAAGGGAGACTTCAAATGAAAAGTAAGCACAGTAGCTTGTTCTGCTGCTAATAGAGGCAGTGGCACGGCTGCTGCCAGCATCCTCTGAAAAGATTTAACACTAGAAATATTCGAAACAGAACAGAGGCGTCGGAGGTCACCCGGCCAGTCCTGTCCCGCAGGGATCAGTCCCACCTTCTTAGCGATCTCCAGGCAGTGGCTCCATGGTCTCTCGGAAGCTGAGATGGGCCCCATGAAACTCTGCCTTTACTTCCAGGGCTGACGTGTGGGCAAGTAGAATCAATTAACCCCGAACTCCCCTCTGAACTCTCTCCCCAGTCCTGCCCTCACTCTACTCTGTTTCTGGCTCTAAACTCTTGTACACTCTACAAGTCTTCCTCTATAGCTCACCTCTTTTCCTCCTCTCCAATCCTGTAACACCACAGTGTGAGGCTTTGGTGTTGAAATATCGCTAAGTCTACCCTTGGAGGAGGCATTCAACCACTGTCCCAGCAAAGATCCCACTTGGCCTCCACTATTGGTGAACCGTCCACATGCTCTTCTCCCTTTCTTCCTTGCTAACAGGACCCTGATCCTGATTCCTTTCCACCCCTCGGGGAAGGGCACTGACCTCAGGCTCAGGATGAATTCCAATTTGCTCATGTCAATCTCAGCAGTCCCATTCCTCTGGCCAGGGATTAACTTTCCGCACAGCAACGTGATGAAGTTTGGCCAAGGAGACATGGAGAAGGCTGGCAGGCTTATGGACAAGGTTTCTTCTTTCTTAAAGAGAGATATAGGAAGAGACCTCCTCTCCTTCCTCTGGACATGGTCAGGTCTCAAAATGATGACCAGGAACAATGAAAGCATCTTGCAACCACCAAGGGAACCAGCCTAACATTCTGAAGACGGCAGAGCAAAAAGATGGAGGGAACCTGGACTTCCAATGTCATCTCTGAGCTACTGAATTAGCTAATCCTAGAGTCACATATCCAGCAACTTCCTGGGGAGAGCCCAACCCATTCTTCAGTTTGTGAACATCTGATCTCACACGCAAAGGTCATCTCCACTGATAAGTAGTGAGTTTCCGTCACTAGAAATGCTCGAGGAGAAGGAGGAGGCAGAGAGCAGAGATTTCTGTCCTTTAAAGGGTGAAGTCTGCATAAAGACCTCATCCACCCAAAGTTTCCGAAGAGCCTACCTGGATAAGGAAAAGCCATTAAAACAAACAACTTGCACCTGATTTGTTGAAAACATAAAGTATTGCCACTGTCAGATTGAAAATTGTTTTCCAGGAATGTAGTAGGAAGAAAGGGATGCAAACAAGATAAGTAGCTTCAAGAATTCAGATGGCTGTTTGAAAAAATGCTAAGAAAATTCTATTCAGTGTCAGGTCAGAAAGATATTTCAGGCTGACACCTTGTAACACTGTGATATCAGAAGACCACTGCAAATCCACACCTCTGTATCACCTTAGATGTAAAAGAGATATTGTTAAATATCTACTTGAGCCCTTCCCAAAAAAAAGGATTTCACAGAAACCCAATCTGACATAAAATGATAATTCTGACCCAGATCCCCTTATGGTCTTACACAGTCAAGCATAAAGCAAACTGTTTCATTACGGACAATTTCAGATCACGATGCCAGCATTATTTATTTGGTCCACATCTCACATTGCTTTGTCACGTTACTCATTTTTTGTGGCCCTGTCTTCCCTCTCCAACCAAGCGCAATGTCCCTAGAGAGGCAAAATCATACCTGAAGTACACGCTGGAATCTAGGCTCTCAGTAAATGAAAGGGCTGAATGGCCAGAGTAGGACCTAACACCTTTCCTTCCTTCCTTAGGTGACAAAGACAAGAGGGAGTGCATGGTACTCCTATTAAAATCAATCAGCTAAAGACACTAAATATTTAGATTCAAGTGATGAGGATTAAACTGTAATCTTAACACTGATTTCAACGTTCTAGACATACAATCTGAGACTCATTTATTTCTTCAGCCAATATTTAATGAGCTCCTGTAAGTGCAAGGCATTAAAATAGAATAGAATGGTATCTGCCCTACAGTGCCTAGCCTAGCAAGATTAAGTGAACTTTAATGTGATCAATTCCATGTTAGAGGTATAAGGCAATATGTGATTTTGTGAAAGGTGTGATTATTTGTGGCAGGGCAAATCAGGGTAGGCTGTATGTGCCTTGCACATAGAAGATGCCCAATAAATGCATGATGGATGGATTGATGGGGTGACATTTTGTAGGCTTTGAAAGGGGTGTCATATAGTCAGAGTAAGGGACAGGAGATTCCAGCCAACAAAGCCACACAACCCAAAGCAAAGGGATCAGGAAAGCATAGGACGTGACCTGGGACCCTACGGCTGGAACATCAGGTCCACTGGAGCATAAAGCTAGAATGAAACCAGGGAGTGGAGGGCCACAAGTGGCCCACCAGCGTGTTCAGACCTTGTCTGATCTAGAGTGCCAGATGCAGGGACTGCAACTCGACAAGTCAGCTAAAAGAAAACCTTAGAAACCTACTGCATGGGATGAAAGCAATATTTATCATACACTCACGCCAGCCTGGGGTTGAGTGCTTTTTAAAAATGAAGTAGGCTGGGCCAGTGGCTCATGCCTGTAATCCTAGTGTTTTAGTAGGCCGAAATGGGAGTATTGCTTGAGCCTAGGCGTTTGAGACCAGGCTGGACAATACAGCAAGACCCCACCTCTACAAAAAAACTTGTTAAAAAAAATAGCAGGGTGTATTGATGCATGCTTATAGTCCCAGCTACAAGGGAGGTTGAGGCAGGAGGATTTCTTAAATCTAGGAGCTCGAGGCTGCAGTGAGCTATGACTGTTCTACTGTACTTCTGCCTAGGTGACAGAGTGAGATCCTGTCTCCAAATAAAATAAAAATGAAATATTTCAACAAATATAAATAAAAGGTAATAATATTACAAGGAGCACATGTACACCCACTCAGCTTTGACAAAATTTAGCGTTTTGCATAGTTCTACTTTCAAGAAATAAATTACTTAATGTGCAGTAAAACCTGTCTTCTCCGTCATCTTCCCCTTCCTGGAGGAGCCGCTATACTGAATTTTTTGTTAATCAATCCCATGCATATTCTACTATTCTTACTAGATATATACTTATTCATATGCACACACATAAACATATATAATAGTTTGTTTTAAAATTTTATGGAAATGGTTTTGTACTGTAGATATTCTACGTTGTTTTGTTCACTCAACTTTTTTTCACATTTATCCATGATGACACAAATGTGGCTTTAACAGTTGGACAGTATTATAGTATTCTATTAAATGAATATTTGCAATTTATCCAGTCTCCTTTTTATTTTCCCACACAGAGTCTTGCTCAGTCACCCAGGCTGGAGTGCAGTGGTGCAAATTATAGCTCACTGCAGTCTCAAAGTCCTGGGCTCAAGCGATCCTCCCACCTCGGCCTCTCACGTAGCTGAGACTAGAGGTGTGCACCAACAGGCCCTGCTGAGTTTTAGTTTATTTTTTGTAGACATGAGGTCTCACTATGTTGTCCAGGCTGGTCTCAGATTCCTGGACTCAAGTGATCCTCCCCTCTCAGCCTCCCAAAGTGTTGGGATTACAGGTGTGAGCCACTGCACCCACTTCCAGTCGCTTTTTAATGGTTTTTTTTTTTCTTAATTTCCAGCATTTTTGCCACTAAAAGCAATGTTGGAAAGGATAGTCCTGGCAATGACACCAGCAGATGGTAGGTGTCTCAAAGAGAGTAAACCAGTTTACATATTCAGCAGCAGTATGCATTATTAGTGCTTGACACACTTGCCTGCATTTTATGCCATATGATAGATATGAAACAGTATGTTATTGTTTTAATTGCATTTTTCTGGATTGCTAATAAGGTTGAACATCTTTTTATATACACCGATCTTTTGATTTCCTCTTCAGAAAGTGCCTGTTCATATTTTTTGCCCACTTTTATAAATTGGGTCTTTTTTTCCTTATTGGGTTGAAGGAGGTTCTTTATAAATTCTGAACACCAATCTTTTGTTGGTTCTATGTCCTGCAAATATCTGCCTACCATCTGGGGCTTATCTTTTAAGATTGTTTTTGGTGTTCATGTGTCCTGGATATAGTTTTATTCCTAACTATAATTCATGAAATACTTGCAATCAACCCCATTTGATAGATGAGAAAACTGATCCTGTGTGCTACGTTAACCCAGCTGTAATGGAAAAGAGGCACAACTCGAGCCCAGGTCTCTATAACCTTTGCTTCCTCCAAGTTCTCTTCTAGGCCATCCTCTCTCTTAGGTGAGAGGTAGGAATGCATGTCTGTACCAGCAGGTGGCACCAGGAATGGCATGAAAGGAACCAAGCAAGGGCTATTGCTAGAGAAAAAGCAAGACAAAGGCCTGGAGTGGTGGTTCATACCTGTAATCCCAGCACTTGGGAGAGACAAGGTGGGAGGATCGCTTGAGTCCAGAAGTTTGAGACAAGCCTGGCTAACACAGTGAGACCCCATCTCTACAAAAAACAAATTATTTATAAATTAGCCAGGTGTGGTGGTGCATGCCCACAGTCCCAGCTACTTGGAAGGCTGAGGTAGGAGGATCACTTGAGCCTGGGAGGTGGAGGCTGCAGTGAGCCAAGATTGCACCCTGCACTCCAGTCTGGGCAACAGAATGAGACCCTGACTCAAATAAATAAATAAATAAATAAATAAATAGATAGATAAAAAGATAAAGAAAAAAGAAAAAGAAAAGAAAACTCAAGAGGAATTGACTGATGACTGGATGCCAGTAGCAAGGACAAAGAGAAGGCTGTGTCCAGGCTAGGGGGTCCAATGGTACCATTAAAGATGCAGGAATAGGGGAGGAGGCAGTGGGAGTTGGTTTTACATGTGCTGCCCTGAGATGCCGGTGTTAAGTCTTACAGAGGAGTTAGAAATGTGGAGCAGGACATTTGGAAGCCATTTGCAGTGATGCCCTGCAGCCGTGGGGCCGGGTGAGTTACCTGCATGTGAAACTGAAGAAACTGAAGCCCAGCTCTGGTGGCCCCAAATCCATCCTGCCCATGGGACTGTTCAAGTCCCCCAACACCTCCTCTCATACTCACTTTTCCTCCTTTATCTGACACCCAGCACAATGCCAAGGTCATCGTAAGCATTCAATAAATATTTGCTGAATGAATGAAAAGCGTTATATTTCTTATACAGATCCACCACAATCTCTTATGCAAAAACCCTGCGGTTCAGAATTTTTTCGCCCTTAGAAAAGTAATCAAGTGTAACACACCCACTGGGGTCAAAGGTACAACTCCATTCTGCAGTTAAGCATACAAATGTTCATAGCAAGTGAGATAAACAAAGAGTATAAATAATCTTAAATTACATGAGGTTGTGTTTTGCTGCCAAATGACCTCATGCCAAACTTAAAACTTTCAGGTTTGCGATAAGGGACTGTGAACTCATTGCTTTTAAAATTCTTCTGACAACTCAAGAGTAAGAAATGTATTTTTCACTGCAACTCATTGTGCACGCACACACACACACGCACTTATGAATGTAGAAGTGAGCAAATGTTTTAGCAAATAATACATATCCTTACAACCTTGGAAGCACTATGGTACTTTTTATTTTACTCATTTTAGTTTTAGAATTCTGGTTGCAACCCATTATATGGAGTTTGCAGCCCAAATGGAACACTTTGACCTGAGACTCCCCTCTAGGTTTAGGGGGGTAGGTGAGGACCCTGGCTGGAAAGATCTGATGCTCTGGAAGCCATGATGTGAAAGCTCTGCAGTGGGGACAGGGGGTATCCCGGGTGATAAAGGTTAGAAAGAGAAACTGCTGATCTCACGTTCGTAGGGAGCTGGCCATGGTCCTGCCCTGCAAACAAGAGCCGGGAGACTGCAAGAAAGGCTGAGTAAAGCCCAAAGAGAAACTCTTCCCCCTGGATGATGATCAAGAACCTCATTCTGCCGGCTTCTGGAGGAATCTTGGCCAGAAAAGAACTCAGAATCCCTTTCAACCTCTTTCAATTTTTCTGGTCTGCAATAATCAATAAATAGGTTTCTCGCCATGGAAGACTGGAGCAGAAAGGGGCCTGACAGACCAAACCATCCAACCAGTCAGTCCGCCTCATCTTACAGGAGGCCATGAGGGCCAAGGAGACCTGGAGCAACTGGCCCAGGACCCCCGCTGAGGGCCTCCTGCCCACCATGCAGCCCTTGACTACCCACAGTCGCCAACCCTGCTCCCCAGCTTGCTTGCTTTTCTTTCTCTTTTCTTTTTTCTTTTCTCTTTCTTTCTCTTTCTTTCTTTTTCTTTTCTTTCTTTCTTTTAGACGGAGTTTCACTCTTGTCAATCAGGCTGGAGTGCAATGGTGTGATCTCGGCTCACTGCAACCTCCACCTCCCGGGTTCAAACGATTCTCCTGCCTCAGCCTCCCAATTAGCTGGGAACACAGGCGTGTGCCACCATGCCCGGCTAATTTTGTATTTTTAGTAGAGACAGGGTTTCACCATGTTGACCAGGCTAGTGTCGAACTCCTGACCTCGGGTGATCCGCCCACCTCGGCCTCCCAAAGTGCTGAGATTTCAGGAGTGAGCCACCACGCCCAGATCCTCCCCAGCTTTCTAGCCCAGCTTTTATCTCAAGTCAAAGCCTCACCCACTGCCCTTAGCACGAAGATGGCTATGCAAGAAAAACTTTTCTGCGAGCAGTTCTGGTGCTTCCCTGCTCCCCGCACTCCACTGTGGGTGGCGTCTTGTGCCAGCAGCACTTAGTGCCCGGCCACATCCTTAGTCTCTTAGTTATAATAGCCAGATGTTGGCAACATGGTCCTTTTCTTCTTCTTGAAATTCTCTAAGATGCCTTCAAATTTAGTTTAAGTATTTTATACTTAAATATTGGAAAAGGATATAAAAACTAGTGTAATAACTACTTCAAGTCACGCCTATCTTTCCCTTTTTTCATTTCTTATAAGAAATAAATGTACTCTCTATAATTCAAAATTTACCCTTTATACTTCAGGGTCTTTACATTATGTAATTTTTTTTGTTTGTTTTTTTGAGATGGAGTCTTGCTCTGTCGCACAGGCTGGAGTGCAGTGGCGTGATCTCGGCTCACTGCAAGTTCTGCCTCCCGGGTTCACGCCATTCTCCTGCCTCAGCCTCCCAAGTAGCTGGGACTACAGGTGTCCGCCACCACGCCAGACTAATTTTTTGTATTTTTAGTAGAGATGGGGGTTTCACCGTGTTAGCCCGGATGGTCTCGATCTCCTGACCTCATGATCCACCCGCCTCGGCCTCCCAAAGTGCTGGGATTACAGGCGTGAGCCACCGCGCCCGGCCTTTTTTTTTTTTTTGACAGAGTCTTGCTGTGTCGCCCAGGCTGGAGTGCCGTGGTCATATCCTAGATCCACTGAATCAGAAAACGTTTTTTAAAAAGACTTTCCATAAGCCCACAAACTTACAAAGGAGCAGAGCCAAGTTGCACATGATATATACATATATATGTATGTATCTCGGCTCACTGCAACCTCTGTCTCCGGGGTTCAAGCGATTCTCCTGCTGCAGCCTCCTGAGTACCAGCGATTACAGGTGTGCACCACCATGCCCAGCTAATGTTTTGTATTTTTGGTAGATAAGGGATTTCACTATGTTGACCAGACTGGTCTGAAACCCCTGGCCTCAAGTGATCGTCCCCCTTCAACCTCCCAAAGTGCTGGGAGTACAGGCCAGAGCCACTACACCCGGCCATTATCTACTTTTCATTTGGGGGCATTTGTAATTTCCCTCTCAAATGGATCAGAGGACCTCAGAAACAGAAAGGGACTTCTCCTGGGAACCCTCTGTCTCCCAAATACCCCACTTCAAATCATCCACTGCAGTGCACAGACTGGGGGCTGGTGGGACCGACATCGATGGAGTGGTTACTAGCAGCCAGACACTAGGCAGATGACCACACCTATCATCCTCACAGACCTCTGGGGTGGCATCAACGTCAGCATTGTCAATGTCATCATCAGCATCATCATTTCTGAGGCTCCAAGATTCCCAAGTTACTTACCCAAAGCCCAGGCCTGCCTGCACCTTCCCTCTCCTCTCCTGCAGACTGACTGCTGCTTCTTTAAAACACAGAATGCCACTAAAAAATAGGCTGAAGGAGGGAGAGCATCAGGAAGAGCAGCTAGTGGGTGCTGAGCTTAATACCTGGGTGATGGGATGCTCTGTGAAGCAAACCACCACGGCACATGCTTACCTATGTAACAAACCTGCACATCCTGCACATGTACCTCTGAACTTAAAGTAAAAGTTGGAAAGAAAAAAAGTAGGCTGATACAAAGGCAAATTTCCTTATAAAATCTTTAACGAGAAAGCCTGCAGCTCCAGGCTAGAGAAACAGGGATGTATTTTCAATATTAACTCATGAGTAGCGTTCAAGTTTGTGCAAATACGTAAGTGGACATTTTTGGTTGACTTTCTTTCCCCAAACTGCAAATATTATCTGCAAGGTCAACCCTCCATCTCAAATGAGATTCTGCTATATATCAAACAGCAATGAATCTTGGTTTTAAGAATTATATGAATGTAAGGTATTCTTAAATATATTGTATCTTCTAAGTTTTTTCTTTTTAAGAAGCTACTTGCTGTAGTGTTAGTAACACCTAAGACAAGCATGAGAATCAGCATGGAAGTCAGAAATGATCACATGCCAGTCAAATAGGTAACACTGACTTGTGAGACTGGTGCTTTTAGGCACCAGTGCAATTTTGCAGGGGCTCCCCCAGCACACACTGTTCTGAATCTCCTTTCTTCTGGAAGCTAGAATGACAGCCTGATTCTCCTAGCGAACAGATGTACTGACTGTGACAAAACGCACCCGCCATGCCAATAAATCTAATGAGTAACTCAAGCCAAAATATATATGTATATATCATGTGCAACTTGGCTCTCCTCCTTTGTAAGTTTGTGGGCTTATGGAAGGTCTTTTTCAAAAACATTTTCTGATTCAGTGGATCTGGGATATGACCCAGGCACTGGTAACATTTAAAAGCTCAAACGGGTGATTCTGATGCATATATCTGGTTAAGACTAGACCACATTTAATTCATGGTTGTATGTTCCTCAAAACACTTGCTGCCAATTAGTAATTCCACTGTTTTCCAATTAAGTCTATGATTAAAACTAACTTTAATTGTCATTTTATTTTTGGATTGGGAAGACATTTTTAACCACAAGAGCAGAAGAAAGCATAAAATAAAAACTTGACAAATTTGACCAGATAAAAGTAAACTTTTCTGAATGTCAAAAATGCTATCAACAAAGCTAAAGAATAAATGAGGGAAAATATATGTACCAGTGACAAAAGTTAATAATTCATCCAACAGATATTTTTAAAATATCTTTTGAATTGGTGATTCCACTTCTCAGTATTTACCCTAAGGAAATAAGCAGAGATGTATACAAAGATTCAGTACAAGGATACTTCCTTGCAGCATAACCTATTACATAATAAGAAACAGGCTAAAAGTTCATCAGTAACAGATGCCTGGATAAGCTGGCATGCATCCATCTGATGGAATGCCAACTTGTCAACAAATACTTTTAAATCTTATCTCAAAATTTGGTGAAACATTCAAATAGTTTTACACGGAAGAGTAGGTTACAAAACTTTAATAATAAAAATAATTTTACAGTTTCCTTTAATTTCTAATTTTTTGCAGTGAACATGTATTATGTTTTTAACAAAACACCATTAGAATACTGCACAACGAAGGCATTGGTGTATCTGAACTGAATAAGGTATCAGACGGATCAAAGCTTTCCATGCTACCATTGCACTCCTCAGTGGCAAATGCTTGGAAAAGGAAGATGGACCGATGTTAGTCAAGCAGCCTTTTCCTGGAAAAAGTAACCATGAGAGTCAAAGGCCCCCATGAGGTTCACTTTGCCCCACATCCCATCAACCCAGGACAGGCAGGCCTCCTGCCAACAGCTGGGTCCTTGGGCTCCAGCCGACAAAGTCTACAACTGACTTCCATGTTGGTGTCTTCTTATCTTTGTATTGCAGTTTTTAGCTGTTTTTCAACAAATACCATATGAAGAATATGCATACTCAAGACCTCACTGAATGTCACCCAAACACCAAATGAAAATCTAGCTGGAATGAAGACATTTGGTTTCAGGATGGCAGATTCTGAGAGATTTCGCCCACTTGCATATGATTTGCACATCCTTTGTACCATCTGATGAGAACGGTGTGCTCCATCAATCAATGCCACTGAGTTCTCAAGTTTCAGTTCCATCCAGAAGATGGAAGGTTGCCTAGAGTCAAGTTAAATCTGATTTCCTCAGAGATAGTCAAGTAAGTTTGTCATCAGCAACAGGACACTTGCCATCTGACATGGCAAGGCTAAGAACTCTCATATAGACTTTGTCTCCTTAGCCCACTTGGTCCCACTCATAAGCCCTCAAGAGACACAAAGTGATAATAAAAGTATTTGTGTATTTTCCCCATTGGGTTTCCAGAAATGTCATTTTCGTCACACCCTCCCACTCACCACTTCTACATTCAGGATGCAATACTGCAGCCAGAGTTGGTACAATGCAAACATTCCACGAGAAGTTAGAAAACTTGGGTTCCAGCATAAACTTGAGCAATATGCCACTTTGAACCCATTTTCTTATGTGTAAAAGTAGATAATACCAGCACTGCTGAACACACAGGGCAATATTTTCTTTTTTTTTTTTAAAAAAAAAAGGCAATAAATATTGGTTAAAAAAATTATACAGGCTGGGTGCGGTGTCTCACACCTGTAATCCCAGCACTTTGGGAGGCCGGGGTGGGCGTATCAACCGAGGTCAGGAGTTCAAGACTAGCCTGGTCAACATGGTGAAACCCCATCTCTACTAAAAATACAAAATTAGCCGGGCGTGGTGGTGCACACCTGTGGTCCCAGCTACTTGGGAGGCTGAGGCAGGAGAATCGCTTGAACCCAGGAGGCGGAGGCTGCAGTGAGCCAAGATCACGCCACCGCACTCCAGCCTGGGGGACAAGAGCTAGACTCCATCTCAAAAAAAAAAAAAAAAAAAAAAAAATTATACAAATGTAAAGTATTACTAAATACATCGTAAATTCTACAGTTTTTTTTTTAAAGCTATTTGCTATAGTGTTAGTAACATCTAAGGCAAGATGAGAATTCACGTGGAAGTCAAAAATAATCACATGCCCATCAAATACGTAATATCAACTGGTGAGACTGGTGATTTCTGGGAACCGGTGCAATTTTGCCGGGGGGCTCCCCCAGCATACACTGTTGTGAAAGTTGTTGGCAAGCTAGAGCCTTGCTAGGCTCTGCAGTTTACAGACCAGCAGCACTGGCTTCGACTTCCGGCTTGTTAGGAAGGCAGAATCCCACGACCCACTCCAGAAATACCGAATTGGAATCTGCAATTGAACTAGATCCCCAGGTGACTCTCTCACACACACACACGCACTCACACACGCACAACACACACACACGCATGCACACACACATGCACGACACACAGGCGCGCGCGCACACACACACAAAGTTTGAGGACTGAGCTGGAGGCCTGTCAATCCTGGTAGCATTATTTCTAAGAGCTGGTACGTGAGCAAGAGGACCCAGTGGACTCGGTGAACTTGAGGTCCTATTTTTAGCAGTCTCGAGTTTTTCCTGACGCTACTAATGCTGTGTGTACTTCTCACTCACGGAATACGAGGTGTCAGAAAGCACAATTTGGAACTGTATCTTGGTAATTTCACAACTGGGACAGGAACTCTTGTCTCATCAGAACTATGCCGAAAAGCTTTCTCCATAGGCTAGGATGACTATGTGGTCATGCATGTTTGAATTATGTTCCTGTTTCCAATTAAATATCCCTTACAGAAAGGTTCAAGGTACCTCTTTTATAGTATGTGGAAAGTTTATTTTTGAATAATTTATTTATTGCTTGCACAAGTGATAAGAACCTCTTAGAAATCTTGTTCCCTTAACTATTAGTCTATTCACATTCTTGGACGAATAAAAAGCTTTACTTTCTTTTGAATCTTAAGTGGGGCTAGGAGGGAGAAATACAAATTCTGTTCTGTTTCAAAAGTTGGTTTTAAATAGACTTTGCATCTTGGAAACTTCTGGAACATTCCCCCATGGAAAAAAAAATGATTATTAGGTTCTGAATTGAGCTCATGTAGGTGTAACATAGAAAGGGGTATTAATAAGAATTTTCTTTATGGGTATAGTCTAGGAGAATAATGAGCTTCTTCCCCCTTCCCTAGCCCCTGGGCACCCTCAACGCCCCACCAGGTAGGCACGCTGTCCATTTTCGCCCTCCTCTGTCCAAAAAGCAGCAGCTGCCACCTCCCTGGGAAGAGGCAGGCACCCTATTACAGCTCCCGCTCCACTGAACCACATCTCCTTTCTTCAGATCTCTTCTCTTAGCTGGGTACAGCAGGAGGGCAATCGTCCAACCAAAGTCACATCGAAAATCTGGAAGCTTGGCAAGGCTGTCCAGCTGACTTTTGTCACCCTGGCCTCTAACACAATAGCCACACCATTGCTGCTGCCCAATAAATACCTGTTAAATGGCTGAATCTACTAAAACATTTTTAAAAGATGATGCTTATCATTAGCACAAGTCAACCTCCAACTGGGGGAATTTTAGGCTCTGGCTTCAAGTGAAAATTCTGGGAGAGAAGGGGCTGGAGGCAGGAATGGCACTGCTGGGCAGGGCAGCCCTGCCTGGAGAGCGAGCTCTGAGATCAGCTCCTCTCTTACAGTCGCTGGATTTTTTTCATAACTCCTTTACTTTCTTTACTTCTAAATCCACATTCTTTAAAATCTCCAAGTTTCCTTGCAACTCCCTAGGCAAGGGCAATGAAGGATTTACTCATTCACTCGCTCAAATATTATATAGGTATTGAATTTCTAATGTGTCTCACGCATTGTTCTAGGTCTTGAAAAAACAGCCACCAACAGAACAAAGCCCCTGCCCTCCCTGAGCATATATTTAGCGGAGGAGACAAAACTATAATGTGAGGTCATGATGGAGGTGATGAGGAAGTTAAGGGAGACCATGGCAGAGGTGCCACTCTAGACAGGCTGGGCAGAGCCCTCTCTGCGGAGGAGACAATTTAGCAGAGATGGAGCCATAAGCACATGGGGAGGAGCATCCCAGACAAAGCGAGCAGCAAATGCAAGGGCCCTGAGGCACGGGGGAGTAGGGCACCCTAGCGGGTTGGGTGCTGGGAGGGAGAGGGGGTGCAGCCAGTTTAAGTAGGGCTCATTTTTTTTCTTTTCATTTTGTTTTGTTTTGAGGCAGGGTCTAACTCTGTCGCCCAGGGTGGAGTGCAGTAGCACAATCTCAGCTCACTGCAGTCTCGACCTCCCCAGACTCAGGCGATCCTTCCACTTCAGCCTCCCAAGTAGCTGGGACTACAGGCATAAGCCATCATGCCCAGCTAATTTTCCGTATTTTTTGTAGAGACGGGGTCTTGCCACGTTGCCCAGGCTGGTCTCGAAATTCTTGGGCTCAAGCAATCTACCCACTTCGACCTCCCAAAGTGCTGGGATTACAAGTGTGAGCCAATCCACTTGGCCTCATTTTTAAAAAAGAATAGAATTTATGACTTCCACCTAATCCAAGCCTTCCACCTAATGGGACACGGAGTCCTTAATTAAGACTTTGTGTTCCACTCATTGTGTTTAGTACGCAATGATTTAGTCTACAAACTATCGTGAGATCTTATGACCACGAAGTGGCTGGGAGGATGGCACGGATAGAAGGCCACCACTGAGCAACTGTAAGTGTGCAAGTCCAATCAGACCACTTCCAGAAGGTGCTTTCCCCTACAACTAAGACAGCATTCACACTTAACCCTTGTAGCAACTTCCTACACTGAGAAACACAACAGAATTTTGCTGTATGATTCTCATCTTCTCAGAAAAATGTGTTGTCTCTTTGATCTGCCTAATTAGGCTAATTGAACTAGGAATCAAAGCAGTTTCTGGGGAGGAAGGTAGGAAGTTCTGTTTTTAGTTTGGCTATGATTTGTCCCAATCATTTTATGCTACAAAAGCTTTTGTTGGCGTTGGCCTCCGAGTCAGTGCTTTGAAAGGTGGCCGCAAATGTGATTTATGGGAAGGTGCTGCCGGGGGCATGCACTTTATGGGCAGGTGGTGCCGGAGGAAGTGGTTAGGAGACAGTTTCCTCACCCATCTCCTGGAGAGACCTCCATCTCCCTTACCCACCCTGCAGTGGTACCACGCACATCGGACGAAAGAGGCTGTCGCTAAAACGCTTTGAAAAGCATACACACGTGCACACACACAATGCTCACGGGTAGTATTTGCAGTACAGAATTCTAGTACTGTGCACCTCAGCTACAGACATCCCAATTTTTGAAAGTGTCCATAATTTATAGCAAGAGATATTTGGGTAAGTGCAGAAATTATACACGAGAGTCATTGAAACTGAGTTTATAAGAGTCAAAAATTGGAAAGAACCTGAATAACAAGAATTGTAAACTGCTGGACTTCCAGCAAGAGGGAGCTGGTTACATTCATGCAGAGCGGCCTTGAAAAAGATGCCGTGATTGGATAACGTACACTGTACACGGCTGAGAACAAAGGAATCTGAAATGACAATGAATGGAGTATTAGCAGCAGTGACCTAGTGAATTTTGTTCTGTTCATTTTTGTGCACTCTCTAAAATTATTTACAAATTATGTCATTTTTTATGATAAAAAGTTGTCTGAATTTTGGAAAAACAAGGATGGAGAGATGGAAGACAGGAAATTTTTACTAACCACCTTCTCTTCTGTTCCTCATCTGCCAGAGATTAAAAACTGGGAATCCACAAGAGCCAATGAATTTTCCCCCTCCTTGGTGGAAACTCTCACAGGAGAGAAGTCCTGGAAGATGGAAGTGGCCTCTCCTGTGCAACTCTCACTCCTTAGCATCAAGTTTGCAGCCCTCCGTGATCTGCATTCTAAGCACCCTTGCATTTGACCCTGCTCACCATTCCTCATGCTGTTTAGTTTGTGGGTTTATCTCGGCCTGGAGTGTCCTCCTAAGCCCTTTAGGGATGTGGCTCACCCTTTAAGGCCCCATCTAGAAACGCTCTCCTTCCCTTACGGACCCGCCACAATTTTAGTGTTGTATCTTGCAGTCTAGTTTGTTACAATCATGCCCACCTCCATAAATAATGTCACGGATGCCATCTGAGAAAGAGGAATGACAGCGGGAGAAACGAGGAGGATGTGTCCAGCAACATTTAGAAACAGCGAGGGCTTCTGGATGGGTCCAGGAGTGGCTGGAAAAGCAGTCACTGGCTGAAAAATTTCAACAGTTCTTTTCTTCCTTAAGACAAACCTGTGGGTCAATCCCAACTGACATAAACATCGTCTTTTTCACATCTTTTCCCCTGCAAGTTCGTCTTGGAATACTGAGACCTGCCCTCCATCCCAGCCCAGCATCCCGAGGACTTGCCTGCTCTTTCCCATGAGCTCTCCCATATTCAAATTCATTTATGCCGTTAGTTTACCGCTGCTAGAATGGCAACTCCATGCTTTGTGTCTTTTGCTTCCCAAGAGCCCAGAACAGTGCCTGAAGTCTAGTAAGCATCATCAATGTGCAAAAATAAAGAATTTACTTAAACATTATGTCCAGCTGCACTGTGCTTCTCAAGTTCCCCTACCGAATAGCTCTCTGAGAAGACAATTTTGCTGTACTCTCATTCTGAAAAAGGTGGGGACAGACAGGAAGCAAGAATGGAAGGGGACAAACACCAATTGTTGAGAAATGTGATCTTTTCAATAATTCAGCAGAACCTAACTCTATGGAAAATTCTGCCCACTCACAACCGGAAGCCCACCGAGGCACCAGTGTAAGTGTGCTAAAACAGTTTCGTGCCACTGAAAGGCTACTTCAGCATTCAAAGTTTCCATCAGGCAAGAGGAAGATGAGGAGGGACAGAGCTGACATGGGAAGAGTTAATGTGCAGTGCTCAGCATTCATGAAAACCTAGAGAGAAACCAACACTGCCTGTCCCTAGCTCAGAACTGGCTGCATTTGGAGGATTTTCACCCCATCCTTGGACACTTCCCTTCCATCACTGCCTTCTTATTCTTGCTCTGAGTTTCAAACCTATAAGGTGGTCATCAACCTCATGAGGAAAGACAGCCAGGAAGGTTGGAGGCAAAGACCAGGCACACAAAGATTAGAGAAACGGCTTTTATGCAGTCTTTTACTCCACTCAGACCAAATTCTCATTTTTTTGCCAGAATTTAAGATTGATATATTATATATAACACTAGTGTAAGATGGAGTTTTAGATCAGTTGCTGATGGCAGTTTTTTTAATTTTAGAAGAAATGGCAGCTACTGAATTAATCCTACTTAATCTCAATTTACACAGATAAATCTAAAAAATAAAATCCAGGGAGAAGACAGAAACTACAATTTGTTACAGTGACTTCCTAGAGAGATGAACAAAAAAGACACAGGAATTGCTTATGCTGGTAGTGTGAAAAGCAATGCTCCAACACCTGCCTTAAACTTCCTAAAATCATGAAGAGATTCAAACATTCAGGAGTTCAATCAAGCCACCCAGCCAGAGACCAGCTGAATCAGGCCCCACAAGAACTCAGGGAGACAGTCTGAGCTGTCCCAGAGCCACATAGTTGCTCGCATTTGGAAAGGTAATTCTTTATTTCTGAAAGTGGAAAAACTACCTGACAATGATCTCAATATTTTCTAGATTCCACAAATGGGGCTTTTAAAATGGCATGCTAATCCATTCTGTGATGTGGGTTTCTAAGGTCAAAATGGGGCTGTAAAGGGTCACTGAGAACCATTCAAGTAGTAAAGAAAATCCTAATTCCTAAGGGAGAACTTCTGAGATACTATTTGACTAAAAATGGAGCTTGCTTTGGAGGGAGACTGAGATAAACTCCCTGCTTCTGTGTCAAGGTACCCAGTCAAAAACTTGTGCTTTCTCTTCAAAATACAAAACTGCAAATCGACACAATTTTTGATCATGTCATATTTTAGGCAAAATCATTTCAATAAGTATTGATTTAGCATCTTTTCTCTGCTGCAAAATTGGGAATGTTCAAAATAAATTCAATTCAAAATTTTAATGGCAAAGTAATGCCTTCCACTGTTGTGGAATTTAAAAGCCATTGCTGACAGCTGTCGTACCCTTGGGAGGAGATGCGGAGTAATACTGCAAATGAAGTCCAAAATATCCCTCGTACCAATTTCATTTTATTCAGTAATTTCATTCTTGCTTTCAAGTCCCACAGAATACAGAAAGCAGGTGTCTGCCTCACTAATCATAGCCCAGGGTTTAATAATTCAATGTCGGGCCTCCTAAGAAAACGTCTCTAAGGGAAACACTTAATGTAGCGTATGGCAAGCTTTCCCTAATGAGCAATTCAGCACGAGTTTTGCAAGATCCTGGGAAATAAAAGGACACACTTTGGAGAACTGTGAATCTGACTGGAGATCACTGACTTCCTCTGAACTTCCTGCCTGCCGGCATCCATTGAGGAAGAGTATCAACCCCAATTTTAAATAGGCCAAGGAAGAAATCTCAGTATCTTTCTTGGAAATTTTCTCCTTGACACAGTATATATACAGCCCTTGGCACAGTGATTGGCACTCAATCGGGCGAGATATAAAAATGGGTATTCAGCATAAATTTCTCTGGAAAATGTCCTTCCACTGGGAAAATGAAGGCAATCGCCACACAGCCCGAATCCCTCATGGATTCATCCTTGGTTTCTCTTCCTTCAGGGCGCTTTTGTGCAGTTCTTTAAAGACAATTAATTAAAGTAGTTAATCACACAAAACTGTGACATATACAGTCAGTCTTAAACTTGATATTGTAGATGATCAGAAATAAAAATAATACCAGTTATAACCATTGCATCAATTTTGGTCATTTATTAGTGTTCAATTAGTTTTTTTGCAGATTGGTGGCTATTTTACAGGTTGAAAAGTTATCCACATCGCTTCTTGGCCTTTTGGCTAAGATCAAGTGTGAAAAGTGATCAGCAAGGTAGTGTAAATGATTTCCTATATGCCTGTATTGCAGTGGATCTTTGCGTTATGTGAGGTTTCAGTGCTTTTTCACATATAACTTTTGGAAGTCTGTTCGAGAGATTTCCAGAAAGAGTTCTCAGTCAAGCGTTGGTTGAAACAGGATGGTGACGGCTGTCCTTTTAACCTCTACCACATTCGGTTTTTAAAACAATGTCTCCCATCACACAGCAATGCTGAAGTAATTATCAAAACTTTCCCAGACTGTTCTTGGACACCCTGGTTAATGTCCTGTGAGTTATGGGTTACGAGATAAAGAAAAGCAAATAGGTCCTCTAGGCAGAACTGAGACTGAATATGCTAATATTTATTGCACGGTTCCAAGAAATAGCAGCTCTCATCCTTCTGACTTCACAAACCAGTAAAAAAGAATGTATATCTTTAGAGAACTCAGGGTTACAAACTTTTTTATTTTACCAAACAAGAACACACATTAGAGAAAAGGACATGAAGGTTTAAGGAACAATTTAAGGCTGAAAAAAATGGTGAAGTCCCCATCCTGTCCTTTTCTTTCCTATTTTGCCACAGGCTGGCACCTGCCCTCCGCTGGTCATTCAGCAACTGCGGGGGCTCCTGGTGCTCAAGCGCCCTTGATCTTGGCTTCAGGTCTGCAGGACACACCGACCGTCACCACTGCTGAGTCAAGAAGGGGGTCTCCCCTCACTCCCTTCCCCACATTCCTACTGATTCACTCCCACTGATGACTGGGTAGAAAAGTTGCAGAACACTGATTTAGATCATCGTATTGATACGATCTTCTTCTTCATTTCCTTTCCTTTAATTCACGTGGATTTTTTAAACAAAATTTACTTAGTAAAATTCCTTCACAGTACAAAGCTCTTTTATTTGGACAAAGTTGGCTCCAGGCACCGAAAAGCTTGATATTCATTTCCAGCCACCCCAACCTCAAGCACTTGCTAATTACAGCCAAAAGATCAGCAACTCTCACTGGGGAAATACATGGACCCTGTTTACAACATTTTCATACATGGAACACAAACATATACAAGCAGCTTCTGCGAATACTTATACATTACATGAAAAGCAAAAATAGTATCATGCTTTAAACTGTTTCTCAAAAAATAATTTCAAACGACAAGCTTTTAAATAATTAGGCCACTTAATTTTTATTACACCAAGAGTCAGAAAATGATTGCAGACTACATCCTTTTACACAAAACACATTTGTAGGGTTTCTAAAAAGCTACATACATAAAGGAAAAATTTTAGAATAATATCCTACTTTCAGTGTGTCAGGGAAATTTGCTAATATGTTTTAAGGTTATGTTAGTTTTTATTTTTTTAAAGTAATACATACCTGGATAGTCAATGAGGGTTCAATGCAGGTTCATGTGGGACTGCAAATCTGGCCTATTTTTTGATGAATCTTGCTTTCAAAATCTTATTGACGTGACCACCTTCCCTGCACATGATTAGTTTTACTGGCATCTGGGGGTCATACATGGGTCTCTTCAACTACCTCCTTAACTCAGAACTCCAGAAGCCAGCGAGCTCCAGAGAGGCCGGTATCGGGTCTTCCCATGCCTGAGGCACCCTTAGGTCCATTCCTGGCCTCAAGGGAATATGGTGGTTGGAGGGAAGAGTGGACACACCAACACCCAGGAGAGGGCCTGGCATGAAGCAGATGTCCAGTGGAGACAACTGTCATCCAAACAACTGAAAGGCTACCTTTAAGATACAATGCTGGCCGGGCGCGGTGGCTCATGCCTGTAATCCCAGCACTTTGGGAGGCTGAGGTGGGCAGATCACTTGAGGTCAGGAGTTCAAGATCAGCCTGGCCAATATGGTGAAACCCTGTCTCTACTAAAAATACAAAAAATTAGCTGGGCATGGTGGTGGGCACCTGTGGTCCCAGCTACTCAGGAGGCTGAGGCAGGAGAATCACTTGAACCCAGGAGGTGGAGGTTGCAGTGAGCTGAGATCATGCCACTTGTACTCCAGCCTGGGCAAGAGAGTGAGACTTCATCTCAAAAAAAAAAAAAAAAAAAAAAAAAAAGAATAAAAAAGATACAACGTTACAAAATGTTTACAGGCAAACCTTAGACAACCCAGATCCTTCAGCCCACATCTATTCTACTTCCCCACAAGAAGCTACAGGAAGGGAGACAGAAATCAAGGGCAGCAAGTGAACTCTTTAAGGCAACTGAAAACCTCCCATCCCCAGAGCAAAACATGACAATGAGAGGAAAGAAGATGGAACAAACTGTGATGCTTCTATCTTGACTTATGACAAAAGGGCTAAAAATGAGCAACATTTCAAAGGGCTAGAAAGGAACTGTACTATGATTACTTGGCAAAGAAAAGCAACACGGATAAACAGGATTCCAATTTTTTTTTTTTTTTTTAAATAAGAGATGGGGTCTCACTCCATCGCCTGGGATGAAGTGCAGTGGCACGATCACAGCTCACTGCATGCTCAAACTCCTGGGCTCAAGAGATCCTCCTGCCTCAGCCTCTCAAACAGCTGAGACTACAAGTGCACACCACCATGCCCAGCTGATTTTTTTTATTTTTTGTAGAGACAGGGTCCTGCTATGTTAACTCCTGGCCTTGGGCAGTCCTCCTGCCTCGGCCTCCCAGAGTGCTAGGATTTTAGGCGTGAGCCACCACACCCAGCCCTGATCAATTTTTGACTCCTTTGTGCTCGACGTTATCCCCACATTTATATCAACCAGCAGGGAGAAGTGGTGAGGACAGAGAATGCAGATCTGGGCACGGATCCACTCAGGCTCCTCTCTCAGCGGCACTCTCTCTGTAGATGCGAAACAGTGAGGCACATGTTGTAAAAGCCCAAACACAATACTTCAAAAGCATGCACAGAAACCCCTTGACATCTGAATATATGACGTTAACTTTCAGGCCAAGTGGACTGACCCTGGCTCCTCTCCTGCTGCTAGGTTCATCCGCAACAGACAGGAATGTTTGCGAGGTGAGAGTTGTATTTTTCTTACATAAAAGATCTGTTTTACAAGGTTATTTTATCTGGTTACCAGTCTAATGCATAAAAGACAGTGGTATCCTGTCTCATGTACAAAGAGCAATGCTGCCTGGGACGCCTCCCGCATGTGCGGCGGCACCACTCTGATGATGCTCTTCCATCTCTCCACTCGGTCCCAATATTAGAGTTTCTTCAGGCTGCTTCATTTTTCCACGATGCGCCTCTCAGCGAGGCTGTATTTTGTAGGAAAGTTCCAGTGAACGATGTAACAGGTGGAGAATCCCAGATCCGAAAACAGAGATTGGAAACACGCAAAGGGACCCGTGTGTTGAAACACATTTCTAATCAGATAATCGGGTGCATCTGTTCTGTTAAATGTCCACTACACTTATAAACAAATTAACCAAATTCAGAAATAACCATACAATTGTAAAATCTGTAAGGAATAAGGAAGGAATTATCTGTGAATCTTGACCATTTTCCTGAAAATCTGCTGCAGATTTAAGTGTTATGAAACAACAGAATCCTAAATTTCCAGTCACTACTACAATTTGAAGTACACATGTTACGCTGTAAATCTGATACCCCAAGACATAAGAAAAAGTCACACTTAGGGAGAAAATCTTCATAATTGTTAGAAATGTTAGAAGAAATATGTTCATTTAAAAAACAGGACATTAGTACTCAACTTATGAAATAAACCCACTAAGCCAGCAGGAGGCATTGCCTAGGAGGACTGTGGCTCAGCGGCCTTAGTGCCTTGGACTCTATTTCTATCACCCGTGCTTCTGGGGCAGCCCTTTGCAGAGAGTTTCCGTCCATTTCATTAGGAAGCTCTTGCCATGTGGCTCAGTTCTATGCGTGGAAAAGCAATGAGCGACCTTCAAGATCTGATGCTCCATTCCAAGGCGACAGAGAATCAACCACAGATGGGCGCGAGAACAGAGTCAGATCACCAGCCAAGGTAAAATGAAGACGATCTTCTGGATTGGGGCTTCCTGACACATGACCAGGGCCAGTCCCTACACCCACAGAAACCACACGAATACGTATGTCTGTACAGTCTTCCCAGGAAAAGGATCCATAGATTTCTTCAATTTTCCAAAGAGTTTGTCTGAAACTTCCAAAATAAAAAGAACCATTGTTTCGGGCTCATTTTCTCTGGGTGTTCCTATGTATTTAGTGCACCTGAACTCATAACGATGTATTCGTCCCTGGGTAAAGAGTCAGATTTCTGAATTCTCAGTGATATGCCGGGCTATGAAGTGCAGTGACCAAGAAGGTGCAGATTCCCCAAGAGACACATACTGAAACGCTTTTCTAGTACAACTGAGGCCAACATAAAATCTGAATAAAAGTGTAAGGTTTTCTTTGGAACCTTATTTCCCTATGTCTAGATGTGTTCTATTTCTAGGAAGTTTCTAGGAAGCAAGCATCAAACCCTGACTGTATTCATGCCATCATCTCCACTACGTTCAGTTGTCTACATTATTTTCTAAAGTTATCCAACAGGGACAGAAGACCTTTATTAACAATATTTCCCTAATATCTAATATACTTATTTTTAGCTAAGTTAATCTTTGAGCCACATATCCATTCAGAACATACCAGAACAAACTCAAACTCACTGTTAGGAAATGTATCGATACTTCCAAAGATCTCATGCCACTACCCTTAAGACACTGCAGCCTGCTAGGGTGGGCTATCCAACATCAGAACGCCCACAGCTCCAGACCCGGCATGGACCATCTCATCCTCCCCAGGAAAGGCACTTCCTTCCCTGACAGCACTTTAAGTCAGCTCTGGGCGAGTTTATCCCCCAACCCTACCACCATTTTTTATTCTTAGGCTCTGAAGTTTTTCCTTCTTGGGTCGCTTTCATTTGTGCTCAGAGTTTTCAGCATCTAAGATGGCCTTTAAACTATTCATTCCAGTAGGGACCAAGTTTTCTCCTGCCTGGTTAATTCCTTCTGAGTGTAGCAAATGCCTGGGCCCAGTCAATATTGTGGCTAGAACTGGCTAAGAGGAAACACCTCTACTGACGAAAGCATCACAGAATAAAAGTTTCTAAAAGCCTGTCATAATAAGAAAATGACTAAACAGCCAATAGAGGTTCAGATTAAAATTTAACGTGACTTTTAAAAACCTACTTAATGTTGTTTTTTTGTTTTTGTTTGTTTGTCTTTGACATGGAGTCTTACTCTGTCGCCCAGGCTGGAGTGCAGTGACACAATCTCGGCTTACTGCAGCCTCCACCTCCCGGGTTCAAGCAATTCTCCTGCCTTAGCCTCCTGAGTAGCTGGGATTACAGGTGCCCGCCACCACATCCGGCTCATTTTTGTATTTTTAGTAGAGATGGGGTTTTACCATGTTGGCCAGGCTGGTCTTGAACTCCTGACCTCAAGTGCTCAGCCCACCTTGGCCTACCAAAGTGCTGGGATTACAGGCGTGAGCCACTGCGCCTGGCCTTAAAAAACCTACTTTATGTTTTCACTGTGCTTTATATTAAATACATTACCAGCCAATTTCTCTTAAAACAAGCAAAGCAAAAAGGAGCCAGGGGTATTGGGGTAGACTATTCAGCTTCCAAAAGCCATCTAATAGAAATGTTATGAAAACTTCTGCTATACACTAGTTTCGGAAATACTGGATAATCCACCAACCATCAAACTTTCAATAAACGAATACACGAACATTCCACTGAGCTTCTACTCAGTCTCTATAGTTCCGTGCATTCTCTTCATTCTTTCCCCTTGATCCATTTCCAAGTTGCTCTGAATGTCGTCTTAAAAGTCAGTCTTTCCCTGTTTTGGTCAATTACTTGACCATCATATGTATCTGCCCCAGAATGCTTCTCAAGTTTCTTAATCCCAGGAACAGGTAAGAAAAAAAGATAGCCGCTCGAGGACTTTCTGACTTTCCTATCAAATACAAATTCTCATTCATTCCAATGGTCGAGAACACATTAGTCTACATTCTGAAAGTAGCCCACAGTTTTAAATAGCATGTTCAGGTACATGGAATACACTCAACTTTCCTTTTTTTTTTTTGAGGCGGAGTCTTGCTCTGTTGCCCAGGCTGGAGTGCAGTGGTGCGATCTCGGCTCACTGCAAGCTCCGCCTCCCAGGTTCACACCATTCTCCTGCCACAGCCTCCCGAGTAGCTGGGACTACAGGCGCCTGCCACCACGCCTGGCTTTTTCTATTTTTTTTTTTTTTTTTTTTTTTTTTTAGTAGAGACAGGGTTTCACTGTGTTAGCCAGGATGGTCTCGATCTCCTGACCTCGTGATCTGCCCGCCTCGGCCTCCCAAAGTGCTGGCATTACAGGCGTGAGCCACTGCGCCTGCCCAACTTTCCATTTTTTAAAGGATAAATAAGCTTTCCTGGAGATTAAAGTTTCTGTCCTTCTCCTCCCTTCCATTCACACTGTCTACCCTTTTGGCTACTAATTTTGCACTAATTCATTCAGCCAATAATAGAAGGAGGTGGCGGCTGGAGGGCAAACTGAACAGCTCCTTCTCTCTCCTCATTGGCACTTCTGCCCTACATAGTAACGTCTCATTTTAAAAACTGGTAGCACTGTGCCACAAGTATATTTGGATATAATTTGGGTGGACTTTGCATATTCTAATACAGGCCATTCTGAGACCGGTTCCAGACTGAAATTTTGTCTTTACTGCCTTTAGGAGTGTCACTTGATGATTTCTTTCTTCCTGAAAAATAATTGCCTCTGATCTAAATAACTTACACTGCAAGCAGACAGAAAAGACAAGAATAGGCATAGGAGGAATTACAGAAACTTCCTGGGAAAAATGAGGTTCATAAGAACCCCAAAACCTTCAAAAGATAACTGTCTCCAAAGCATGACACTAATACTGATAGCTGATAATGAGAGACATGCATGTCAACCCAGAAGTACATCATAATTATCTGTTATTAGATATACTTTAATGAAATCTACTGATTCATCTAGTAAGTTACTAGATATGTGAAAACAACATAATTTCCAGAGTTCCTAAATATGTCCAATATATTGAACTTAGGGATCCAAGATTCTGAACATGCCATCACCAAAAAAAATTGCAAACCTAAAAAACAAAAAGGAAACAAATTAAACAATGTCAAAGGAAAGACTTTCTTAGAAATGGTCAATAATTACTTTTATAATTTTCAAAACATTTTAAGTTAATACTTTTTATCGTCTTACCATTATAAGCTCTTAAGTCTAACATTAAAGTTTTATTTAAAAACAAGGCAGTTTTCATAAAGCAAAATAAATATTACACAATACTCATCCACACCACCTACTTAATTATAGAGTATTTACTGGGTCAAAATATCTCCACATTCATAATTTGAGCCTTTAAAGTGGCATTAGTTCTGTCTTTATTTTCTTTTAAAAGTTGTCATCATGGTGACAGACATTCAGATGCATAACTAAAATTATAGATTTTGTTCTTATGCATCTCATACTTTTAGAAACTATTTTTTTAGTCGAGTAATAGCGGTTACAGTCTTTGTGCTTCTATTACATTAACTTTTAGCACATGAACTAAGAAAGATGCTCTTCAAAGTTGTTCTAACCACAAAGAGGTAGGCCTTTTTTGAAAAAGAAAAAAAAACAATTTTTTGGCAAAAGAAATCAAAATTTCCAAAAGTAAAAACATCAGTATTATTTCTCATTAAAAATATTAATATACAAAAGTGAGCTGTATGAATAAAACATTTACTATAGGCTTAAAGACCATGCTACTTAGACCAGCTTATTTAATTATTCCACAGAAAATCAAGAGTTCAGAGTTCATATTTCCAAAAGCATAAAACAACACATCAGGAGATATGGTCAAACAAAGAACCACTGAGTGCACACTGGTTTTTCTTTAAGAACAAGGCGAAGCTGGCCTGGGGAAGCAGAAATTATTAAGAGCCCACACACATAAAATCACTGCTCTCCCAGTCAACCTAATGGGGCCCAGATTTCCATGGCCAGCTTGTGAGTAATTTTTTCTTAGTGTATGTGAATAATTCTCCCTATCATTACAGAAAGCCACATACATGAAGAAAAAGAACACATTTTATAAATGTTAAATCACTCTCAACATCTGAGATTAAGCAGTAAGAAAATACTGTTTGTAGGGAAATTAAGTAACACAGAATTACATGACAACTGAGTCTCCAGAAGAGAAACATGAAAATAAAGATGACTTTTAAAAAATGATGATGTTTTCAGTTCCTTACAATTTGCCTTCTGTAGCACCCTCCAGAATGAGATGAAATTTAATTTTCTCACCATCTCATCAATTAAATGACTGCACAATTTAGGCTAAACATAAGTAAATCTGTGATACTATATTTGTTATTAATGCTGTTACATGTAGTGAAAGAAATGAAGTGGCGTAAACAACCACTTATTTGAAATAATAGCTTAGTGTGAATCTGAACTCCAAGCAAAAACCTTATTGGAATTCTATTTTTAGGAGAGTTAAACATAGTAACTGCCTTATAAGCTCCACTACCTCAACATATTTAAAAGGACATGGTCCATCAGAATACATTTAATAATTAAATAACACTCCCCTCCACCCAAAAAAGTTTTACTAAAATGTAAAAAGAAGCCACTGTATTATCTTCAACCAAAAAATATATTTGAACATGTAATAGCTTAAAGCTAACTGATACAACTAACATTCTCCAAAGGCACATCATATTTTAAAAAGTAAAATAAACAAACACACACATACATAAAACATTACAATTCTTTAACATAGAAAAAAAAGTTGTGGCAAGAATCCTTACTTTCTAGTCTAAAAACCTGTAAGTCTGGATTCCCTTTTGTTTAAGAGCAAAACCCTATTGTTTAAAAAAAATTTCAATCTCCAACTCCTAATGGCTCAGGTTTTTTCATATAATAAATATTTTGTTGCTGATTAGGTAGCTCACAAGAGCTCACTTTAAAAAGCCATGTTAAAACAGCTCTAAAAGGTTTAATTAGCATTTATGATGTAAGCCCTTTTGTAAAACATTTGAGCTAATTTAGGTACGATATGTCAGTATGTTGTTTAATACCTTTGGTTTACAACTTTAAAATGTTTTTAATCTTGAAGAGGAAGGAACTGGGGCAGCACAGACACGGAAACACATGAAGGCCTCCCTCTCGCTGGCTTTGCCATTTACCATGCGGGCTGAAGTGGTTTCAGGACGAGGCGATCGCTCACCTTCTAGTCAGAAATCAGATGACCTCAAAACAACCTCATTTCAGGCTGAGGCCTCATGTCTTTCGCTTAGAGCTAAAAATAAAAATACATGTGAATGAACAAATGAGCATGGAATGAAATCTCTAACATGACACTAAAATATAAAATATTAGAAGCCATTTTTATCACAGAAAAATGAAAATGTACACATTTCTACACAGAGAATCACAATCCTATTTTGAATGGAGTGGTGCCCGTCTTATCCTGTTAGCCGCTGGGTATCGTAACAACTGAAATCCAAGTTGGTTCTACAAAGCTAAAGTCATATTTGATTCATTTCCTGAGATTATAAAACACTGATTTATTTACTTATTTATTTGAGACAGAGTCTCACTCTGTCACCCAGGCTAGAGTGCAGTGGCATGGATCTCAGCTCATTGCAGCCTCTGCCTCCTGGGTTCAAGCGATTCTCCTGCCTCAGCCTCCCAAGTAGCTGAGATTACAGGTGCCCACCACCATGCCTGCTAATTCTTGTATTTTTAGTAGACACAGGGTTTCACCATGTTGGCTGGGCTGGTCTTGAACTCCTGACCTCAGATGATCCACCCGCCTTGGCCTCCCAAAGTGCTGGGATGACAGGCGTGAGCCACCGCACCTGGCCAAACATTTATTTTTAATAGAGTTAAATTTAACAATATTTTAATGAAGTCAGCTACTTAGATCACATATATGTGTGTGTGTGTGTGTGTGTGTGTGTGTGTGTGTGTGTGTGTGTGTGTGTATATATGTGCCAGGGCAAGAAAGGTCAGTGTAATGCTAAACCGTAACAATAGCCTGGCCCTCAGAAATATATTTTTGTGTATTCACAACTCTTGGTTCCAATAGCAGTACTCGTACAACATGAAAACTAACCTTTTTCTCTAACCAAAATAAGGCACTCACTCATTCAACAAATACCGAATGTTTCTAAGCACCGGAATTAAGTGCTTGGTATGACAGAACGAGTTCTAAACCTCATCAGTGAGTCTGGAGTCGTCAGCCATCTATTTCCTAATTTGAGGTCTCAAGTCTGGGCTATGATGCTAAGGAGATTCCACAAGAGGTAGGAGGGCAGTATGTATTAAGTGACAACAGAATGAGGCTGCAGGATTTGAAACAAAATCCTGAATCCCTGAATCTCTCTGCTGTTGCTGTCAATGACCTCAACTCATCATGTGTCTGTCTCTTCAGTATGAAGCTTCTGTTTTCAAAATCCTATTTTAATCCTGGAAATTAATTCTTTCTCATTTGGAGAATGCTGGTGGTTTTGGTCCCAAACATAATGCCTCAGGCTATTTTGAAAGGTTAAATCTGCCAAGTACCTTCAAAAACCATTTATTTTAAGAGTAATTCATTCAACTGAAGCCATAATTTAAAATTCAGAAATCCTGCTGCTAAAGTTATATTTAAAGAATTGGCCCTAGCTATACTGTAATGAAGACAAATATGTTACAGAATGTTTTACACCATTCATCTATGCCCATTAAATATTATTCATAAATTATCACATATAGTCTACACTAACATTATCGTTCAATGTTTTGCATTTCTCTGCTGGTTCTACATATACCAATGACATTTTTTAATTGTGTGGGAATATGATACGTTACCAAAAAAAATGTCAAAATATATGCACCTGATTCAAATTAAGCTCCATGTTCATCTTAACCCATTTCTGCCTAGGGTCCCATTACTGCAACGCTAAGCTTGTGGGAGTTATTTGTGTCCTACTGCTCAAGATCATCACCAAGGCCTGATTTTTCACAAAAAAATCTGCAACCTCCAGCATAAATGGGTTAAAACCAGAAGAATAAATACATTTCTGAGTTGGCTTATCTTCTATAATTTTTCATGGAGTCTAACTAAATTTAATATCTTGACAAATACTACCAAGTGAAATGTTTTGACTCTGAAGTTCATAGGTCTCAGAAAATACTTTAAAGTAATATACTGCAGTTTATGCTTAAATACTTAGAATAAAGAAGACAAGAACTATTGGGAGTCATATCTGGGTTTTAAGCAAATCAATAAGCTTTGAAAGTACATTTCCCACGGATGTTCGTAAGATGATTCTTAAGTTTTAGATTTTGCTGCATTCAAATTTTAAACATGGAAAACTGTATGCTGGTCTTATGTGCAAGCAGTGAAACCCGTCCTCCTTTCCCATGTATGTCGGAGGGCACTGTTCTTTTCAGTTCATAGGAAGCTTCAGAGAAAACGTAACTAATTCATAGATACCCTTTTTCCACTCTAAGTCTTAAACATGCTCATCTATGTATCCCAAATTTGTCCTGTGTCAACACAGAGAACCTGTCGGCTACCCACAGCTCAACTCTTACTTGACTTTTCTCTCTTTTTTTGAGACAAGAGTCTTGCTCTGTTATGCAGGCTGGAATGCAGTGACACAATCTTGGCTCACTGCAACCTCCACCTCCTGGGTTCAAGCGATTCTCCTGCCTTAGCCTCCTGAGTACCTGGGATTACAGGGGCCCATCGCCACACCTGGCTAATTTTTGCATTTTTAGTAGAGACGGGGTTTCTCCATGTTGGCCAGGCTGGTCTCGCACTCCTGACCACAGGTGATCCACCTGTCTCAGCCTCCCAAAGTGCTGGGATTACAGGCAGGAGCCACTACACCAGGCCTATTTGCTACCATTCGTTGGCAAGAACTAAAAGCAGCTGAGAGGTTTCATTCGCCTCCCGAACTCAGATGTCCCCCTTACATCTCACAACCTCATCCATGCCACAGTCACAGCTGCCATTTCCCCCTTTTTCCTTCAACCACTTGATGTTTTGTAATGCAGGTTACAGTCGACAACAACTGCGACACTGTCCTAACTCCAAAACTTTCACTACTTCCACTTTAGGCCTTTGATGATAAAATAAGGAGGCTGAATCCTCAGAGGTATATTTCAGCTTACTAACTATATACTTAGTCTTAACTTTTACTACTCATAAAACTCCATCCACCACTTCAGTAATATTACACTGTCTCCCATTTAATAGGATTGATGAATTCTAGTGAGTTAGTTACAAATTTAGACTAACTATAGAGTCAAACTTCTATAAAAACAAATGCTATTTATTTAAGAACATTCAACGTCAAAGATATTTTCATGAAAAACTGTTTCCTTAGTTTAGACTGAATCTTTTTTGCAGAAAGGGTTAACCCCCATGATACACTAGGGGTGAAACTGCAACCTGAACACTGCAGTCCCCTCTTAGAAGTTTTCTTTCTGCTCCCAGAACCTGACAGATTCTAAGATTTCCTGTCTGACACATACGCCTCTTGTCTCCTAACCCAGCAAAAACCAACAGCATTCTTAATTTCTGTGGGAGTCCTGCAACTTCACATATGCAGCTTGCACCCTAAACACAACACATTTATCAGTCAGAAAATCCCAAACTGAAGGATTCCACAGGAAGAAAACAGAATGTCTGAATGACGGCGTGGAGACAGCGGCTGGCCATTTGGGAAACTTAAGGCAGCATCTCTATCTTCATTCCTTAAGCCAAAATAACATCCAGAAATGTCACATTTAATCTGAAAATGTGAAACCATAAAAATGTGAAACCATAAAAATGTTCAAAGAAAATATGGCTGAAATTTTTAAAAGTACATTTTAAGGCACATGAAGAACTTTAATTATGACATAAACCCTAGGAGCCAAAAAAGAACACAACTGATTAAAAAGTGGCCAAAAAACCACTTATAAACAAACAACATAAACTGAGAAAAAATTCTAGTAAATATTAATATGAATACAGTTCTTATAAATTCCCAAGAAAAAGAAAACCCCATGAAAACTGTGCAACAATTACAGACAATTCATCAAGGAAAACAAGACCAATAAATACAGAAAAATAACTTCAAACCCATTCAAAAGCAATATAAACCCAAATGAGACGCTAACAGAGTGACAGGGAATACCGAGAGTGTGGGGGACCAGGCATCCAAACAGACCGTTAGGAGAGGTATACACCAGCACCAACTTTTTGAAGAATAATGACGTTATTTACCAAAATGTTAAAATCTGCATGCTTTTGACCCAGAAATTTAACTTCTGGGACCAGATTCTTATTTCTTCTCACACGTAAGCAAAAATATTTGTACGAGGACATTGTTTATAACCACAATACAGTAGTACTCTTAATATACAAAAAAATGAAAGAAAAAATCTGCAAAACAAGCCCAACTGTCTGTCAAGGGGAAGCTGGTTTAAAAAAATGTTACCTTTCTTTTCTTTTGTTGTATCTCTGCCAGGCTTTGGTATCTGGATGATGCTGGCCTCATAAAATGAGTTAGGGAGGATTCCCTCTTTTTCTATTGATTGGAATAGTTTCAGAAGGAATGGTACCAGCTCCTCCTTGTACCTCTGGTAGAATTCATCTGTGAAACCCTCTGGTCCTGGACTTTTTTTAGTTGGTAAGCTATTAACTATTGCCTCAATTTCAGAGCCTGTTATTGGTCTATTCAGAGATTCAACTTCTTCCTGGTTTCGTCCTGGGAGAGTGTATGTGTCAAGGCATTTATCCATTTCTTCTAGACTTTCTAGTTTATTTGTGTAGAGGTGTTTATAGTATTCTCTGATGGTAGTTTGTATTTCTGTGGGATCGGTGGTGATATCCCCTTTATCATTTTTTATTGCATCTATTTGATTCTTCTCTCTTTTCTTCTTTATTAGTCTTGCTAGTGGTCTATCAATTTGGCTGATCTTTTCAAAAAACCAGCTCCTGGATTCACTGATTTTTTGAAGGGTTTTTTGTGTCTCTATTTCCTTCAGTTCTGCCCTGATCTTAGTTATTTCTTGCCTTCTGTTAGCTTTTGAATGTGTTTGCTCTTGCTTCTCTAGATCTTTTAATTGTGATGTTAGGGTGTCAATTTTAGATCTTTCCTGCTTTCTCTTGTGGGCATTTAGTGCTATAACTTTCACTCTATACACTGCTTTGAATGTGTCTGAGAGATTCTGGTATGTTGTGTCTTTGTTCTCGTTGGTTTCAAAGAACATCTTTATTTCTGCCTTCATTTCGTTATGTACCCAGTAGTCATTCAGGAGCAGGTTGTTCAGTTTCCATGTAGTTGAGCAGTTTTGAGTGAGTTTCTTAATCCTGAGTTCTAGTTTGTTTGCACTGTGGTCTGAGAGACAGTTTGTTATAATTTCTGTTCTTTTACATTTGCTGAGGAGTGCTTTACTTCCAACTATGTGGTCAATTTTGGAATAGGTGTGGTGTCGTGCTGAAAAGAATGTATATTCTGTTGATTTGGGGTGGAGAGTTCTGTAGATGTCTATTAGGTCCGCTTGGTGCAGAGTTGAGTTCAATTCCTGGATAGCCTTGTTAACTTTCTGTCTCGTTGATCTGTCTAATGTTGACAGTGGGGTGGTAAAGTCTCCCATTATTATTGTGTGGGAGTCTAAGTCTCTTTGTAGGTCACTAAGGACTTGCTTTATGAATCTGGGTGCTCCTGCATTGGGTGCACATATATTTAGGACAGTTAGCTCTTCTTGTTGAATTGATCCCTTTACCATTATGTAATGGCCTTGTCTCTTTTGATCTTTGTTGGTTTAAAGTCTGTTTTATCCGAGACTAGGATTGCAAACCCTGCCTTTTTTTTGTTTTCTATTTACTTGGTAGATCTTCCTCCATCCCTTTATTTTGAGCCTATGTGTGTCTCTGCACGTGAGATGGGTTTCCTGAATACAACATACTGAGAATTTTAGACCAATATCCTTGATGAACATTGATGCAAAAATCCTCAATAAAATACTGGCAAACCGAATCCAGCAGCACATCAAAAAGCTTATCCACCATGATCAAGTGGGCTTCATCCCTGGATGCAAGGCTGGTTCAACATACGAAAATCAATAAACGTAATCCAGCATATAAACAGAACCAAAGACAAAAACCACATGATTATCTCAATAGATGCAGAAAAGGCCTTTGACAAAATTCAACAACGCTTCATGCTAAAAACTCTCAATAAATTAGGTATTGATGGGACATATCTCAAAATAATAAGAGCTATCTATGACAAACCCACAGCCAATAACATACTGAATGGACAAAAACTGAAAGCATTCCCTTTGAAAACTGGCAGAAGACAGGGAGGCGCTCTCTCACCACTCCTATTCAACATAGTGTTGGAAGTTCTGGCCAGGGCAATCAGGCAGCAGAAGGAAATAAAGGGCATTCAAGTAAGAAAAGAGGAAGTCAAATTGTCCCTGTTTGCAGATGACATGATTGTATATCTAGAAAACCCCATCGCCTCAGCCCAAAATCTCCTTAAGCTGATAAGCAAACTCAGCGAAGTCTCAGGATACAAAATCAATGCGCAAAAATCACAAGCATTCTTATACACCAATAACAGACAAACAGAGAGCCAAATCATGAGTAAACTCCCATTCACAATTGCTTCACAGAGAATAAAATGTCTAGGAATCCAACTTACAAGGGATGTGAAGGACCTCTTCAAGGAGAACTACAAACCACTGCTCAACGAAATAAAAGAGGATACAAACAAATGGAATAACATTCCATGCTCATGGGTAGGAAGAATCAATATCGTGAAAATGGCCATACTGCCCAAGGTAATTTATAGATTCAATGCCATCCCCATCAAGCTACCAATGACTTTCTTCACAGAATTGGAAAAAACTACTTTAAAGCTCATATGGAACCAAAAAAGAGCCCGCATCGCCAAGTCAATCCTAAGCAAAAAGAACAAAGCTGGAGGTATCACACTACCTGACTTCAAACTATACTACGAGGCTACAGTCACCAAAACAGCATGGTACTGGTACCAAAACAGAGATATAGACCAATGGAACAGATCAGAGCCCTCAGAAATAATGCCGCATATCTACAACTATCTGATCTTTGACAAACCTGAGAAAAACAAGCAATGGGGAAAGGATTCCCTATTTAATAAATGGTGCTGGGAAAACTGGCTAGCCATATGGAGAAAGCTGAAACTGGATCCCTTCCTTACACCTTAGACAAAAATTAATTCAAGATGGATTAAAGCCTTACATGTTAGACCTAAAACCATAAAAACCCTAGAAGAAAACCTAGGCAATACCACTCAGGACATAGGCATGGGTGAGGACTTCATGTCTAAAACACCAAAAGCAATGGCAACAAAAGCCAAAATTGACAAATGGGATCTGTTTAAACTAAAGAGCTTTTGCACAGCAAAAGAAACTACCATCAGAGTGAACAGGCAACCTACAGAATGGGAGAAAATTTTTGCAACCTCCTCATCTGACAAACGGCTAATATCCAGAATCTACAACGAACTCAAACAAATTTACAAGAAAAAAACAAACAACCCCATCAAAAAGTGAGCGAAGGATATGAACAGACACTTCTCAAAAGACATTTATGCAGCCAAAAAACACATGAAAAAATGCTCATCATCACTGGCCATCAGAGAAATGCAAATTAAAACCACAATGAGATACCATCTCACACCTGTTAGAATGGCGATCATTAAAAAGTCAGGAAACAACAGGTGCTGGAGAGGATGTGGAGAAACAGGAACACTTTTACACTGTTGGTGGGACTGTAAACTAGTTCAACCATTGTGGAAGTCAGTGTGGCGATTCCTCAGGGATCTAGAACGGGAAACACCATTTGACCCAGCCATCCCATTACTGGGTATATACCCAAAGGATTATAAATCATGCTGCTATAAAGACACATGCACACATATGTTTATTGCGGCACTATTCACTATAGCAAAGACTTGGAACCAACCCAAATGTCCAACAATGATAGACTGGATTAAGAAAATGTGGCACATATACACAATGGAATACTATGCAGCCATAAAAAATGATGAGTTCATGTCCTTTGTAGGGACGTGGATGAAGCTGGAAACCATCATTCTCAGCAAACTATCGCCAGGACAAAAAACCATATACCACATGTTCTCACTCATAGGTGGGAATTGAACAATAAGAACACTTGGATACAGGAAGGGGAACATCACACACAATGGGATATTCAATATTCAATAGCACAGAGTGTGCCATAAAGTGAGTGATAATCAATTGTTTTTCATCTCTTCCATCCCAGACACAAGGCCAATCCAGATGAACTGCTGTTGCCACAGTCTCTTTCAGTGATCTTAAGTCTCCAAGCCCAGCTCCTTTGAAAATACGGTCTTGCCTTTTTATGGGACACCCACTATTACAGACAGAAGACATGAAACCAGTCAGGCTGCCTGGTAAAACGTCACTGAAGATCAGTCTCTAGGAAGGAGGCAAAGCTGAATGTGCTACGAAACTATTATTTGTCCATTTTACTTTACAGATCTCATATTTGCCCCAAATCAACACTAACCAGAGATAGAATACTTTAGTTATATAGCTGAACCATTCAGCAGGATGACAGGAGGCATAATCATGTCAGCATGGCTAGATTTTGGCCCTCACAGGCCCCTCCACCTGCCCAAAATGACAGGAGTCTCACAATTACTGTCACTGCTGACTACTAGCCAATGGGTGCGTAAGCAGTGGCAGGTATAAGATTTTGACATTTTTCCATTGGCACTCTTATTTAGAAAATAAGATATTCTTTAGATATCAGGCCAATTCTTTAGGTATCAGGCCACCATAATTGGTAAATAATGTAATTGTTCTTCAAAAAGTTAGTGACAGCTTAAACCTCTCCTCATGGTCTGTTTACCATTGGTAATCACTGTCAATCTGTTAGCATCTCATTTTAGTTCATATTTATTTTGAGGGCAGATTGACTCATACTATTTAATCTGACTTGGACCCTCACTAATATTTGGTATGGTTGATTCTGTTTTCCAGGGGAAAACTAGACAGGAAAAAGTAACACACAATTCATGTAGCAATGGAATAAACAAGCTCACTAACACAATAAGTTAAAATTTAAGTGATTAAAAAGCCCATGCCTCTGCCGGGTGCAGTGGCTCACGCCTGTAATCCCAGCACTTTGGGAGGCCGAGGTGGGTGGATCACCTGAAATCAGGAGTTCCAGACCAGCCCGGCCAACATGGTGAAACCTCGTCTCTACTAAAAATACAAAAAATAGCCAGGTGTGGTGGCACACACCTGCAATGCCAGCTACTCGGGAGGCTGAGGCAGGAGAATGGCTTGAACCTGGGAGGTGGAGGTCGCAGTGAGCCGAGATTGTGCCACTGCACTCCAGCCTGGGTGGCAGAGTGACTCTGTGTAGAAGGAAAAAAAAAAAAAAAAGCCCATGCCCCACACACAAACAAAACCATTTACAATATTTCTCTTGACAACTTGCTTTAAGTTGCCAACAACAATCTGGTTATGGACCTTGTCATTATAAACATAAAGATTTTTTGTTTTTTTTTAAATCGGCAAATTCTATGTTGACAAATACTGTAATCCAGAAATCTGCTTTTCTACTTCATATTGGACAGGCAACTAAAGTAGTCACATTGAACAAGGATATGCCCCACCTTCCAGACCAGCTGCTACAATGTGAAGCCTGACAAAGCTTCTATGACAATATCATCACCAACCTCAAACTGGAACTAATAGAAATAATCATAATGGATATACACGAGGATTAAAAATTCAAGAGTGCAGAGTTTAAGATACTTGGCTATATAAAGTTTAAAATACTCAAATATATCTTTATGTATATATACTTGTCTATATTTCATATTTTTCAAGAGGCTGAATCTCCTGAAGAAATCCAATATGCACCCCTACCCCGGGAAAAAAAAACAAAAAATGAAAAACAAAAAAGTCTCCTCATCTCAGTGTAATGCCAGACACTATTTGGAAATAAACACACCAAGGCAGTTCCAGTGTCCCGTGGTCCCCACCTGGCACCTGCACTGTGCTCTCTCTTCTGGGACTGCCCTTCCCTCCCTCATGATGTTCTTGGCTTGCCACCTCATCGCAGCAGAGGATCGGCTCCAGTGCTACCTGCTCAGAGGCACTGCCGTGAGCAGCCTCTCTAAAACAGTCCTGTCTCTTCATCAAATCCCAAGCAATCTCTAGGCCCCTCCTGTCCTGCTTGAGCTCTCTCTCTCTAGCACGATTTCCTACTAACATACTATATTTTTACTTATTTACTTTATCTTCCCTACTAGAATGATTCTAATTTACTGGCATTTACATATGAAACTACAGTTTAATCATTTGAGGGAGAAAAAAGCCAACCTTAATGCTATTCTATTATCAAGCATATTCATCTTACCAAAGAGGAAAGTGAAACCCCTCTGTTAGGCAAAACACAAACCAGGATGTGGCTAAGTTTCTACCCTTCATTTCTACTGGACTCTTGAGATCATCAATAACCCACTCAGCGGTGGGGCCAACTCGATGTGAACACAGTACACACATCCAATGAAACATGGGATGTAACTGGCAGAAACAAGCACGTACATTTTTTGAAGTAGAGAAGTCACAAGCAGAAGCTGAAAAAACAATTATTACATGGGCTCCATAGAATTAGAATAAAAATCTTTGTCAAAGCTCAACAAAATACTGAAATTGACTGGTAAACTGATCAAGCAATTATAAAAGCCTAACTGTGAGTACAAGAGCACTTTAGGGTTGGTTGAGGCGAACAGAAATTAAGAAGAAAAGAGAGTTTAAAACACTGCAGGGGGGTAGGAGAAGGTTGGAGGGAGGCACAGGAAGCCAACAAGAGGAAGCAGGAGCAGACAGAGATGAGAAGTGGGCAGTGAGTAAAAGACGGCTCCATTATCTCCAGGGCATGAGGAAAATACAGGGCACTTTTTAAAAAAAGTATTGATGCTGGGCTGGCGCAGGGGCTCACGCCTGTAATCCCAGCACTTTCGGAGGCTGAGGCAGGTGAATCATGAGCTCAGGAGATTGAGACCATCCTGGCTAACAGGGTGAAACCCCGTCACTACTATTAAAAAAAAAAAAAAAATTAGCCGGGCGTGGTGGCAGATGCCTGTAGTCCCAGCTACTCGGGAGGCTGAGGCAGGAGAATGGCGTGAACCCGGGAGGTGGAGCTTGCAGTGAGCCGAGATCACGCCACTGCACTCCAGCATGGGCAACAGAGCAAGACTCTGTCTCAAAAAAAAAAAAAAAGAAAAAGAAAAGAAAAAAAAAGTATTGATGCCAGTAGGAAAATGTGAAAGCAAGCGTGGGGCCATGAGGGAGTGCACAGGTCACATGCCCATGACTCTGGCCCTGCTCACCCTGCTAAGGACCAAGCTGAGGACCGGAGGCGAGGCAACCGCTGCTGCTCTTCCTGCAAGAGGGGCCAGGCAAATGCAGACCATCTCCTTACGTACAGAGACCCTAGAACCCCGCACAATTCACAGGGCACATCGAGGCCTGAAGACACCTTTAGGTGTGCTCAGGTTATTGATTTTAGGCAAAGGGGAGGGAGGACAACACACCAAGATCTAGAAACAACTCCATGGTTGAGTATGAGATTAATTACCACAGAACAGGTGGGAGCTTACTAGGCAGGAAACATACAGAATTGTGAAGTTTTGTTGCAGGGCCATAACGGAGATGATGTGAGTCCTGTCACCACCCAGAGAAGATCCTCATGGCTTCCTGAGACCTATACACTCTAACTGAAATACCTAATAAACAGCCGTGCGAAGGACAGAGAGGACTTTTCCCTGTTCCTTAATTGCAGTACAAATTCCATACCTGCAAAAAACTAAAAACAACTGTGTTCCCTTCCTCCAACCTAAATTCCTCTCCAGGTTAAATATTTCCATTTCTGTCCACTGTTCTACATCTGTGCATCTGTACCTACATCACTCTTCAGTTTACCAAAGCCTCTCATAAAACGTCCAGGACCCTCAGAATGTTTAGTCCCAAGTACAACAAAACCGATGCTCTCCCGTGTTCTCAGTACTATACTTCTACCCATGCAGCCTAATGCCATGTTGCTTCTCTGGCACTACCTCCTAGTAACTCACAACAAACTTGATGGAAACTCTAAATCTCTTTGTCTTTCTTGCAAACACCAAGTAAGTCTGCTCTTCTATGACCTATACTTTGGCAGTTTTTTTTTGGTGGTTTTTGTTTTTTTTGTTTTGTTTTGTTTTTTTGAGACAGAGTCTCCCTCTGTCGCCCAGACTGAAGTGCAGTGGCATGATCTCGGCTCACTGCAACCTCCGCCTCCCAGGTTCAAACTATTCTCCTGCCTCAGCCTCCTGAGTAGCTAGGATTACAGGCGTGCACTACCACGCCCGGCTAATTTTTGTATTTTTAGTAAAGACGGGGTTCACTATATTGGTCAGGCTGGTCTTGAACTCCTGACCTTGTGATCCGCCCACCTCGGCCTCCCAAAGTGCTGGGATTACAGGCGTGAGCCACTGTGCCCGGCCTACTTTGGCGTTTTTTAAGTGATAAAGTACAAAACTCTACATTTTGTTATGCTACATTTTATCTTGTTTTTGGCCTACTACTCAGTTCTTGAATTTTTTTTTTTAAGTTCTAAAAGCGAATGTGTCATTAGTCTGGTTTTTGATTATAGAGATTCAAACTTACAAAACGCTCCTTCATATTACTTCTCAGCTTTGCAACGCAGGGCCATGTCACTTAAGGAAAACACCTTATATCTCACAAGAGGCCTTCTAGAATTGTAGTCACCTGCCGAATTTCCAAGATCCACAGACTAATCCTCACAGGGTCAACAAAACAATCTATTAATGAACAGAGCCATCTCTGGAGTCAGTTTCAAAGAACTGAACCATTGGACTAAAACCAAAATGCCAACTCGACAATGTTAAGTGAAAATTATAACCTCAGAGACCAGGAGATGTTAGAATCCTGGGGCCGATGTATGTGCCCCTCCCACAAGCCCCACAAACAAGTCATGTTGGAAACTGATATAAACCAAAGGGACCCAGATGATGAAATCATTGGCTCAGTGTGTTCCCTCCATGTAGGCATGCCACACAGCAAACCAGCTGTAATCCAATGTTTATTGAGCAAAGAAATCAAAGCAACTGGTCATCTAACATATATTTAACAACATCAGGGTAAGTTTGTCTTGTGTATCATTCTTTACAACAGGGTTATACTCTAGGACAGTAGAGTACTAAGGGTACTCTAGGTGGTACATTGGATAAACATCATCACTTTCATGAATAACCAACTCCCTTCCGGCAATCCCACTTCTTAACGAGATGTACTAGAATTCCACCAGACTGTGGTCAGATTCAGCTGGCCTTGGAGGTGGTTATTCTGTTCTACAAGCTCTGGAGTCACACTGGTTGAGTTCAAGGCCAAGCTCTACTGCTTTCTTTTCTAATTATGTGATCTTCAACGAGTTACTTATCTTTTTTAAACTTCACCACATAATAAGTTACCCATCTTTTCTAAATTTCAGTATTAGTTTCACTATAGCAGATGTAACAAATTACAATTACAATTACACTTACCAGTGGCTTAAACTAAGATAAATTATAGTTCTGTGGACTAAATGAAGGTGTCAGAAGGGCCACATTTCTTCTGGAGACTCTAGAGAAGAATCCACTCCCTGGCCTTTTCCAGCTTCTAGGGACCACATATATTCATTGGCTTGTGGCCCCTTCCTCTGCCTTCAAAGCTAGTGGTGTAACACCTTCAAACCTCTCTCTAGTTCTGGCCACCCTACCTCTCTCTTTCACTTAGGAGGCCCCTTGTGGCTACATCAGGCCCACCTTACCCAGATAATCCTGGATAACTGCTTCATCCCCAAATCCTTAATCACCTCTGTAAAGTCTCCTTTACAATGTGCGGTTACATATTTATAGGTCTGGGGATTGGAATATGGACACTGCGGGGGGCGCCATTAATGTGTCTACCCCAGGGCTATTACGGTATAGTTTTAACACTGATTTGACGTTAACCAGTTGAAATTTAATGAAGCAATACGATTTTATCTTAAAATTTTGAATACTGTTACCTAAGGAGGACATGGCTATTTCAATGCATAGTTCACACTAAAATTAGACTGCATTTTTCTATTTCAGTTTTCACATAAAACGACATGCATTTGATTTATCAGTGGAGGGTAAAAAATAGAAGAGTTAAGCCATCAAAATCTTTACGGCTTTACCAATTAATACGGGACTAATTAAACAACAAATTAGCTAGAATGAAGTTAATACGTAAAGGACAATCTGAATGTTTGGTTGAGCTTTTTCTACTAGAAACAGGAAACCACACTGATCTGGTTTTCACCTTACCCCACTGGCCAGACCTTCGCACTCCCCTTTGCTGGATTCTTCTCCTCTCCCTGACCTCTAAAGCCCCAGTGCATCCAGGCTCAGTTCCCAGGCCTTCCTGTCTACACTCACTCCTGTGGGAAAGTCATTCAATCTCAGGGCTTTACTATCTGTGCTGACGCTCCAGATTTTATAGGTCTCAGTCAGACCTCTGAACTCCCGTCTCCTTCATCACAACTGCCTATTTGATAGCCCATCTCAGATGTCAAACAGGTATATGCATATTTAAAACCAAATGCCTGATCTTCCGAATGACCAGTTCTAGTAGTACATCTCATTAAGTGGGACTGCAGGAAAGCAGTTGTTTAGTCATCAAAGTGAGGCAGTTTTAATGATGTTTATCCAAGTACCACCTAGAGTACCCGCAGTACTCTACTGTCCTAGAGTATAACCCTGTTGTAGAGAATGATACACAAGATGAAATTACCCTGATGTTGTTAAATGGCTGTTCATTAAACACCTATTCCATCCCATTAAAAATCTTCACATCATCCTTTCCAACTTTCTTTCCCTCACATCCATTATGCCCATCAGCTGACCAAATTAGCTCAACCTTCAAAATATATCCAGAATCTGATCACCTTACCACCTCCACTGTCACCATCTTCAGCCAAGCCACCATCATCTCTTGCCTTGGTCACTGCTAACTGATTTCCTTTTAACCTTGTTCCCCTGGCTTCTTTAATAAAGCAGCCAGAAAGTCTTTTTTTCAAAAGAATTAAGATTTTTGGTTTGTTCTGTTCTCTCTTGTTAACTGAGGTGAAACTTACACACAGTGAAATTAAGCACATCTTAGGCTTCAATTCAATGACTCAGATGCATCCATGTAATCAAGAGCCCAATCAAGAAAATACTTCCAACTTTGGGCTATGATGAATAAAGGAGTTTCTTTTGGAGTGATGAAAACATTTTGCAACTAGACAGAGGTGATGGTTGCTCAACATTGTAAACATACTCTTACACGCCACTGAATTGTTCATTTTACAATGGTTAATTGTATGTTATGTGAATTTCACCTCAAAAGGCTATTTCTGTGAGAAAATACCTAATACCCCTGATGTAAAAAGCTAAAAGGTTTATCACTGCAGTTGTATCATTGCAGGAGTCAGGTACTTAAGAGATTTTTCAGTTTTATTGATGGTACTTAACAACAACAAAAAAATATTATAACCACCAAATGTTTCTTGAGTGGTTCACCCTTGGCTTTAAATGTTATCAAACAGTGGAGAGCTGCTCTCCACTTCCACAGGAGGACCATTAGATGCCCATCTTCAAGAGTCAGTAACTAACTCTAGAACCCAATAAGAATATTCATGGTACACGAACAGTCACAGAATACCATGCGCTGTTAAGAAGACGTTTCTTAAAAGATTATATACACTTAGTGTCAGACACTTTAAATGTTATAAAACCTTGATTCTACCAGAATTTAAATTCATCATAAATCTATAATTTAAGGATTTTGCATTTGCATCTAATTTTTTAAATCGATGTGGGAAGGAGGACAGGGAAACAGGACAGAGGGATCTTTTCTATCCAGCCAAGCCAACTGTCTTTAAAGCATAATCCTTTCCATTTTCTGCAAGTTCACAATAAATGTGTGAAGACAATTCAATCTTCACTTTTTTAAAAACCAATCTCAGCTGCTTGATATATAACAGGAGATGAGGAAAAACGCTATCTGAGGTACAAAGCTCAAGTGTCAATCTGAATTCTTAGTTCCAGATTGAATGGGAAATCCCTATCACATTTCTTACAGAGAAGATCTGACAATAAAGCGCTGAAATTAACTCTCCAAAGCCACAGAAAGGTAATCTCATTACATACTCAAAACACACACTTCTGAAAAGACAAGAAGGTCCTTTTCACTTCTAGAACTAGACAGTGTGTGGCATTTAAGGAAATAACACTATTTTGTGGCTGGTTGTGTGTATGTGTGTATGTATTTAGGGTTAAGATGTGTGCACTCAGTTTACAGTTTAATTTTTTTTAATGCTTCCAAAATGATAGATTTTTCAGCAAATAGTTAAAATTCAGTTCCTCTTCACTTACTGGTCAAGATCTAAGTTCGGGATTTTTACGTTTTCCAAAGCACAAGTGTTTTATCGCCATATCTACACTAAGCCACGTAGTAGTCTGGTTGGTCTTGAAAGTATCCATCCACGCTCCTTGGAACCATCAGGATCAGGGGCGAGAACCGGGACATGTGTGTTACACACAGACAGTGCAATGGACAAAAACAACAAAAGATGGGTTCATTAAAAGTCTGCACCCAAGTGCCGTAGTCTCTGTAGACTTCCTTAGGCTAAAGGGCTAGGGGCTGCCAACTATGGCTAAGACGGCCTTTTCTCCCTCGCCGGTTTTTTTTTTTTTTACGTTAACTATCCCCACCTAAGGATGATGTAAAAGGCCACTCAGGAGCTGGTATCTCCTTCAGACAAAGGTACAGATTGTGTATCTTCCATCACAAGCCAAGGGATATGCTGAACAAATAAGAAGTACGACAGATGCCGCACAGGGGGCCTTTGTAAAGAACACTGGACCCACATATGTGCACACCTCCCAGAATCAACACAGACCTTCAGGACTCCAGTCCCTTAAGTATATGCCACTTGACTGCAGCAATGGTAACAGTAACCTTGCAGAGCAGCAAATGTGTCCCCAAATAGTAGATTTTATAGTCAAACTACCTAATTCTGAGCAGAAGACCAAGAAATGATGTCATGACATCACATACAATATAAGCACATTTCATAAATCGCTAGTTATGTAACTGAGGACCCTGTTTTAGAGATTCTGTCCCGGGGGATTTCTCTTCTAGCTGTGGATGGTAATCCTTGTTCACAGCCACAATAACCTCAATGCAAAAAAACACTCTAAATACTTGGCACTGTATTGAATTCAGCATTTATACACTCTGGTTCATCTCAGTGAGCCTCTTTCATTTTCCATAGCTTTATAGTTCCCAGGCTTTTTCTTTATTTGTTACACAGATGATTCAACTGTATCCTATTTCTGTTTCATTTTTGGTTCTTAATCTGGATTATGCCTCTTTAGCTTCCTATGTGGAACTGTGTGTGAATTTAGGAACTGAAATTTACTGGAAAGATGTAAAATACAAGAAAGAGTAATTAACATAGAAGGCATGATGAAATCATTTTTTTTGAGTTTTTCTTTATTTATGATGTTAAAGAAGAAAATTCCTGAGAAACATACTTAAACTTCATGATGTAAATAAAGCTAACGTTTTAAAAAATATTTCTGTATGGCTTAAAAGCATAAAATTCAAAAAGTAAACAAAGGTACACAATAAAAAGTTTTCCTTTCATCCTTGCCATTAGCCGCCAGTTCTCTTCCCCTGAAGTAGTCAGTGTTGTCTAGCTCTCCTTTTCCAGTCATGCAACACATTCACAACAATATTCTGGTCAATGATGGACCACATACCTAATGGTGGTCCCAGATGATTATTTATACCATATTTTTACTACACCTTTTCTATGTTTAGATAGGTTAGATACACAAATACTTACCTTTGCATTACAACTGCCTACACTATTCAGTAGAGTAACGTGCTATACAGGCTTGAAGCCTCAGAGCAACAGGCTATACCAGACAGTGTAGGTGTGCAGTAGACTATACCATCTAGGTTTGTGTATGTCAGTGCATGATGTTGGCACAAGACTGCCTATGCATTTCTCAGAACATTATTGTTAAGTGATACATGACTGTGTATGTTTTTCCCCTAGTGCTGCTGGCCCAAAGAGCCATTATCTTCTCTGCATTCTGTGCTCTGATACAGTGGGTCTCAAACTTCAGCACTGCTGCACTCCACTGACCCGAGATTCTGATGCAGTAGGTCTGGTGCAGCGCCCTAAAATTTGCATTCCTAACAAGCTCCCAGGTATGCCAGGCCCATACTTTGAAAAGCCTGATCTCATAAAATCAAGTAATCAGTTGTCTTTGAGACAAGTTATCCTCAAGATCAAAGTGAATGCATCACAGTCACAGGTGGTACTTACAGAGCTACTGTCTAAACAACACTATTCTACAGTCTGTACTAGTTTCCTCTTAACCAAACCTAAATAACTTACTTTCTTTCTTTTTCTTTTTCTTTTTTTTTCCCCCAGACGGAATCTTGCTCTGTCACCCAGGCTGGAGTGTGGTGGTGCAATCTCGGATCGCTCACTGCAACCTCCGCCTCCCAGGCTCAACCAATTCTCCTGCTCAGCCTCCCGAGTAGCTGGGATTACAGGCGCCCACCACCACGCCAGGCTAATTTTTGTATTTTTAGTAGAGACGGGGTTTCACTATGTTGGCCAGGCTGGTTTTGAACTCCTGGCCTCAAGTGATCCACCCACCTTGATCTCCCAAAGTGCTGGGATGACACGTACGAGCCACCGCATCTGGTCAACTTTGTTACTTAAAGTTCTATGTCATACCTGGCAATGGCCTAATCTTCAACTTTTACTTTCTTCATACTGGCTCTGTCCCTTCATTCATACACACACACGCACGCACACACACACACACACACACACACACACACGCACATTTTTTTTCTTGGAAGACTTTTTTTATTACTTACATTTCTTTTCACCTGTAATGCTTTGTATGATGTGTGAAAAAAAAAAAATCTTCCAATGGAGATGCCAGAAATAAATGCTCTAAAGACAAAAGTTGCTTTTCAATTTAGACTAAAAAGATACAAGTAAAAAAGAAGAGTTAAAAATAAATTTACACATTTTTGAGATCAAAAATCTTGTAAGAAAAATGGCAAAAAGTAATTCATTTGACATCTAATGTTATAGTGAGGAGACAGTGAGTTTCAAGTTGTACTGCAAAGCAAATATATGAATATAGTTGGCTTTAAATACAAGCATACAAGGGAGAGGGTGTGGGTACGAGGAATTGAAACCTAAATGCACATTTATAAAAAGCTTATCGCTTTCAGTCATCAGAAGTAAGGTATCAAAACATGATCATTGCTCTGTTTGTAACCAGCTAGAATCACAGGTTGACAGATCTACAAAAATACGGCGTCAGCTTCACATCAGGCCCTCCTTTGTGAGAGGCAAGGTGGAAGTGCACTGTAGCAATAATCGTTCCTCTGTCATGATTAGGGCCTCTGAGCTGGACCTAACTCAGAGGACCCTGGGGCACAGCATGTGAACAATACCCTTAAGATCTGCCTCCTGGAGAGAGGGCAAAAACTAGGAGGAGACCAAGCTCTCCTTAGGAATGTCCAAGACCTTTCGGAGTATGGACCTTGAACTGGCGGGAATGCTGTTTCTCTCAGAGTACACACTCTCCGGGGAGACTGAAAAAGGAATAAATGCTAACACAGTACAGGCTAGGACTCAGCAAAGAATTGTGTGTCTAAGAATAGACTAACCTTTGCTGGGAAAAGCATGCTGGCAGGGCTATACCTCCTCCTTTGGAAATAGGCAGGTGGCTGAAATACCCTATGTTGAAAATCCTCCATGTCCTCAATAGCCTGATTCCTTTTAAGACCAATGTTACTTCCCTAAGAAATGTCAGGTCTTACAACCACCCCACATCCAAAACATAATTAACTCTATGCTTTCCATTATATCATAGACCTATTCAGACCATGTCGGCTCCTACTAAAACCCAGCAAGACTTCCTCCCATTTATGGAATAAAGTCTAAACCCCACAACTTTGTCTATGGTGCTATTCATGAGCTGGTCTCTTATGTTTTTGACCTGATCTTCTATCAAATAGCCTCATCCTGCAATTACTTGCACTTCCCCTAATGCATCCTTCAGGCCCACAGCCCTGAGCCCCAGAACGTGCTGCTGTTCTATATAAATGGCCTTCATCACCACACCCTGGTTCCTGGTTCATTTGGAGAACTCTTACACTCTACATTCAAAACAGCCAAGCTTCCCTTCCTTCATGACACCTTCCTTGCCCACCCTTACCTTCTCCTCTATGTCCCCAAACAACCCTCTCCCACCTCTTTCATAGCACTGATCACAGTGTGTGTTACTGTTGTCCATCTGGATTACCTCCCTTTCCATACCCTATCCCAATGCCTTAAGGGCGTGGAAAACAAAGACTTCTGTCATATGTATCTTTGGCCAAGATTAACAAAAATGAAAATATCTGAAACTAATAAGTATTAGCAAGGATACAGAGAAAAGGGTAGCATCATACACTGTTGGACAACTTGGCATTGACTACTCCAAGTGGAAACACTGCACAAGTTACAATTCTATGCACTCATTTCTGTCTCCTAGGCACAATGGCAGGCATTCAGTGGGTGCCATATGAATGTGTGGCATTTGTTAAGATTTTTAGGAAACTGAAACACAGAAGACTTACATTTTGTATATTTTTATATTTTTTGGAAAAGAGATTGGATGGTTCTTTTTACTGTGAGTTGGAGTGTAAACTGGTACAACCGTTTATGAAGGCTATCTGAATACACACACGCACACACACACACACACAGCCCCAAAAGAAATTAACCTACCAGGGAAATAATCATGGACAATACTATATTCACAAAAATGTATTCCGTGGTGTTATTTGTAACAGCAAGAATTAGAAAAGGCCTAAATGACCAATAATAGATCAACTAATTAAACTACAGTACAACCACATAAAATGCTATACAACCATAGAAAATTATGTCATAGGATGACATTTAATAATACAGAAAGATATTTCCATTATACTCTGCTGAAGTAAAAAGGCTGGCTACAAATTTTGATTGTATTTGTTTATTTTAAGTATATAAATGTCAAAAATGCATAGAAAATGCACTAATTTTTTTTTTTTTTTGAGGCGGAGTCTCCCTCTGTCGCCCAGGCTGAAGTGCAGTGGCAAGATCTTGGCTCACTGCAAGCTCCGCCTCCCGGGTTCACGCCATTCTGCCTCAGCCTCCCGAGTAGCTGGGACTACAGGCGCCCACCAACAAGCCTGGCTAATTTTTTGTATTTTTAGCAGAGATGGGGTTTCACCATGTTAGCCAGGATGGTCTTGATCTCCTGACCTCGTGATCCGCCAGTCTCAGCCTCCCAAAGTGCTGGGATTACAGGCGTGAGCCACCATGCCCGGCCAAAAAGCCCTAAATTTTTTAATTGACAAAAATATTGAGTTTCTGTCACCCTGTAATTTAGAATCTACCCCAGGATAGATAGAATAAAGTTACCAAAAGTTAATCATGATTTACTTACAGTTTAATATTGCTATCTTTAAATATCATTGTAACAATTAGGACTGGAAGACCCAAAGAAAGATGACTTTTACTATAGTTTAAATAGTTGATCTATTATCGGTCATTTAGGCCTTTTTCTAATTCTTGCTGTTATCAGATATTAAACTATATTCTAAAATCACATTAACTAAAATAGTGTGGTATGAACAGAGGAACAGAAAATGGGTGAATTCATGAAAAAATGTCTGAAAACATGTACATGTGTAATTTCTGAGGTAGAATTTCAAATAAAAGGAGAAAAAAATTAAAGAAGGAAAAGGAGAAAAAAGTGAAAAAACCACCATACAGAAAAAAATTTCATATAAATTCAAGATCTAAATAATTAAAAAAGAATAAAAGGAAGGAAGGAAGGAAGACTAAACAAGATAAAAATACAGAAAAGTACATTTTTAAAAGCAGAAAATATTTCTCCCAAAATGCAAAAACCACTTAAAAAGGCTGATAACATTTTAAAGGAATAGATTAATATATTGTTTATATAACTCAAAGTTACCAGTGTTTCAACAATTCTAAGAGGCATTCTTTTATCTATGGAATTGAGATATTTCTTACAATAGATGGCACCTTATAAATTATTGCCATTTTTTTTCTTTCTTAGAACATAAAAACTAGTGCATCCCACCACCGGAAGTATCTGCGAGGCAATAAAAAAGGATGAAAAGCTTTATGGGACTTTACGTATAGGACTTACATGCTGGTTTCCTCCATTACTAGGGACTGAATGTTTATGTCTTTCAAAAATTCCTGGCCTGGCGCGGCGGCTCACGCCTGTAATCCCAGCACTCTGGGAGGCCAAGGTGGGCAGATCACCTGAGGTCAGTTCAAGACCAGCCTGACCAACATGGCAAGACCCTGTCTCTACTAAAAATTAGCTGGGTGTGGTGGCGGGTGCCCGCAATCCCAGCTATTCAGAAGGTTGAGGCAGGAGAATCGCTTGAACCCGGGGGGCGGAGGTTGTGGTGAGCCAAGATTGCGCCATTGCACTCCAGCCCGGGCAATAAAAGCGAAACTCTGTCTCAAAAAAAAAAAAAAAAAAAGTCCTACGTTGAAGCCCTAACCCCCATTGTGATGGTACTTACAGGTAGGGCCTTTAGAAGGTTATTAATTAGGTCATAAGGATGGAGCCCTCATGAGTGGGATTAGTACCCTATCAGTAGAGACAAGAGGGATGATCTCTTTACCACGTGAAGACAGCAAGAACGCATTCCCTCTGCCAACCAGGAAGAGGTCTTCACCAGGACCAACTCGGATGGCATCTGAATCCTGGATTTCCCAGACCTCAGAACCAGAAGGAATACATTTCCATTGTTTAAGCCACCCAGGCAATGATATTTCTGTTATAAAAGCCCAAACTAAGATACCCACACAGAGAACACCTACACACAGTGTGGTTACAGGTTGCATCATTTCTTTTTCTTTTTCAATATTTGCATATTCTCTAAATTTTCTACAATGACCCACCACATGAATTCTTTTAAAAGAAAAAAATGGTAAATATGAAATAGAATAGTAGTGTTGACCCTTAAGAGGAAAAAGATGGTAGAAGACACTATGTTGCTTACAGTAGACTACAAATGTGCGTGAAATTTGTAAATAAAAGATGAATACTTATAAATGTCACCACCTCCCTCTCTGATGTTTCTGAAACCAGAGCATATGTGGTTAACCTTGCTCTAGCTCCAGTCCATCCATCCATCATCATGCTAAAACATACAGCTGTAGGCAGTGGAGAAGAGCTGTATGTGGTCAGGAAAGCGGGAGACAGGAATTCCAGAAATGTCTACTAAAGCAGTGCTTTAAGTTTTAATTTATTCAAGAAACCAATACATATCAGAGCATAAGTGAGAAAAAGAAAACAATTATAAAAAATACAAAGGAGTCCAGGATAATAGAAATCTTTCTTCATTCACATATTCTAGCTAGAATAGTGAGAAGAAATTCTCCCTCAAACGTGGACAGTCCCTTACATCTTCAGCCGACACGGAAGTCTTATCTGAGAATAGAATCTCTGCTACACTAACCTAGGAGACGGCCAGGCAACTGCTGCGGTATACCCATCACCCCAGTGTTCTGGAAGAAAAAGACAGCAGGGAGAAGTTCTCTTTAGAACCAGCTCTTCTACACCAAATGAACTCAGGAGACAATGAATGGAAACACCATGCCATGGTGTGAGCAATGCAATGTGGAGCACAAGCAGCGGAGAGTCTGCTGAAGAAGCTACTCCCCTGAAATAGGAAAGAAGAAAACCAGTTGGCTCTGAATCGAATCCTGCTCCGGTCCTCTTTCTCTTTACCATTTCCCCTTAAACCTCAGGCTTTCTGAACTGCACCGCAACTCTAGAATCTTCAATTAAGGCAAATGAGGAAATAATGGAAAAAGACTGATATATTAAATAAACTAAAGAATAAGACTTAGGTCCAAAATCCTATTTCGTGACACAACTCGACCTTGATCACAGTAAACCCACCAGGCTCATTCTCTCTAATGCCCTGATGAAGCCGTCAGCAACCCCTTCTACCTCGGAAGACATCAGAGCAGAAGGGTGGGATCCTCCATCGCTGTCTTCAACGTAAACAACATTCTTAGGGAGAATGCTTGCCTCTACCATGGAATCTGACTACATGCTATAAGCACCTGCTCAAACCTGACTTTAAGACCCATTCCAGAAAGATATTATAAATGCAAAGATCATACGAAAATCCTGCAGGTACTTCAACAATGCATCACCTACTTAGGACACACATGTGTGGTGTCTCATGTTGAAATGTTAGCAGATGATAAGACTCTCCCACCATCTTCTCCCATTAGTATGAACAACTATGAGTTAGAACCACCTTACTGAGGGAAGAGGACACTGGTCAGGCATCTATCATAAAGAAACATCACCACATTTTATAAGCAAGTTTCTAGCTGTTAACAATTATCATTCAATATAGCATACTGTAGGTACCCAAACTGCTAGTGAACAAGTGCTGTGATTTAATGTCTGTCTCTACTATTGGCTCTCAGATGGTTTGGCTACATTAGTTTTCCATTCTATATTTGATTTCAGATTCCTACTAAAATAATTAAGTGGAGAAACCATTAAGAAGCGAAACTGTCTCTTATTTAATTTTAATCCTCCCTCCTGGGCCTTCCTCAACTCCATGCAACAAAGGTTGCATCAGTTTTTTTAAATAATCAGTTTTTTAAAACATCAAAACCCAAATATTCTTACAACCAAGAGGTCTTCAGGTTGATGAAAATGGGGAGATTATGATTCCTACAGCCAGAAGGACAGTTAAATTCCCAGTCCTCTGAATTTTCACAAAATGACTAATTTTATTTGAAATGTTCTATATTCTCTAAACAGGCAAACTATATAAAACAAATAACTTATGTTCCAAAGCCAGAATATTTTTACAATGAAGTTATCTGGGCCATTTCACCGGCAGAATAAAAAAAAAAAAAACCTGACCTCAAGATGAAATTTTCAACAATATTCATATTCACTAATATATAGTTAGCTAGTTGCCACATTCTGGATAATTTTCAGTAACTTGTTAATGATTAATAAAAGCAATTAGTTCTCTAACCCACTCTATGGCAATTTCAGAATAAAACCATTAACCTTTAATAGTAAATGCAAATTACAAAGCTTTAACAGGCAATTTTACTCTCTTGGCCTCCACAACAAGGGTGTTATTTTATAAAAGATGCTTTCCTCCATGAAATAAGATAAAATTCTTCACTTTTATGTACAAAACTATAATTTTCTCTAAATGAAATATAAAAGCAGAATAAGTAGCAAAACCCAAAGTCAGACATCATTTCTTACATAACTCAAAGAATCCTGTGGACAGCAAGGCACAGGCAGGTAGGGAGGCAGTGACCAGGCCCCAGCAGTCACTGCCCCTGCACCAGCCACTAGAGGAGGCATGGGCTCTCGGGAAGGCAGAACACCCCAACAGCCTGAGGCACTCACTGAAAAGCACAGCAGACCCATTTCTTGCCAGCAGCTGCTACTAGGAGGGATCTGGCCACTCCACAGAGACAGGGAGTGCGGTCCGAGGGACTAGATGAGCCTCACCTCCTGGAACTCGGAAAACAGATGCTCCAGGGCTCCCGCTCCAAGCCAAGGCCTCACACTGAGGAGAAAGTGCTGGGACTGGATTCAAAAAGGAGCAAAACAGGGACAGGGACAAAGAAAAGGCAGGTAAAACTGGGAGAGGGGAAGCAGGAAACCTGTACAAAAGCCACAGCCGAAGGGGCTGTAACAGGGCAGTGTATCTCCCAAGTCTCCTTCCATGAGTTGAGGAAAACTAGCGTCACATACAAACAAGCACCGAAAGCACTGAGGTCAGACCCCACACAAACTTACTACGAGAGAAAGATTTAAGCAGCAAAATCCCCACAGACAAGGAAAGCACACTGAAGAAAATACAATTCAAACTGAGCTAAAGTATGTGAAAATGATACAAGCCATGAACGAAGGTAAGCCAGAATGATTTCCTTTTTAAAGTTCAAAAAGCGGGCAAATCTCTAGGAAGTACAAATAAAGGAGAAACTCGTTTTATACATAAAGATTATATGGAAGACAAGAACACGTAAACACAAAAATGCTTTAAGAGAAACAGGCGGCTTGAAGAAGAAAATTTTTTAATTAAAAAAAAAAAGAAGAGATAAAAAGAATGCAAGAGAAGAAATGAATACTAAAGACAGGCAAAGAATACCTGAAACAGATAACAGGAGTCTCTGACTATAAAAGCAACAATGAAGCAATGGAACAGGACAAATACTGAAGACTACAATCCAAGAAACGTTTTCCGAATGAAAAACGATCTGAAGCTATACACTGAGAGAACATACCACCTATCTAAGCCTATCAACCACAAATGGCTAACACCAGATTAAGAAAAAGTCCTTTGGGTATCGAGGCAAAAAGACCACATGACTTACAGAGGGAAATATCACTGCACATTTCCAGCAACAGTTTATGCCAGAAGGAAACAGAGAAAGAGAGTTAAGATACTTAAGGAAAGAAAATACAAGCCAATAATTTTATCTCTAAGTAAAGTGACCTTCAAGTATCAAGGGGACAGTTATCACTAGACAAGGATTCAAGATATGTTGTTCTTAAGAACCCTTCCTGGCCTGGCATGGTGGCTCACACCTGTAATCCCAGCACTTTGGGAGGCTGAGGCGGGTGGGTCACGAGGTCAGGAGATCAAGACCATCCTGGCTAACACGGTGAAACCCGGTCTCTACTAAAAATACAAAACAATTAGCCAGGCATGGTGGTGGGTGCCTGTAGTCCCAGCTACTCGGGAGGCTGAGGCAGGAGAATGGCGTGAACCCAGGAGGAAGAGCTTGTAGTGAGCCGAGATCGCACTACTGGACTCCAGCCTGGGCGACAGAGCGAGACTCTGTCTCAAAAAAAAAAAAAAAAAAAACCTTCCTGAGAAACCTCCTAGAGAATAAGCTTCAGAAAATCAACATCACTCCAAAGACATATATGAAAGACTGCTGTGAGTATAAACTGATTACACAGTTACTTGCAGAATCAAGTTAAAATGAGAGTTAAGAGGCAGAGATTACAACACGTAATGGTTACACGCTAAGTCGACATGGTACAACAATTAAACACACAGGAGAATGGGGAGAACAGATGCAAAAGACTTTAACTGTATTCAGTAGTCATAACGGAAGCTGGTAGTACTAGTACTGTTATTCAGAGACTTCCTATGTGTATTGTGGGACAAAGCAAATAAGTAATTCTATAATAGTCTATCATCACGTGTTATGCACTGAATATGTCCCTCCAAAATTCCTATGTTGAAACACTAATCCCCAACACCATAGCACTGGGAGGCAGGATCCTTGGGAACTAATTAGGTTTAGATGAGGTCATGAGGGTAGACCCCCCATGATGGGATTCATGGCCTCACAAGCAGCCTTAACTAAGGCACCATGTGAAGCTGGAAGCCAGGATTCTCAGTGTAGAAAAAAGAAAATAGAGCTGTAATACATAAGAGATGATGCAAATGACCTGCGGTCCTTAGAGGATAGGTGGCTTGCAAAGAGAAACAAGTCAGACGCATACTCTTGACGTGGACCCCAGCTCTGAGGACTCCCAGACCAGTGCTCTTGGCTCAGCAACTAGGCTCCAGTTGGTTACGTCACTGACGGCTCCACAGCTCTCCCCCAATATGAGTGATCGTGTGCCCAGTATCAGGAGTGGAACAGCAGCTCCTGATGGGAGCCTATCTGTCTCCATAGCCCTTGACTGGTGACCCTAGCCACACTCTCAAAAGGATGACAACTGAGAGGGAAAAGGTCCTGGAGCATAACCAATCTATGCTACTAGAAGGTAGGACAGTAATTATCTTTGGTGGAGTAGGGAGCGGGGAGTGACTGGGGAGGGGTCTAGGGTGCTGGTGATGTTTTCTTTCTTGATCTGGTAACTGGTTATAGGGATGTCACCAAATTGTCACTCTGAAAATTCTCCAAGCTGGACACATAAGATTTGTCCATTTTTTTCTGTTTATATACTACATTCCAAAAAAAAAAAAAAGGAAAAAAGGAAACACCAAGACAAGTTGTTCTGAATTTGAAGTAAAAATATCAGTATGAACTCAAGATGTTTTATTTTTATACACACACATACATTTCAGCCCTCTCTACTGGGAAGGCACAGAAGCAATGATAAACCCAGTAACAATTTGCATCCAGCATCTATACTCAGGTCTTGAAGCATCATTTCCAATTAAATAAAACTAGGACTTCTTTGAAAATGGCTGATTCTAGGCCTGGGCAAGATATGTAGATAATGAACCTGAAACATCTTGACATACCAGACAGCAAGAAAGCTATAAAGGGCTTGTAAGGTCTGATCAAAAGGACTCAGGAGTCAATTTAAGGAGGCTCCCTTTGGCCAACTGATACAGTTTGGATGTTTAACCCCTCCAAATCTCATGTTGAAATGTAATAACCAGTGTTGGAGGTGCGGCCTGGTGGGAGGTGTTTGGATCATGGGAGCAGATCCCTCATGAATGGCTTAACACCATCTCCTTGGTGATGAGTGAGTTATTGCTCTGAGTTCACACGAGATCTGATTGCTTACAAGTGTGTGGCATCCCTGCTCCTTGCTCCAGCTCTTGCCATGTGAGATGCCTTCTCCCCCTTCGCCTTCCACTATGACTGGAAGATTCCTGAGGCCCTCACCAGAAGCAGAAGCTGGTGCCATGCTTCTTGTACAGCCTGCAGAACCATGAGCCAATTAAACCTCTTTTCTTTAGAAATACCCCATCTCAGGTATTTCTTTATAGCAACACAAGAACAGCCTAATACATCAATGATGGAACAATGTGAGCTTCAATGAGGATGAGAATGACAATGAATTGTTACTTGTCGACTATGCTGAAAGCTCTGAGATCACAATGATTTTTTTAAAAAAGAAAAGAAATGAACTGGTCACGTTCTAAGGATGACAGGAAATCAATTCATTATTTTGAAAGCTGTGTAAATAAAAGGAAAGAATCAAATATTCATCTTGACTTTCCTAAATAAACTCAACAACCAAATAGATAAGGAGAAGCATCTTCTTATACAATTATTCCAGTTAATAAATGAAAACAGAATGACAAAGTCAAATACCACCATTTTACAATCCTTAATAAATTAATAAATCTAGGCACTGAGCATCAATAGCTAACATAAAAAAAAGAAACAAAGAAAGAAAGAGTGAAAACCAGACGATACACATTCTGATAAAAAACAAACACTACTCAAAACTCTCATGAAGATCAGCAGTAGTACTGTGCCTGTGAATAGCCTCTGAAGTCCAGCCTGGGTGACATGGCAAGACCAAGTCCCTTCTTTAAAACACACAAAAAAGAAAAACACACTACAACATATAATTGTGCTGAAGGGATTAAATCCTAATCCGACAATGTAACTGCATTCTGCTGCCAATCTGCAGAAAACACAAGAGGACAGAGGAACATGTTGAATTACACCAGCAGAGCGCAGACTGAGAAACAACATTAAATAGCTGGAGTGATACCTACAGATTAGGAGACTTAAAAGACACAGTCTAAAAACATTACCAAAACCAAATTATTTAGTGTCTAGAAATGTATGATGGGGTGAAGGAACTATAAAGAAATGTAAAGAAGCAACTACTAGGAAAATCAGAAGAGTGGTTACTTTGGAGGAAGGGAAGGGATTGTGATTAGGATGGGACACATACGGGAGTTTCTAATTTCCTGCTGTGGTCCTGGATGGTGGCTAAAGGGGATTCACTTTACAATAATCCGCTAAGCTACTTCATTCGACTCTGAGGGCTACCATAACAAAATACTGCAGACTGGGTGACTTCAACAACAGAAATTGATTTTCCCACAGTTCTGGAGGCTGGAAGTGCAAGATCTAGGTCTCAAATGGGTTGTTTTCTCCTGAAGTCTCTTTCCTTGGCTCACAAACAGCCACCTTCTCCCTTTGTCCTCACAGGGCCTTTCCTCTGTGCATGTGTGTCCCTGGGGTCTCTCCCTCTTCTTTTAAGAAGTTGCCAGCCAGACTGGATTAAGACCCCCCGTCAATGACCTCGTTTAACCCTAGTTACCTCTTTCAAGGTCCAAACATAGTCATACTGGGGGTCAGGGCTTCACATATGAATTTGCTGAGGGGGCTTGAGGGATGCACAATTCAGTCCATAAACGCTGTATATATTTATTTGATGTAGTTTTGTTTTAAATAAAAAGTGTGTGTGTGTGTGTGTGTGTGTGTGTGTGTGTGTATCTAAAGTAGGCTTCACAGGTCTTCTCGGCTCCCTCCTGAAACTCTCATGAAATAAAGGAAGAAGCGGGTATAACCCCAGAAGGAAAGACAGAAGTGAGAAGTGATGATACTAGATGAGAGATGGTCACATTTGAGAAAGTGGAAAGGAGACAGAGGGGTCTGCTGGAGCAAAGTCGAGAAGCAGGAAGTAGACTCAAAACTCAGAACCCTAGGAAGTTCAGGAAATGAAAGGACCACGTAATCTGGAGACCAGGGCGCAGGCACAGGATGGCGCTAAGAGCTCGGCTGGTAATGATTTTGACTAACGAGCAGTTTGAGTCCCAGATGCTTTCCTGCAGCAGTTACCTGTGGGTAACTGTCCTCCCTCACTCAGGCAGATACCTCGATATCTGCTTTCCAGGTATAGACCCAAGTATAGGGTGAGGGCAAAGTAGCAAGCCGCCAAGCTCCTTCCTTCTTTCCTCAAAGCCGTGCCTGAAACATTCAAACACTACCTTCCATTTTGACTCCGTAAGATAATTAAAGTCCTCATCTCCAGAGCCCTGCCTTGTTCACATCCTAAACAAAGACAGCTCAGTTTGGAGGAAGGGAAGGGAAGGGAGGGGTAGGGAGGGAAAGGAGAGAAGGGGAAGGGGAAGGAGAAGGGGAAGGGGAAGGGAAAGAAGGAAAGGGAGAGAAGCGAGGAAAGAAGGGAGAGAAGGGAGGAAGGAAGGGAGAGAAGGGAGGGATGGAGAAAGGGAGAAGGGAGGGAGGAAGGGAAAGAAGGGAGAAAGGGAGAGAAAGAAGGGAGGGAGGGAGGGAGGGAGGGAGGAAGGAAACAAACTACCTGAGTATCTCTAATCTGAAAATGCAAAACCTAAAATGCTCCAAAATCCAAAACATTTTGAGCAACGACATGATACTCAAAGGAAATGCTCACTGGAGCATTTTGGATTTCAGATTTTTGGATTAGATTTTCAGATATCTACATCATGCTCAACTGGTAAGCATGATGCAAATACTCCCAAAATCCAAAAAATGCAAAATCCAAAACACTTCTGGTTCCAAATGTTTCAGATAAGGAGGACTCAGTCTGCACCAGAAACGTCTCTAAGTCTCCCACAACTAAAGATAATAATTTTCTTTGCTGAAAAGGCCAAGAACCAGAACAAAAGATGAAGACATCCACATCAAAGTACATTGTTATAAAACTTATTTGTAGATGACATGATCATCTACACAGAAATTCCCATAGCCGCTACCAAAAAAAAGTTTCTGCAACTAAGACTTAGCAAGATTGCAGGATATGCAAAGATAAAAACATCAACTGTATTTCTATAAAAATAAACTATCAAAAATAGAAATTAATAGGACAATGACATTAATAGCATCAACAATGAAACAGAGAGAAATCTGACAAAAGGTGCACAGGAACTTTACACTGAGAACTACAACATAATTGCTAAGAGAAATTAAAGATCTAAATAAATGGAGAGATACGCCATATTCATGGGTCAGAAGGTTTAATATTGTCATGATTTCAATTCTTCCAAAACTGATCTGCTAACTCAACACGATCAAAATCCTAGCACACTGTTTTTGTAGAAATTAACAAACTGATTCCAAATTCAGATAAAAATGCAAACGACCCACAATAGTCAAAATGATTTTGGAAAGGAAGAATAACGTTTGAGGACTTACATGACTTCAAGACTTTATAATGAAAAACCTAGTAATAAAGACAGTGTGGTGTGGGCATCGAGATACACAAAAAGGACAATGGAACAGAATCAAGCTCGGAAATACATATTTATGGTCAATTGACTTTTGATAAAGGGGCAAGGGCAATTCAGTAAAGAAAGAATAGCCTTTCAACAAATAGTAATAGAACAACTGAATATTCATATTGTTTAGAAAACACAATAAAGCAAAACCAGCACTCTGATCCACACTTCATACCATATACAAAAAGTAATGTAAAATGGATCACAGAACTAGATATTAAACTTTATAAAACAGGTAGAAGAAAATTATAGGAGAAAATCTTTGTGCCCTTGGGCTTGACAAAGATTTCTAAAATATGATACCAAAAAGCACAACCTGTTAAAGAAAAAACTGGCTAAGTGTGGTGGCTCATGCCTGTAATCCCAACACTTTGGGAGACTGGGGCAGTCGGTCTGCATGAGGCCAGGAGTTCAATACCAGCTTGGGCAACACGGCGAAACGCCATCTCTACAGAAAGATTTTTAAAAATTAGATGAGCATGGTGGCATGTGCCTGTATTCCCAGCTATGTGGAAAGCTGAGTTGGGGGGATCACCTGAGCCTAGGAGAGAGAGGCTGCAGTGAGTCAATATCATGCCACTGCACTCCTGCCTGTGTAGAGTGAGACCCTGTCAAAAAAAAAAAAAAAACACTAACAAAATGGGCTTCATCAAAATGAAAAACTCCCACTCATTACAAGATATTATTATGAGAATGATATGGAAATAATCTCAATGTCCATTGTCAGATGAACAAATAAAGAAAGTGTGGTAAACACACACAATGAAAAAACATTTGTTCTTAAAAAGGAAGGAAATCCTGCCATTTGTGACTACATACACAGACCTGGAGGGCATTATGTTAAATGAAACAAGCCAGACACAGAAAAACAAATACCACATAATCTCACTTATATGTGGAATCTAAAATAGTCAGACTCACAGAAACAGAGTAGAATGGTAGTTGCCACAAGCTGGGGAAGAGGAAAATGGGGAGGTGATGGTCAAAGGGAAAAAATACAGCCTGAAGCTAACAATACTGTGTGGTATACTTAAAATTTGCTAAGAAGGTAGATCTCATGTTAGGTGTTCTTACCACAAAATTAATAATAATAATAATAATAAATAAATAAAGGGGGTGAAAGGAAACTTGGGGTGGTAATGGATATGTTTATGCTCTTGATGGTGTTAATGGTTCCAAGGGCATGAACTTATCCCCAAACTTATCAAGTTGTATAAATTAAATAGGTACAGCTTTTTATGTGTCAATCATTTAAAAAAGAACTTGTACCTAGAATAAAGATTCCTCAAAAATCAATAATAAGAAGCCAAACAACTCAAAACATGTGCATGAAATCTCAACGGACACTTCACTAAAGAAGATATATGGATGGCGGCCAGGCGCGGTGGCTCACGCCTGTAATCCCAGCACTTTGGGAGGCTGAGGCAGGCAGATCAAGAGATCGAGACAATCCTGGCCAACATGGTGAAACCCCATCTCTACTAAAAATACAAAAATTAGCTGGGTGTGGTGGCACGTGCCTATAGTCCCAGCTACTCAGGAGGCTGAGACAGGAGAATCACTTGAACCTGGGAGGCGGAGGTTGCAGTGAGCCAAGATCGTGCCACTGCACTCCAGCCTTGTGACAGAGCGAGACTCTGTCTCAAAAAAAAAAAAAAAGCTATATGGATGGCAAATAAGCATATGAAAATATGCTCAACATCACAAGCCATTAGGGAGAAGCAAATTAAGGAGATGCCATTACACACCTAATAGAAAGGCTGGAATCACAACAGTTGATCTTACCAAGTGCTGGCAAGTATTACAGGCTGAACTGACCCCTCCTAAAATTCATAGGAAGGCCTAATTCCCAGTATCTCAGAATGTGGCTGTATTTGGAGAGGAGGTCTTTAAAGAGGTAATTAAGCTAAAATGAGGGCCGGGTGCAGTGGCTTACACCTGTAATCCCAGCACTTTGGGAGGCCAAGGCAGGAGGATCACTTGAGGTCAGGAGTTGGAGGTCAGCCTGACCAACATGGTGAAACCCTATCTCTACTAAAAATACAAAAATTAGCTGGGCGTGGTGGCATGCACCTGTAGTCCCAGCTACTTGGGAAGCTGAGGCAGGAGAATCCCTTGAACTCAGGAGGCTGAGGCTGCAGAGAGCCAAGATCATACCACTGTACTCCAGCCTGGGCGACAGAGCAAGACCCTGTCTCAAAAACAAACAGACAAACAAACAAAAAAAAACTAAAATGAGGCTATCATGGTGGACCCTAATCTGATCTGACTAGTGTCCTTATAATAATAGGAAATTTGGACACAGAAAGTGACACGGGATGTGCATGCTCAGAGCAAAGCCCATGTAACAAGGCAGGTGGAGGGCAGCCGTCTGCAAGCCAAGAAGAGGGGCCTCAGAGGAAACCAATGCTCCTGGCACCTTGATCTTGGACTTCGAGACTCCAGAACTCTGAAGAAATACATTGCTGTTGTTTAAGCGCCCCAGTTTGTGGTTGTTTGTTATGGCTGTGCTAGCAAACAAACACAGAAAGGATATGAAGCAACTGCAATTCTCAGACTGCTGATGTGAATATAAAATGGTTCAACTACTCCGGAAAACAGTTTCGCAGTTTTTTAAAACCTTAAACATATACCTATCATATGATCCAGCTATTCCACTCCTAGGTATTTATCGAGGAGAAATAAAAACATGTCCACACAAAGACTTGTACACAAATGTTCACATCATGTTTATTTGTAATAGCCCTAAACTGCAGACAACACAAGTATCCATTAGCAGATGAATGGACAAACTGGTGTTTCCATATGATGCAATACTTCTGACCAATAAAAAGGAAAGAACTATTAATACCACACAACAACATGAATGAATCTGAAAATAATTATGCTGAGTAAGCGAAACAGAAAAGAAGACAGTGTGTAATTCCATCAACGTAAGATTCCAGAAATGGCAAACTAATGTATGATGAAAGAAATATCAGTGGTTGCCTGGAAATGAGGGATGACAGGGAGGGGATTACAAAGGCACATAAGGAAACTGTGGGGGTCTCAGGACCTGAATGTTTGTGTGCCCCCAAAATTCAGATGTTGAAAGCCTAACCCCTAATGTGATGGAATCAGGAGCCCGTGGGAGGTACAGTCATGTGTCACTTAAGATGGGAAAACATTCCGAGAAATGCATTATTACAGTGCACTTACACACGCCTAGATGGCATTGCCTACGACACACCTCGACTCTATATACAGCCTATTGCTCCTAGGCTACAAACCTGCATGGCAGGCTACCATAGTGAATGCTGTAGGCAACTATAACAAAATGGTAAGTATTTGTTTAACTACACATAGAAAAAAAGTACAGTAAAAATACAGTATTATAATTTTATGCAACCACCGTCGTATATGTGGTCTGCTGTACACCAAAATGTCATTATGCACCTGACTCTAATTCAAAACATCAGATTTGATACTTTACATGTTGTCTACATCTCATGTTCAGAATGGTTCCATATTTAAAATCATACTGCATCATACTTTTGTAATATGAAAAAAGTATTAAAAGCTAATGAGATGAAAATATTTCAAGAATGCCTATGCTTCACGTTAAAAAAAAAAAGACCCACTGTTACTGTTGCTGAGAATGTCAATTAGTACAGCCACTACAGAAAACAGTATGAAGATTTCTCACAAAACCAAAAACAGAACCACTATATATGATCCAGCAATCCCATTACTGGGCATTTGTCCAAAGGAAAAGAAATCAGCACATCAAAAAGAAATCTCACAGACTATTCACGATAGCAAAGATGTGGACTCACCCTAAGTGTCTGCCAACAGACAAATGGAAAAAGAAAGTGTGGTATATATACATGATGAAATACTATTCAGCCACAGAAAAGAATAAAATCACGCCGTTTGCAGCGTCATGGATGAAACTGAAGGTTATTAAGTGAAATAAGCCAGGCAAAGAAAGACAAATATTGCATGTACTCACATGTGGGAGCTAAAAAATTGATCTCATGGAGTTAGAGAGTAGAATGAGAGATACCAGAGGCTGGGAAGAGTTGGGTGGGGGAGAGGGCTGGTCAATGGATGAAGACAGGATGGCTAATGGATACAAACACACGGTTAGAAGGTGTAAGTTCCAATGTCTGATAGCAGAGTGGAGGGACTATAGTTAACAACAATGTTTTGTGTATTTCAAAGTAGCTACAAGACAACTCAAAATGTTCACCAAACACAGAAATGATAAGTACTCAATGTCATGGATACCCCAAATAACCCAACTAGATCATTATACATTCTATCCATGTAACAAAACACCACATGTACCCCATGAATATGTAAAATATCATGTATCAATTTTTAAAACCCACTGTTGTTTTATGCTTTATGCATAAGCCATTTGTAGAAAACAAGGTGAAAGTAAATTTGATTACGTAAAGTCCCCTTCCCCCCGGGGTTCTGGAAACTTCTCTGATTCCATCCCATTTTTTAAACTGGAATATCTAACTATCTGGAAAAGAGGAGCTGGACAGAATGATCTCTTAAAATTCCTTCCAGGCTGGGCGTGGTGGCTCATACTTATAATCCCAGCACTTCGGGAGGCCAAGGCGGGTGGATCACCTGAGGTCAGTAGTTTGAGAGCAGCCTGGCCAACATGGTGAAACCCCGTCTCTACTAAAAATACAAAAATTAGCTGGGTGTGGTGGCGGGCGCCTATAATCCCAGCTACTCAGGAGGCTGAGGTAGAAGAGTCGCTTGAGGCCGGGAGGCAGAAGTCACAGTGAACCAAGATCAGGCCACTGCACTCCAGCCTGGGTGACAGAGCAAGACTCCATCTCAAAAAAAAAAAATTCCTTCCAACCTTGAAATCAGTTATTTTTTTCTCCTCTTTTCTTCTATCTCCTCAAACCATAATAAAGATGTGTGTTGTTCACTTTATTCACTGAATGCTATTTTGTGCTATCTTTCCTTAACTTAAAATTATGTTAGAATTCCTCCCAAGAAAAAATAAACCCAAACTAATATGCTTCATATAAGACTCTTTTGTGAGTAGCCCTTAAAATGTGCCCCTTTTACCACATTCCCTAACCTCTTCAGGATATTCTTCCAGTTCCTCTTTCTCCCCCGCAAGTGACATACTCATTGGATATTTGGAAAATAATAATTTTTGTCCCAAAAGTAGAGAATTTCTACTAGTGAAAGTATGCAACCTTGAAATTATTTAATTTTTCCTTCCCAATTTTAAACCGTATTTATTGAACTTTAACCCAAGTTCATGTATACTAATAAAAATATAATCATACACTGTGCATTTGCTAGGTGTGTATAAAGAAAATATTTACATTTACTTTGGAAAAGTTTTGTAGGACTGCAGAAAATTGATTAAGAGCAAAGAACATGCACATCATTTGCTGTAATTTTCTATTATTTGTTCTGTTGAGAATGGCAAGATTTTAATCTTGGTTCATGCTCAGTAAGAACAGATGTAATATAATTCTACCCATGTGAACAAGATGTGACATTTCCCTAAAAGCTCATGCTAAACCACGCAGCACTGATAGCAGAAGCAACGGCGCAGTCTGGAAGCCTGGTGGATTCAGAGCAGATGAACCCAGAGTCTCAGTTCAGAAAATCCAGACCCACGATCCATTTGTCAGTCTTTGAACAAGTTTTTTTTTTTTTTAATTTTCTCAAGCTTGTTCAATATATCCATCCACGTTCCCTTCTGCCTTACATCCCCCCGCTCCGCCTTTTAAAATGCTATTACAAATCAGCTTTTATGTGTTCCCAGTAGCTCCCATCAGCAAGGGGAAGAACAATTAATAAACCTGTACTCATACTACAATTTTGGCTATGTAAAAGCAAATGGGATCATTTTTAGTACTTGTTGGGAAGGAAAAAAACAAGTCCCGTTCAAAAGGATATTAAACTGAAGACTGAATACTACTTAGAGTCAAGAAGATCACAAGAAAAAGGCAAACAATAGTAATCACCAAACTTATTAACAAATTACTATCAAAACAAAGCGGTCCCTTTTTTCTCAATTTACATTAAGGTACACAGGATTTTGCTAAAGTATATAGAATTCAAATAAGAATCTTAAGAAAATTTTCCCAGCAGTAAAAAGTGACAGTCTTGGGAATCTTAGGGCCTGAATGCTAAGGACATTAGTGCTATCAGCTGTGAGATACAGGCTGTGGGGAAGTGTATTACCCAAACTTCTCTGAAGTATTTAAGGGCTCTTTGCTTCTCTACAGTTGTCCTTCCTGAAACATTCAGAAGACCCTCAGCCCTCTGATTCCAGAAAACATCTGGGCATGTTGCTGGCCTTATCTACGCCAGTCAAGGTTGAACGCATTTTTAAAGCTAAGCGAATATACTGAGTGGGATTTTTAAAAATCTAGATACATAATAAATCATGGGTAAGATGGAGGAAGAGTCTGAAGGAAGGAAAGAAGAAGGGAGAAAGGAAAATTAAATCACCTCACCACATAAGCATAATCTGTTCCTATCAGGATGAGATGTCTTGCCCCTGAAGAACTTTCCCTGAACGTTTGTCCTAATAAATACAAATTTTGAACGAAGATTCTCATTCTAATTTCAATAACACCCAGTTTGCTTTATTTCACTCATCTGTTTGCTTTTGTATAACAAGTGAACAGAACTAAGTAACCCAGAGAACTAAAGCGCCATGCCAAGAAATGACATGTTGATCCTCAACTAGCTTGTGGACAGAGTGTTTCTTTTCTGGTCATTCCTTTCAGCCACTGATATAAACAAATATAATTATCCAATCAAAATTCTGAATGATGAGAAGTTTCCTATGCAGTCCTAAGCATACTGGTTTTACTTTCCATAGTTCAGCAAAAATATTACTGGATTACTGGGGCTTTAAAATGGCCCAAGCTGTAGCCCACAGATCTGCACTAGCTCACAGAATGCCACGGTTTGGTTTGTTTCTGACTATGATCACAGAGTAATACTAACAAAATCTTGCTATTTGAAGGAATTATTAATTTTTGAATTACAATTAGAATACAATTAGATTATTCCACATTACCCAGTGAATTATTATTATAGGTGCCAACATTCACAGTTTAATCCAATGAAGAAACTGAGCCTATATAAAAATAACCACCACCAAAGCAGAAGAAAAGCTACGTGAAGAACTGAACTCAATCTTAATGGTTCCTGCAGATAACTACTCCCAACTGACCCAAATAAACCAATTTACTGGGTCAAGAGAGAGCATGAAGGAACTAAGGACTCTGTTAGAAGTGAGGAAATATGGAATTACTCGTGCATGTAGCATGTATAACATACAGAACAAGCATTTCTGAAAATGTGAGCAGTATCAATAGGTTGGATAACTTTAGCCCCAAAAACTCTACTACTACTGCTTTTTGGAAATAATTAAAAATATCTCAATACAGTTTAGAAACTTTGATAAAGTCAATATAAAAGTAATAACATCATATAAACCGGTCTTTTGCTCATTTGAACTCCTGACATGGGGATTATAAGCCATAACAGATTTCTTTTTTCAAATATCTGAAATACAAGGAATAATTTTCTTTAAATGAGTTGCAATATACCAACCAGTATTGGGCTGGTTTCTGTGATTTCCTCTTAATTGGTGGTAGCAGCAGTAATCCTCTAATTCTTAGGATGGACAACTGACTTTTGAATATCTCAGTAATGAGATCTCCATTCTTTGATCTGCTCAAGCCAAAAGCCTTAAGAGGTATCTTGGACTCCTTCCTCTCTCTTTCTTGCATATTTGCATCCAACCCATCAACAGATCCTCATGCTCCTTTCCTCCCAAATATTTCCAGACTCCAACCACTTATCATCCCTACCACCATTACCAGGGGTGAAACGAATATTCCCTCTGGACTACTGCAAGTATTCTTCCTAATTGGTCTCTCCGTTTCCACCCCTGCCCTTCAAGACCATTCCCAACATAAAACTCACTGCAATCCTTTTAAAAGCCTAGGTGGGTAGGAAAGAAGCTGGCCTTGCCGAGAAGAGACATCTGGCCTTTGCCCTCGGCTAGTGGGAGGTAATCTGTGTCATAACTAATAGAAGTGTCCTTGTTTAGGGTGGGGGTTGGCCACACTGGATCTTAGGGTAGGGTTGGCCATATGAGAAGGACCAATCATGTGATTTAGGGTGGGAGCTCTGGCTCACACGATACCAGTAGACATGGTGACGGAGTTCAACTTTGTGGGCAATCAATCAATCAAACATGCTATCTCAGGAAGCTCTAATAAAAACTCTAGACACCAAAAATCAGAAGAGATTCCTTGGTTGGCAACATTCCGTGCGTACGGTCACACATCAGTACCAGGAGGGTAACAATGCCCAGCCTCCATGGAAGAGGAGAACGGAAGATTCACATTAGAACCTTCCCAGACTCTGCCCCATGGCTTCCTTTGGCTTCCTTTGATCTGTATCTTTTCCCTTTAATAAACCATAACAATAAGTGTAACAGCTTTCAGTGAGTTCTATGAGTCCTTCCAGCAAATTGTCAGACCTGAAGGTGGTTTTGGAAACACCCCAAACTTGCAGTTGGTGTGAGAAGTGAGAGTAGTCTTGGAAATCACACCTCACAACTCACAGTTTGGCTAATGCTGGAAAGGTATCAGTCAGTGTATTTTTTACAGTTTTCTTGAAAATTAAGTAAGAGTTTCTAGAATACATGTAATCCTCCTTTTCTGTTGGTTCCTTCTCTGCCTATAAACAGGGTCTACCCTTCAACTCTTTTAAGAGAAAACAAAAGTACCTTGTCTTCTGTCCTCTTTTCTTTCCATTGACTGCCTCTACCCTCTTCAAATCTTCCCAGTAGTCTACAATTCTTAAGGGACTCAAATTTTAATTCTAAAATTCTATCATATTCTTATAAATCTGCTGACAACATGTCTACTACTCCTGGAAGGGAAAGACAAATCAAGAAATATAAAATGTTTTCAAGCAGCACAGCTTCATATTATCCGAGCTGCGTTAGAGATTAAAACAAACAGCAATATTTTGGCCAGAACCATGGTTTCATCCTGAGGCCCCCAACCACTGGCACCTGCTTCACCAGTCTTGATACTGCATACTCCCACAACTGTGCTCATTTTACAAGCTCATTTTATCACTCAGAAAGATTCCACTTGGCTTGGCCACTGTTACCAAAGCCTTACTGTCTTGCTTCAGGCTTCCAAATTTTAAATGGCACTATTTAACATTTGGGCAGATTGGATTCCTTGCCTTATTAGTTAATTACGGGTCGAGTATTCCATACTGGTAGTCTGATATGTTTAAAACTGAAGGGAAAAATTTGTTTTTAAACCAGTATGACCAAAGACTTTATAATGTGAATATTTTAAAATCTCATTTTATAAAGTGAACAAGGGACCCCTCTCAAGAGAAAAAAATTAATAAAGACTTCACAATAGTTGTGCATTATCTTCAGGATAAGGAGCCTTAATGGAATTCAAGATACTCACATGGGATTCAAGAACTATATGCACACAAATATAGCTTTACTCTTCCTTCAAGAGGCAACAGCTGTTTGTTTTATATACAGACACAGTTTTCTCTGGACAATTTCAGCAGTATCTCAGCACACAGAGTGTAACAGGTCCTTACAAAGCACCATCCTCATCACTTGCAGAGACACTGGCACTACAGAAGTCTCAATGGCCTCCCTACCTTACTCAAACCTCCCACCCGTCTATTTTTCCACTTTGTCCCACTCCATTCCACTGCAGTCAAAGTGATCTTACTCGAAATGCAAACATGATCTTCTGTCATCAATGGCTCTCTTGCATTTTCAGGATAAAGCTGATCATTCTAAATACAATCCACACAAGCAATTTAGTGCAAATTTAGATCATGTCCTCCTTCTCTCCTGATGCAATGAAGGAGGCGCCTATTCTGTGTGAACTCAACCCTTCCACCTTTGCAGGAGCTATTTCAATTACCTGCTTTCCTTCTCTACTAGTGCTTTCCTTTTATTTAAACACATTCAAGTCTCTCCTGACTTGCAACAAAACAAGGTCTTGTAAAGATTTTGACTTTATCCAATTCTCTTTCCACTCTATGCCTTCTCCTGCCTCTCTAATTTTACATCCAGTCCCTTCCCTCTTCACCTTTTACTGTGGCAAGGTCAGAATCTGCACCAATTCTGAAGTGCATCATGCTTCTTTGCATAGGCCTTTGTCGGTTTTTCTCCCTCTGTTCTGAATGCTTTTCCAACTTTTGTTGATTTAACTCTTCCTCACTCATCAAGGCGAAATTCAAATAACATCTCCCCTCTGCAGCTTTCCCTACCATCTCATCCAATGTAAAACTATGTCTGAGAGCATGCAACACATCCTATTCTATCTCCCCACCTGCCTGCCTCTTCAGCTGGGCTGAATTCCTGGAGGGCAGACATTACATTAACTGAAATCATAAGAGTTTCAAAGATCTGTGAAACACCTAAAATTGCAGGCAGTATTTTGTGTATCTTAATGTTTTTGGAGAAAAAGTCTACAGCAAATATCAGTTTGTCAAAGAGGCATGTGACCCCAAAGAAGTTAAAAATTATTGCCCCCAAAATTAGCACAGTATCTAACATATAGTAGACACCCATTATCTATTCAATTGTCATCAAAATACTACAAAGTGACTGCACAGTGGTAAATCAAAATATCTATTTTGGGGTGGGAAGGGGAAAGACAAAATCTTGCTTACAGAAGAATTCTAAATGACGTAGGTAAATACTCCCCAGTCCAGGAGGTGATGCCTAACACCCCACCCACCACAGACACAGATGCACACACACACACATACACACACACACAGAGTCCTTCAGGGTAGGCTACACTTAGGAACTTGCTTCCAAGGAAGATGGGGGAAAAGGCAAAGAGAGTAACTTTACAGTAGGAAACCTGGCAAACAGGATTTTAACCAAGTGACGGAGATGAACCTCAGCCATGATGTCATGTGACTATCACACATGCTCTAATTTGAGGTCATGAGAGGGCACTTCACCTCTGGGGTATTGTTTCCAAAAATCCATAGCCCAGCCTAATAAGAAAAATGTCAGACTAACCCAAATTGACAAACATCCTACAAAATGCCTGACCAGCAAGCCTCCAAACTGTCAGGGTGATGAAAAGCAAGGAAAGACCAAGAAACTGTTGCAGCGCAGAGGAGACAGAGACATGACAACAAAACGCAAGATGGTCCACTAGGCTGAACCTTGGAACTGAAGGAAGACACAAATGGAAAAACTGCAGAAATCCAAATAAAGCCTGGGGTATAATACTAACATACCAATGATGGTTTCCTAGTTTGGACAAATGTACCATGGTCACAAACAATTTTAACAGTGGGGGAAGCTGATGAGGTGTATATGGATACTCTGTGCTATCTTTAAGCTTTTCTGTAAACATAAAAAACCTAAAATTATTTTAAAATAAAAGGTATGTATGTATGTATGTATGTATGTATGTATGTATGATTTTTAGAGATGCAGTCTCTCTCTGTTGCCCAGGCTGGTGTGCAGTGGCGTGATCATAGCTCACTGCAGCCTCGAATTCCTGGACCCAAGGGATGCTCCCACCTCAGACTCTCTATTAGCTAGGGCTATAGGTGCATGCCACCATACATAGCTAATTCTTTGGGGTTTTTCTGGTAGAGATGAAGGTCTCACCATGTTGCTGGGCTCAATCTCCCGGTCTCAAGCAATCCTTCCATCTTGGCCTCCGAAAGTGCTGGGATTACAGGCGTGAGCCACCATGCCTGGCCAAAATGTTTATTTTTTAGAGTCTCTTTTATCTAGTTACAAATCTCTGAGATTCCCAGTTTCCAAACTTCAAAGAATTATTAGCAAACAGGCCAGTTATCCAATCTCCATCAAGCGGCATTAGATATGTTATAAAGGGTGTTACACTCAAACCAAAGCAAAAATCTGTTGAGTCAATTGCAATTATGAAAATTATAAATTACAACTTAAAAGTTGGTGATTGGTATCTATTTCTTGATGATGAAGCTTCAAACGTGTAATCAGTGACTTTTCAATTCTGAACCACCCAACTTGCTACATTCAAGCATGGTGTTGTGCCAGGCACCGGGACTCAGTGAGGAGTGGGGAAAGGCAATAATCAATCGTCAGCCATAATGACAGGGGAAATACAGTGTGCAATGGAAGCAGAGAGCAGAAGCATCTAACGGTCTGAGCGAGATTATTATGGAAGGACCAGGAAAAATTTAAAAGTAACACTTAGAATAGGGCCTGAAGGATGAGAAGCACTCGCCAAGAAAAGAGGAAGACTGAGTGTACCAGAGAAAGAAAACAGCATCCACAAAGACTACAAGCAAGAGAACATGACCAGTTGTTCAGGATGGCTACAGCTGAAAGTGCTAGGCAGGGCCTGGCAAGAAATCAGACAACCGGATTTTCACTCTGCTTCAGGAGCTGTGCCTAGAAACTTCGCCTTGAGTTTCTTTAGCTTTCCCAACAATTATGGAGCAACTAAAAACCTTTGTGTTTACTTCATTAGTCGCCATTGAGACCCTGACCAACACAATCCCTCTTATGAAAAGAATCCACCTCCATCAATAGCAAAAAAACAAAACAAAACGTTTAAACACAGGTCTCTGTGCTCAATTCTATTTATACAATCGTATATCCCTCCAGCATGTGCACAGACAGGAATGGCAGGCTTCTAAATGCAAAGATGACGAAACGGACAGACACAGCTAACACAATTTTTTAAGTTCTACGCTTAGGTTCAAGTACATCAAATGCAAAAATATAGGCAGAGATAAGCCTAGGAGAAAGGGAATAATTACCAGAACACTAATCCCACCATACTGCATACAAGCCAAGAACATAAAATGAACCTCTCAGTCTTACCCTTCCTGCAACTGAGGACCCGCTTGCCGGCACTCAGTAGGACACGTGATTAAAAGTGTGGCTTGTGAGGCCAAACTGCATGGTTCTGAAACCTGGTTCTACCATTTACAAGCTGTATGACATTAGGCAAATTACTTACCTTCTTTAAGCCACAGTTTCCTCCTTGAGACAGGTGGACATTAACAGTACTAGCTCATGAATTTAGTTGGCCGTTTCAATGAGTTAATACACATCAGCTGTTACTAACATCCACCATATATTCCCAGAGGGGTACCCAATTCTTTGGGGTCTCAATGACCCTTGTCCTTCACCCTCTAGAAAGCATGTCATCAGAGAATAACAAACATTATCTTCAACTTACTTGATCCACTGCTGCATATAATTTAAGTAAGTCATTCTCAAAACTTACTTTACTAATAACATAGTCTATACAACCCCCAAGTAATGACCACAGTGCAGTCTGTTACGACAGCTATGGCAAATACTGACCTAGATCGCGAGAGAAAAGAACAGCTGCTGTCCTCACAGCTGCCCCGCCTCACTTTCTGCTAACAGACGCTGCTTCTGTATGGCCATCAGCTTGCCATGTGCTTTCAGGCAGGCTGGACCCATCCCCATTCCCTACATCAGCAGCATCAGCTTCAATCAGGAACTTGTGAAAAACACAAATTGTCAGTCCCCAATCCAAACTAGAGCAGAAACTCTTCAGGTGGGGCCTGGCAATCTGTGTTTTGATAAGTCCTCCAAGTCATTCTGATGCAGACCAGTCTGAAAACTACTGACCAAGAACCACTGAACTAATAATGGCAACTGCGTATCTCTAAGTTTAGAAATGGGGTATACAACAATTCTAGCCAAGGAGGGGCAACTTCTAGAAATTTTGCTTACTCTTAAAAATGAACACAAAGAAGGTACCTTATCTCTTCTGGCCTTTAGAATGTTGTTGATTAGAGATATGATGCTTAGACCCGCTGCAGCTATCTCATGACCCCAAGGGCAAGCCAAAAGCAGATCCACCACGCTGGGTCCTTGATGGAATCAAGCCGATAAAATAACCAACCAGGAATCTGCACTACCTATAGGAGCTGCTGATATGTGAGATATTATCACATTTCATCAAATGTAAGACTCATCAGTGGTTAAGATGCATCATTATTTTGTTAATCATCGTGAGGAAAAAATGTTGTCAAACAAACTGACACACCATGCATTTAAATGGACCACGTGTCTCAATTTCAGAAATAATCACATATGAAGAAAATGTACGTCAGAAACAAAAAAAAAGTAAATTCCTTATTGTTTCAGCCAGATAAGTAGGGATTTTCTGTTGTTTGCTGCTAAAAACATCACAATTTATTTTTTTAAAAGGATATTATGTTCAATTCTGAGTAGTCAATAAGATGCAGCATATACAGATGATGGACAGGAATAATGGTGAGTCTGAAGCTGAGATGGCCTTTATGGGGAAAAAAAAAAGGAATAATGATGGGGAATCCTGAAATAAAAGGAAGAGACAGTGAAATATTTAGACAAAGAAAATAAATAAAGTTTAGAAGGAGGCATCATAACTGTCTTCCACTGTCTGAGGGGCTCCAATACTGAAAAAGTAGACTTTGTATAGCTCAGATAAAGCGAGGAAAGGCAGACTTTAACCTCTGAATGAAATCTACCAATGTAATGATGCCTTAAAAAATGGTTCACAGGCTGGGCGTGGTGGCTCACGCCTGTAAACCCAGCACTTTGCAAGGCCAAGGCGGGTGGATCCCGAGGTCAAGAGATCGAGACCAGCCTGGCCAACAGGCTGAAACCCCGTCTCTACTAAAAATACAAAAATTAGCTGGGTATGGTGGCACTTGCCTGTATGTAGTCCCAGCTACTCGGTAGGCTAAGCCAAGAGAAACCCTTGAACCCGGGAGGCGGAGGTTGCAGTGAGCCGAGATCACACCACTGCACTCCAGCCTGGGCAACAGAACGAGACTCCGTCTCAAAAAAAAAAAAAAAAAAAAAAGAAAAAAAAAGGGTTCACACATTCAGAAACAGAATAACTACTTCAAAAATTCAGGGTGTGGCTCCTGTACTGGTTGTGAATATGGGCCCTTCTAACCTTAAGATTTTTAAGATTCCATAATATTATAACCAGATTAGAATAAAGCAAAGTTAAGAGGACTTGTTAAAACATCCAGTCAAATCAAAACTGCCAACAGGAACTGATCTAGGCAGAGTACCTGGTAGAAATTAAATTCAAGAAATCAAAGATATAGGATGGAATTCAAGGAACCAACACAAACGCTTCCGAGTATCTCCCTCCCTCCAATCTAAACTCCTCTGAATGGGGTCTAGAGTTATCTTGCCACCACCAGTACCTACCTTGGTAAGTCTTCTACTCCTTCAAGTGCCTACTCAGTGTCCATATCACAAAGCTATCCATACCCTCTCTTCATTCCTCTCCTCTCCTCACCTGAACCAGCCTAATTCCCGTCTAGTGCCTTTGCTCATGATGTCCCTAAAAACCTAGATTGTCTTTAACTCTTTTCACTCACCCATAACTTGCATCTCACAAACTACAACTGAACTACAACTAAACTCAGTAGGTGCTAACAATGACCACAATGCACACATCATCCCCATGCTGGGGCACACTCACTCAGCAGAGCATGATTTAGTGCCTGGCAGTTCTTTCTTTCAGATGTTTTCATCTTTCTCATATACTGTAAACACTTTCAGTGGCTCCTATAGTTCTTTACTATGTTGGGAGCATTTTAAGTCCTTAGTAAATCTTACTGATTAGTCAGTCAATCACTTTGGAAGCTATCACAGAAACTTTCTTATTATTGGTATTTTAATATTTAATATATTTGTAAAATTATAAAATATTTACTGAAGTATATCATCAGGTACCTGCAACTCAAAATTCTGGTTGGCTTCACTGAAAAAGACGGAAATGAAAGAAGGGTTAGCTTGCCTTTCTAAAGATAAATTTTACTTACTTACCCAGGTTGTAGTGAATACAAGGAACTGAGCAAAATGAGAAAGAAAAAGAAAAGAGGAAGGCCCACCAGAGGACCTTTTCTCATCTCGTCCCACTTCACAGAGTTCTACATCTAGAAAGCAATCCAACTTCATCATATTTTATATGTAAAAAAAGTGACCCAGAGAAATAAAGTGATATGACCAAGATAGAAAGCTTTTTATTTGCTTACACAGGGACCCACCTAATTGTAAAAGGAAGCCAAATGTTTTCAAAAGAATTAGCAAAGAAACTATAATCCAAGAGTTAAAGGTAGAGAAAGCTGGGAAAGTTGAGGAGAAGTGGTTGCTGCCCGTGGGCTGTTTAAATGAAACAAGGACTGATCTGCTCACCACAGAGTAAACCCAGGAAAAGCCGCCTTCTCCCCCTTGGCCCTGAAGAGCTACACTCCAGCCTCCCAAACTCACTCCAGCTTTAGGGCCTTAATTTTCCAAATGGTGATATCAGATTCACCAAGGTCACAACCTAGAGTAGAGTAATCGTGATCAATTGTGGAAGGAAAAACAAAACAAAACAAAAAAACAAACAAAAAACTCTCTTTTTTAATTATAATCAAGTACCAGGTAGTTTTGTTTCAAATTTCATTTAAAAGCAGCTAAATTGCAAAGTGAAAATTTTAATAATTTGGCAGGTAAAAATTACAAAACATATTTCCTTCTCCATAAATTACAAAGGAGAAACTTCACTAGTTATTTTGATTATTTAAAACAGTCCAACTTCTGACTTTCTAAAAATTTTTAAACATTCTTACAAAAGGCCTACTGGTTAACCCAGTAAGGCACTGAACCTCCAGGTTTTAAGACGGTCTGTCAGGCTGACACTTGGGAGCCAGAAAAAGAACTTTGTAAGAATCCGAAGTGTTTCAATTTAAGCCATTACCACTAACAGTGATGTCACCTCCAATATTCCTATCCTAGCATAGCTACAAGGTAAGAGTGTTTTAGGAGTTCACAGAAATTTTTGCTAATTCATCACTTACCTTATTCTCAGTCTAGCTAATCGTTTTGGACCATGAGCCTGCAAAAATGTCACTTACAGAAAAAGAAAACAGCTCTTCTTTAAAGAGAAACAGGTTATTTTATCCAATTGGTTCTACTTGTACAGGAAAACAAGGAAACTAGAACCATTTAATAAAATAATACCACAGTAAACCTAAAATTATTTTCGAATAAAATCAGCACCATTTAAAATGATCATAAAATCCACAAATTTAATAATAAAAATTGTTAGAAAATATTAAACCATGCTCTGTGAGGGCCAGTCGTAATAATCACCATTCTTTAAACATGAGCAGATTTTAAACATATAGTTTTGCATAAAGTATAAGCATTGCACAGCTTATATTACCCAGAAGAATGTATTATCAAGTATATTTCTATTTGCATTGAGTTCTAACAAATGATTACTGTTGCAGGGAAAATGTGACTGGCACATCAGAGACTTTATCTCTTGTCACCATTATCATTTCCCAAGTCCTCACCTAGAATCAAAAAGCTCACAAAATCCACCAAATCTGCATACACCATGTCTTTCTTTCGTCACATCTGTAACTATTTCCCTGCATCCGCTGGAGATAGGTAACTACGACAAAATGAAGTCCTACAACAAAGTCTAAGGGCAAACATTTAGAAAACTAATAGTGAATAACAAAATATGCACTGAATGTGGTCGAGACACTCAGGAGGAATAGAACGCATTGCTTTGTTGTTTGCGTGGTCTGCTACCCCAGACCACATTTCTACCGCACTGACTTTGTGCTAGGCACTGCCTGAGCACATAAACTCATTTCTTCTTCCTCTGAGGTAAATGTATCATTGTTATCACATTTTACAGTTGAGGAACTGTGGCAAAGAGAGTAGAGTAGCTTGTTCTACCTAGGTCACAGGGCTAAATGAAGGGTTGGAACTTAACTTTGTTCTAAATCTTCTCTGTGGTCCCTGCCCCAGCCCTCACTGGAAAATACACGCAGGCCAAAAGTAGAGAGAGACATCACAAAGACAACCATCCCTCAAACCCAGCTATGTAGCTAACTTCAGACACATGCTTCCAAACAGTAATGTGAGCATGTTTTGGGGGGCCACTCTCATGCTGATTTCAAGTGTACAATCCCCCTGCCTACAGTGGGGAAGATAAACAGGGCCAGGCCAGCACTACTTCCTACCCACTTCCCTTCTGGGTCTGCCTATTCACTGCCAGAAAGTCAGAAGTCAATCATCCCACGGGCTTCAGCTTCAATTCAGGTAGAGCAGTGAGGTTTGAAAGTGCCTCAAGCAGAGCCCACAGTTCTCTGATCCTTTACAATATCACACTCTGTAATTGTGTGGCATAGCAGCCATGCTAGGAACGAGGTCAATTACTTAGGTACTCGCTAGACTTTTTCCTTTTCTCCACCCCTGGGGTCCAGGCTCTTTTCCCAGCACTTACTCAGGGCTGTCATTAGCCCTTTCTCCTCAGTTTCATCGCCCCTGCATTTACGTTATTCTAAGTCTTCTCCCCTATGGGTTCCTGTGGGGAAAATAAAAGATCCGAAAGGGAAAAAAGCAGAAAAGAATGAAATAAAGTGAAAATTCAAGAGGTTCTTGTTTTAAGTCCCTATCTTAAAAGATATATGGCTTTGTCACTTTCAAAAGCATTACATTATAAGCTATGTGGCCAAAACACAATCAATAAACAAACACACGCAGACAGATACAACTAAATACACACAAACATACATGCCACAACAGAGAGGGTCTTTGATTCTTAGGATCCCCCTTTTCTTTTCCATCCATTAATTCCTAACTACACTGTTCTTCTCTAACCATGTAACTATTTCTCAATATCCATTTGTCACATGTAAAATATTCTCAAGACCACTCCTAGCCTTGTATACCTGAGACCTGTCTCCCATACCAACACCATCACTTAATTAAGAAACAATGGCACTAAAGCTTTGCTTACAAATCTGTGAAACAAAGGTCATCCCACCTGCCTACCTTCCCACTTCACCTTACTAATAGGAGGTTTAAAGGAGATATGTGCTTAAGTACACCAAAGAACCAGAGGTACCAACAGGGTTAAGATACGCCTTGAATCCAAGAAAATCCCCTGAAGCAGCATGTCAATACTGAGTAACACAACCATTCCCTAGGCTATCACCTTTTTTTTTTTTTTTTTTTTTTTTTTTTTGAGACAGAGTGTCGCTTTGTCACCCAGGCTGGAGTGCAATGGCACGATCTTGGCTCACTGCAACCTCCGCCTCCCAGGTTCAAATGATTCTCCTGCCTCAGCCTCCCATGTAGCTGGAATTACAAGTGTGCACCACCACACCTAGCTAATTTTTGTATTTTTAATAGAGATGGGGTTTCACCATGTTGGCCAGGCTGGTCTTGAACTCCTGACCTCATGATCTGCCCACCTCGGCTTCCCAAAGTGCTAGGATTACGGGCATGAGCCACAGTGCCCAGCTGGCTATCGCTATTTTAAGCAAAGAACTGCAGGTGTACTTCTTTAGTTTTAGGGAGAATTTTAACCAAATGATATTTCCAGTTTAAACCTGGACACACAAGGTGAGGGCAATGAGGGATGATGAAGAAGATGGCATGCTCTCTTGGGCATCGGCATCCTTATTTGATTAGCAGAAACCATAATTATAATTTACTAGCAACTCTTTTTCTAGTTTTCCTCTACTCAGTCTTCAAAATAAATGCAGTGTATTAACTCTTAGACTGTACTCCTGAAAAATTAACAGTGAATCCCAATCCAGTATCAAAATGATTCATCAAAGACAGAAGTGGCCAAGGAACACCAGAAAGACACCATACATTCTTGCATCAAAGAGCCTGAAATTCTTGTTGAGATGATCATTTCTAGCTCACGTACAATGGTAGAACTTGTCTTCTCCTGCATATACTGTGTCCTATACTATATCTCACGTTACATGAAGGAACCATAAGTTCTGAAAAAGCCACGTGCAATGACCACTGTTTGATGGATACATTCATGTATATATATATATATAGTTTTTTGGGTTTTTTTTTTTTTTGAGATGGAGTCTCACTCTGTCACCCAGACTGGAGTGCAGTTGTGTGATCTCAGCTCACTGCAACCTCCACCTCCTGGATTCAAGCAAATCTCCTGCCTCAGCCTCCCGAGTAGCTGGGATTTACAGGCGCATGCCACCATGCCCAGCTAATTTTTGTATTTTTTGCAGAGATGGGGTTTTGCCATGTTGGCCAGCCATACTATTCACTGAAGAGGAAAAAGACCATTGAACTATCCTTCATTTTCCAGTGAAGATGTTACTATAAAGTTGTATATAAACCAAATCATATTTATCGCTGCTTTGGGTCATTTCAGGATTGCGTGTTCACAGTGGGGGAAAAATCCCAAAATGTGGCCTCAAGGTGTCATGAAGATCACAAGGCATCTGCTATGGTCTGAAAGTTTGTTTCCCAGCTAAATTCATGCATTAAAACCAAACCCCCAAGAACTGTGAGAGATAAAGGGCCGTTGCTTATAGACAACCTAGTCTATGGTGGGATTTTGTTATAGCAGCCCTGATGGACTAAGACATCACAAAAGATTTTTCAAAAATCTAATATTTAGTGCATTTAATTTAATGTTTATTTAATCTAATATTTATTTATTTATTTATTTTTGAGATGGAGTTTCACTCTTGTCGCTCAGGCTGGAGTGCCATGGCGTGACCTTGGCTCACTGCAACCTCTGCCTCCTAGGTTCAAGCGATTCTCCTGCCTCAGCCTCCCAAGTAGCTGGGATTACAAGTGCCCACCACCACACCAAGCTAATTTTTGTGTTTTTAGCAGAGACGGGGCTTCACCATGTTGGCCAGGCTGGTCTGGAACTCGTGACCTCAGGTGATCCACCCGCCTCGACCTCTCAAAAACTGCTGAGATTACAGGCGTGAGCCACCGCACCCGGCTTAACCTAACATTTAATAGGGAAAATATTAACACTAGTATTCAGCTAATAACTATACCAAAAATACAACAGAAATTGAGGTGATTGCCAGGGAGATACAGGAAGAGGGTATGACAAGTAAGGTGGCATCTGTTGCCTGCAGCGTGTGTGGCGGTGGTAGAAGGAAAGGCTTCTGTGGGTTTTTAAATGGACTACTGCAAGAGAACAAGGCTGACTGGGAGATGTCGAAAAAATGTCAGAGTAGACAATTCCAAGTGCCCATACACCTCCCTGCACCTAAAACATCAAAAAACAAGCACCAACTGTCAGAACTAACTTTGTCAGAACTCTGGAAAACAGTGAAATGCTTACAGCAACCAACTGAACACTGAATCAAGAACTTCAAAGGATAGGAAAGCTTTACGGCATTCTTATTTGCCTTTGCCCTATCTCCTCCCAGTGTGATGGCAGCCCATATTCCAAGAATGGGACCCTGGTCCCTGGTTCCAATAGGAACAAGTAGAACGCATTCATAAATTTTTAGTGACTCCATTCCAACCTGTCAGGGATACTTGACAAGGTTCATGCTTAAAACTCAAAACTCATCCAGGCTGGAAGTGGTTGGCATTGCCCAAAAACAATCCAGACACCTGGGGTCAAAGAGTACAAATGAGACATGCAACACATGACCTGAGGTCTGGGAAGAAAAGACGTGAAGAAAGTTACCTTAGGAAATTAGGGCAATCAAAAGCATCCATATATATGGGTGAAATTAGAAAGCCACACACATGCTCAGAATAAAACCCAGGAAGACCTTAAGCTTTTTCACCTTAGGCTAAATACTAGCCTAGACACAAGTCTGGCTCACTATTGAAGGAGGGCCCCAGCAAAGAGCCAACCTGCAAAAACTGGAAAAAGTATTTTTGTTTGTTTATTTGTTTTAGCTCCTGGCATTCAAGGAAATCTCTGTCAAAACACTACCAGGCTAGGCACAGTGGCTCCTGCCAAGCCTGGGTGACAGAGTAAGACCCCATCTCTTAAAAAAAAAAAAAAAAAAAACCACACACAAAAAAAACAGTACCAGAAGATTAACTAAGAAACAGAGACTTCAGTGACCACACAAGACAAGGAATATAATCCCTACAAAAATAGTTGGGAAAAGTCACTTGACAAAAAAAAGAGATACATAAAACCAAAAACAACAAAAAAAGCAAACCTCGGTGAAAGAGGAGACTCTGATTTCCAGAGACACAACACTGTAATTTTCAAACACCCCATTTTCAACAGCAACAAAATCCTAAGGCATATAAGGAAAAAGTATAGCCCATTCAAAGGAACGAAATTAACTGACAGAACATGTCCCTGAGAAGGCCAGACATTGTACTTACTACACAAAGACTTTACAAAGCAACTTTCTTAAATATGCTTAATATCAATATGTTGTTGAAGTTGAGAAGGATACTATATTTGATTAAAGAATAAATTCAATCGGAGATATAATAATTATAAACATAAATGCACCAAACATAGAGTCCCAAAATATAGGAAGCAAGCACTGACACAACTAAAGTGAGACGTAGAAAGCTCTAGAATAATAGACTTCAATACATCCTATTCAATAACAGATAGAAGAACTTGACAAAAGATAAATAGGGAAACAGAGAATTTGTACAACACATAAACCAACTAGATCTAACAGACATATACAGAACATTTTTTCAAACAAAGCAGAACACACATTCTTCTAAAGTTTACATGGAATACTCTCCAGAAGAGACTATGTTTGTCCACAAAGCAAGTCTCAATGAATTTAAAAAGACTGAAGTCATACAAAGTATTGATAGAGAAAGTTAGGTAGTTAGGGTAGGTCCTTGGCAAAACTCCTTTAAAAAGAGAAACAGCCTGAAAAATCAGGCTGCAGGCACAGATAAGAAAACTCGCACAAACATCCAGCCCACTCAGATACAGGAACAAGGCCCAACCCAGAAATGCCTTTGTTCTTTGTATAACCAGTGGGCTTCCAGGAAATAGTCTCTTTTCCTTCTGTGGGCATGTACGCAGTGGGCTCTGTTGGGTTCCTGTGGGCACTTTGCTTTCCTTTTTTGGACATGATTTGGACTGTTTGCCAAGCCTCTATGAATCATCGCTTCAGCCTCTGACTGGTCCCAGGACAAGGTCCCAGGCCAAGGTCCTGGACCAAGCTTTCACTTCAGCTCCTGAGTGGTCCCAGGCCAAGCTGAGTAGGCTTTCTCCAAGACCAGTCAGCACATTCCTTCCCTGCCCAGTCCATAAAAACCCCAAATCTAGCCTCATAGTTGGCAACCCTCTTCCAGGCACCCTCTCTGAGGCAGAGAGCTTTCTTCTTTTGCTTATTAAACTTTTAAACTTTTGCTCCAAGCTCACCCTTTGTGTCCATGCTCCTTAATTTTCTTAGTCATGAGACAAAGAACTTCAGGTGCTACCTCACAATGAGAGACTGCTACATTGTGGTGCATTGGTGACACTCTAACAGTATACTTTGCCACCATGATGCACTGAAGCTAGAAATCAACAAACAAAATGTAGTAAATATCTACAGGATGGAATATTATTTGGTCTTAAAAAAAAGGAACAAAACTCTGATATATGTTAGACCATGGACACCTTGAAAACATTATGCTAAGTTAAATAAGCCAGATACAGAAGGACAAATATCATACAATTCCACTTACATGAGGCACTTAAAACAGGCAAAGTCAGAGAGAAATTAGCATACAGTTTATCAGAGGCTGGAGAAAGGAGAAAATGGGAAGTTAGTATTTAACGGGTACAGAGTTTCTGCTAGGGATGAAGAAAAAGTTCTGGAAATGGACAGTGGTGATAATTGCACAACACTGTGAATCTACCTCATGCCAGTGAACTGTACACTTTAAAATGATTAAACTGTTTCTTTGCCTTTTGGCTAAGATCAAGTGCAAAAATGGTAAAAATGATAAATTTTACACTATATATATTTTAACACAATAAAAATTTAAATGATTAAAATGGTATATTTTGTGTTCGTATATTTTACAATAAATTTTTAATATAAAAAAGTGGGGAAAAGAGAGAGAGAGATGGGACAGTCATTGTGATCTCATAGACATACATAAAACAAAATTTCTCTTGGAGAGACTTGAAAATGGAAGTCTGCAACTCCTAGCTGGATCTGACGTTAGATCTAAGTTGAACAAGTTTCTGGTTATTAGATAATGTCTTGTACTGAAAAAAAGAATAAATCAGAGTGCTAAATTGCTGCCCTTTGCAGCTCCTCAAAAAGTTAAACACAGAATTATCATAAGACCCAGCAGCTCCACTCCTAGGTATATATCCAACAAAAATTAAGACTCACATCCACACAAAGCCTTGTTACAGGAATTCTAGCAGCCTTATTATGTTCATAAAAGTCAAATACTGGGAACAACCAAATGTTCCCAACTCAAATACTAAAAGGATGAACAAAATGTGGTAGATCCATCCAATGGAATATTAGTCAGTCATAAAAAGGAGTGAAGTATTGATTCAGGCTATACCATGGATGAACCTTGTAACATTATGTGAAAGTAAAAGAAGTTAATCACAAAAGACCACATTCTATGACTCATTAATGAAATGTCCAGACTAGGCAACTCTACAGACACAGACTACAGGTTAGCAGTTCCCAGGGGCTGGGAAAGGGAAAATGAGAAGTGACTACAATGGATGCAGGGTTTCTTTTTTGTAGGATTAAAAATGTGCTAAAATTAGCACATTTGTGGTAATCGTTGCACAACTCTGTGAAGATACAAAAAACAATCGCACAATCTAAGTGGGTAAATTTTGTAGTACGTTAATTATATCTTAATAAAACTGTTACACATCATTGCTGCCCTTCAACATTCTGATACACATCTCAAGTACTGAAGCAAAATCTCAGGGGGCGCAACAATAGCATCTGTGCATGGAGTACATTCTCAAAATTCTCCTTTGCTTTTTAAGTCTTTGTAATGTTGGAGAATATTCTGAGCTTTAAATAATTTACAGAGGAACTAGGTAACTAGGTAATTAACCTTTGCTGTTGTAACTAAGAATGATACTCTGTTCTATCACCCTTCACAAATGACTACTCCAACATCAGAATTTAGATTAGCAATCTTGAATTCTTGACTCTTCCTAGTTTAGAAATCATGAAAAAGAACTGAGAAAATGTTTCACCATCTTTATATACTTTGTTCTTGAAATCCTAAACTCTGTGTTTTCACAAATGTCAACTGCCTGGTTGGGTAGAAGGACAGAACTGCTAAGAAAGAAAGGATCTGCTGAAGTGTGGTCCACCACACAGCCGACCTGTATATGAGGCACTCTGTAACATGAACTGCCATTACAAATGGTGCTGCTTTTATCATTAAGTGCACACCCACGCATGTGCGACTGCACACACACACACAGAGTTCAAAACATGCCCAAGGAAAAATATCCTGTCGTCTACTTAACCACTAATTACCAGAGATTAAGAGTTGCAGCTCTCAATGCCATTACTCCATGCTATAGAGTTTGGATATTTTTCCCCTCCAAATCTCATGTTGAAATTTCATCTCCAGTACTGGGGCCTGACAGGAGGTGTTTGGGTCATGGGGGCAGATGCCTCATGAATAGATTCATTCCCTTGGGGATAGGGAGTGAATTCTTACTCTTAGTCCCCACGGGAGCTGGTTGTTAAAAGGAGCCTAGCCCTTCTGGCTCTCTCCTGCTTTCCTTCTTGCCGTGTGATCTCTGCACACACAAGCCCTCTTAGCCTTCTGCCATGAGTGGAAGCAGCCTGAGGCCCTCACTGGAAACAGACGCCAGGGCCGTGCTTCTTGTACAACCTGCAAAATCATGAACCAAATGAACTTTTTTCCTTTAAAAGTTACCCAGTCTCGGGCCAGGTGCAGTGACTCACGCCTGTAATCCCAGCACTTTGGGAGGCTGAGGTGGGCTGACCATGTGAGGTCAGGAGTTCAACACCAGCATGGCAAACATGGTGAAACCCCATCTCTACCAAAAATACAAAACTTAGCCAGCCGTGGTGGCAGGTGCCTGTAATCCCTGCTACTCAGGAGGCTGAAGCAAAAGAATCGCTTGAACCCGGGAGGCACAGTATGCAGTGAGCCAACATCACGCCATTGCACTCCAGATTGGGTGACAGAGCAAGATCCCCTGTCAAAAAATAAGAAAAAAAAAAAAGTTACCCAGTCTCAGGCCAGATACAGTGGCTCAGACCTATAATCCCAGCACGTTGGGAGCCTGAGGCCAGCAGATTGCTTGAGCCCAGGAATTTGAGATAGCCTGGGCAACATGGCGAACACCCATCTCTACAAAAAATACAAAAATTAGCGTGGCATTATTGTGCACGCCTGTAATCCCAGCTACTCGGGAGGCTGAGGTAGAAGGATCACCTGAGCCTGGGAGGTCGAGGCTGCGGCAAGCCATGATCAAGCCACAGCACTTCAGCCTGGTCGACAGACCCTGTCTCAAAAATAAATAAATAAACAAAATTACCCAGTCTCTAGTATTCCTTTAAAGCAACACAAACAGACCAAGACACTCCACCAAGGTACATAACGTTATATCAGTTTGGCCATCTTCAGGGTGTTTTGTTCCAAATTTTAGATCTGCACAAGTACCCTTTCTCAATGATGGCTTCCCATGGAAGTCACTGGATTATCATAATGGCATTGACCTCCCTGTTCTGAGCAGTTTCCATGCACCCAGGCCTGCTCCCAAATACAACAGGTTTGGCTTACTGTTGCCGGGAATTGGTAATGTAGAAAGGAGGGTTTTTCTTTACTTTTTTTCAACCACAGAAAAAGCTTCCACATAAATCAATTTTAAATTCCAAAGCTTTTCCTTTACTCCATGGTTTTCTCCAGATATGTCTGCCTACTCAGCAGGAGCAAAGGCCAGAAAGCATGCAGGCCCCAAAGAAAAACACCAAGAATAAAACACTACAGAAGATTCACGGGGAAAACATTTACTTTTACAAAGCAAAACCACAAGAAAGATTCTTGCAGGCAGGCTGGCAGCGGCGACACTGTTTCAAGTTATACATTCAATCAATTGTATAAAATCTATTATCCGGTATTTAAGCCATTAACAGATCTATAATTTCCATTTACCTGATTTGGGGGCCAAAAAGGTATGAGTTAAAAATATAACAGCTTCCGGCCGGGCGCGGTGGCTCACGCCTGTAATCCCAGCACTTTGGGAGGCTGAGGCGGGTGGATCACGAGGTCAGGAGATCGAGACCATCCTGGCTAACACGGTGAAACCCCGTCTCCACTAAAAAATACAAAAAAAAAAAAAATTAGCCGGGCGTGGTGGCGGGCGCCTGTATTCCCAGCTACTCAGGAGGCTGAGGCAGGAGAATGGCGTGAACCCAGGAGGCAGAGCTTGCAGTGAGCTGAGATCGTGCCACTGCACTCCAGCCTGGGCAACAAAGCGAGACTCCGCCTTAAAAAATATATATATATATATATACACACACACACACACGCACAAATATATATACATATATATATACATATACATATATATACATAACAGCTCCCAGAGAACAGAGTTCTGCTCCTACAAGATGGCACAGCATCGTCAGAACATGATTCTGGAGCCAGACTGACTAAACTGGAATCTCTTTATTACGCGGCAGGATGCTGGACAAGCTGCTGACTTCTGTGTGCTTGGGTTTCCACATCTGTAAGATGGGGTCACCATGAGAGTTCAGTGAGTGACACACATGCACAGCGTTGGGTGTCCTGTACATGGGAAACTCCCACTGTGAGGGAGCAGTTGTTACTGTGATTCCAATTACACCTGGACAGCAAGCCTTTTTGGCCAGTGGTCCTGTTTAAGGGTTTTCTTCTGCTCACAACCCACCCACCAGTTCCCTGATGCCACTGCCGCCTCAAGAGAACCAGTGTGTGACTGCCAGTATGTACCCACCCACAAGTCACTACTAGAATAAAGAATTCTGCTCACAGATCACTTGGACACCTAGTTATTAGACGGGACACAGTGGGAAAAAAAGAGGGAAGAACATGACAACTTACTGCTGATGGGGTTACCCTCGGGTGCTCTGGGATGAGGGGAGTACTTTCACAATTTATTCTATGCATATCTGTACTTTTCTCTGACTTGTTGACAACATCATGTATTTCCTTTGTACATTTGCTTTAAAAAATAAAACCACCACTGATCAGGTCCAACTCGATTAATTTCTATTAATTCTATTAATTCATGCAACACACTGGCTAAGGCTCTGACAAAACAAAATGACTACAGCTGCCGATTATCACCTCTCAGTGAATGAAAATGAGAGGGAACCTCAAATTGCATTAGGAACACACGTGGAGATTCCAAACCCTTCCTCTCAAGCAGTAAGTCACTCACTCCTCTCTCTTCCAGATGGCAAGCGACACTGCAACAAAACCCACGTATTTAAAACAAGTGCAGAAGTGTTTATTGTACCTCCCTTTCCAAAACAGCTGCTCAACAGAATGTACTTGTGCAGCAAGAAGGAAATCAGAGTGTATGTCCAGCTAATGAAATCTTTACGAGCCGAGCACCGCATCGACTCCAACACTGGGAGCTGCCAGCTGCTGCCTAAATACTATTTTCCAGCATCTTCTGAAGGCTAGTAGTTACTCAAACAGATTTTTAAAAGAAAATGAATACAAAATATTGTAATTATTAGAAGATTATTATAATTAGACATTCTGTTCTTTCCTGTGAGGCAAGGAACAAAGCGGCTGCGACTGTTACAAAGAGCACCAAGTGTCTTCCTCTGGTTACTTACCAACCACCCAGAGGTCACGCTCAGTTACAGGACAGAGGCCCTGCCCTTTGCACTTTCCAAGTCTAGCTCTCACCTGGAGTCTCGGGAGCACATACTAGAGGGCTTCTCATTATCTCATCCACAGCACCAGAGAAGCACAAGAGAACGGATGATCAACGGACCCCTTCACCTTTTCAAATGCCCCAAGTCTGCCTTCTGGACAAGACAGTATTTAACTAAAGTTCCACAGTAATTTAGAATTACTAGGTTCCCTTTTCCTCTTTCTAGGACAGGTACATGAAAATTTACTTTATAAAATCACAGGGGAGAGGAAACTGAAAGAACTTGTTGCTCTTCCCCTAAGCGGCCTGAGGTGATCTGTGAAAACGGTTCACTACTCACTTGACCCAGAAAACCCTACACAATCATGAAATCAAGAGGTTTAAATCTTCATGTTCACTTTACAAACACTTGTGACATTACCCAGGCCATCGAGGTTGCATATATGAAAAGCCACCAGGTAACTGAAAGATGTCACTTTACAGAAATGGTATCATTCTGATGTTACAATGGTAGAGTCGGTAGGTGTGCCCAGGCCAAACAGTGGGGCTGGACACAGGTGAACTTTTGCTGCACGTGCTTAAAAATGGTGAAAGTCACGCTGAACTTAAGGGTTTCCATGTAGATTCTCTGGCCATTGAGCATTTCGAGGTAAATAAAGCACCTAAGATGCACCGTCGGACTTACAGAGCTCATGGCTGGACTAACCCATACGTGGGCTCTCCCAGCCACATCGAGATGATTCTTACTGAAAAGGAACAAATTGTTCCTAAATCAGAAGAAGAGGTTGCACCGAAGAAAAAGATACCTGAGAAGAAACTGAAGAAATAAAAACTTACGGCACAGGAATAAATTCCGCATAAAATAAATGCAATCAAAAGTTAAGAAAAATAAAGAATCTGTTTGCAAAATCTACTCCTCAGGTCTCTCTGCTGTAAATCCTCAAAAACAATTAATTTCTGATTATCTACCTGAAGATAATTACTTCATTCTGAAGGCAGTATATGATTTTTAAAGCCCGTACACTATGCTTCCTTCTCCTACTAGCCCAGTGATACCTCAGCGTGGTCACCATACCTTCCAAAATACACTACACATCCGTCCGTCAACAGTCCCCAAGGTGCTAATCAGCATTCATCACGATCCATCTTTTTTTATTACAAACAGCATAATCCAAGAACAAGAATACAGGTTAGCAACTTTGGTCTTCTCAAAAGAAAAACAGGGAAATGCTGATTTACATTTGAAGCCTGACAAATTAATATTAATTTCTGACCCCTAAGAATCTGATCAGTTGCAATATACACTACTCTGTGGGTGTAAAGCAAATGACCTTGTGAAACTCATTTTACAAGGTTCCCAGCTTGTATAATGAATGTTTCCAAAATGACATGATCATCACTGACCTGTGCTTAGCATCTTTAAAACACCTTTACAAATTATCCCATTTTGAAACCGGAAAAATCTCACAACTGTAATAACCCTAGGAAATTATCTCCTCGAATTGGCCAACATATGCATAAATCCTTTGTTTTGATCTTTATAACCATTTCTAAGATGAGTAAAATGGTTACTCTTATTTCCAATTTATAGAATCAGAAACGGAGGTTTAGCTGAGTCAAGTGGTATGTCTCATATAATAAATGGTAAATGAAGATCTGTTACGTGTACTATGTCAAAAATAAAGTCACCTAAAAGAAAACTTAAGCATGACACCAATACTTGGGAAAAAATGGTTTCAAATACACTGGTTAACTGGTGTTTTTATTAAAATATTCCTTTATGCAACGTTTGTATATATTTTTAAAGAAATTATGTCAAGCCAGATTTTACATCAAATTCTTTTCCTAAATATTAAGATACTGCTCCACAGCATTCCTCATCCCCCAAAATTTTAAGACTACTCAAGTACAGGGTGGGAGGCAGATGAAGTCGGCCCCAGCCACTCTGGGTGTCATGGTGCCACAGCCTCGAGGACTCTTAGGCCCCATCAGCAGTTAGGGCATCTCCCTAGATCTGCAGTATCTTCCTCAAAGAAAACCCCCACCCCGCAAAGCCACCAAATCCAAGCAGGAGACCTCCTCTGGCTGTCTTCCTGGTGACTTTTAGGTAGCTGGACGCTGGGCAAAGTCTGGCACCCTGGCAGCAAGATGCCCCTGCCACCAGAGCAACAGAATCCAGCAGTGCCACTGACAACCACTTTCAGCGTGGCCAATGCTAAGAGAAGGTGGGGAGGAGAGGGCAAACATGCATGCACTGGTGACAGGACGCCAATGTCATCTCATCCAAACCTTGTGCTAGGGAGGTAGAGTGTCCACTCTAAAGATAGAGAAGCTAAGGATCTGAGAACTTGTTCCAAAGCCTGGGACCATGGCACTAAGGAAATGGAGAAAAAGCACCATGTGCCAGGTTGAAATGATGGAAAACGAGGGCACACCACACTTCTACGGGCTTTGGCACGCAGGTAGGTGCAACAGGCTGTGTAACCTCCCACAGCTACAAAGACTCTTTCCTGCTCTCCTATAGCGAAGCTGTAGATTTGCCAACATTATGACCTGCATTACAGTATATTTTCATAAACACAAAATGTCCTTATCTTAAGGGTTACCTACACTCAAACTTCAAGGAAGCAAACTGCCTTCATTTTTTATTAGTCATACTGACACTGGGTCAACTACAAAAGAGTTTCAAAACCCATTATGCTAAGAAAAGACCATGAGTGTTATGGGCTCAATTCTCCCTCCCAAAAAGATAGATGGAAGTCCTAACCCCCTCCCCCAAAAATTCAGAACATGACCGAATTTGGAAATAGGGTCACTGTAGATGTAGTAACTTAAGGTGAGGTCATAATGGAATAGGCAAGGCCCTTAATCCAACATGACCGGTTTCCTTATAAGGAGAGGAAAATTTGGACATACACGCAGAGGGAAAACACCAGTGACAGCAGAGGTAGATGCTGAGGTTAGACGGCTGCAAGCCAGGAACCCCAAGGGTTGACTGCCACCCCAGAAGCTAGGAAGGGGCATGGAATGGTCCTGCTCAGAATCTCAGGGGAGCAGTGCCCTGCTCACGCATTGACTGCAGACTTCTAGCCTCAGGCTCTGAGAGAATACATTTCTGTTGTTTAACCCCACCCAGTTCCTGCGATTAAATACTTTGTGATGGTAGTCCCAGGAGAAAACTCACACAGTGAGCTTATGTCCTGCTCCACCTAAGCCCCTTTCTGACATGGAAAGCCTGAAGTCTGAGGTCCTTCTCCACTGCAACCAAAAAAACGGATCCCATCGCACCTGGTTTACTAACAGAGGCAGGAGATTGCCACAGCACAGAAAGCAGAGTGCAGGGCCTAGTGACCGGGTAGGAGCCGGGCCTTCCAAACTCCAGGCAGAAGAGGCACGAAACCACACCATGGAGAAACAGCTTATCTTAATGAAAACTACTAAGCGTAAAATTACTGAAAACTGGCTGCAAATATGCATTCCAGTCAAACTAGTCATTTTGCACTCTCAACAACAAATCTGTCTACTCTAGACAATCAGCTCCGGATGGAACTGTAGCAACCTCAAGGATCAATAATAGTAAGAAACTTTAAAAACTACAAATGGGCCAAAAAACATAAGGTATTAAAAATGAATTATCTCATGAGTCTTATGTGGCTTCGGTCATCAAGCGGCTATGAAAGAGCACCACCTGAATTCCAACCAGAAAGAACTTTTTGTACATGCACATTGAGGTTCAAAATAAAGGACACCAAATGTCCTAACCATGGAGAAATCACTAATAAAACCACACCAAATTTTTAAGTCCAAACATCTGAGAGGTAAATATATATATATATATATATATATATATGTATATATATATGTACTACACACACACACAAATATATATATATATACACACACAAATATATATATACACATACACACAAATATATATATATACACAGAGATAAATATATATATATATATGTATATCGGGGGGATGGAGGAAAGATTGGATCAAACAGAAAATTTCTAATTTTACATATGGTAGGTAACGTTGGCTCTATATACAACTCACAAAAGCAATGACAAAGCACTTAGCTGCTAAAATATCAAGTGAACTCTTCTTCCCTTTTTTCTTTTTTTTAGAGACAGGGTCTCACTCAGGCACCCAGGTTGGAGAGTAGAGTGCAGTGGCACAATCACAGCTCACTGCAGCCTCGGTCTCCCAAGCTCAAATAATCTTCCCGCCTCAGCCTCCCAAGTAGCTAGAACTACAGGCATACACGACCACACCTGGCTAATTTTCTTTTTCTTTTTTTTTTTTTTTTTTGGAGAGCTAGGGTCTCCCATGTTACCAGGCTTGTCTCGAACTCTCAGCCTCAAGCAATCCTCCCGCATCAGCCTCCCAAAGTGCTGGTATTACAAGCATGAGTCATCACACCCAGCCCTCTTCTTTTAATTCATTTTGATTGGTTTCGGTTCTGTGAGCACCAAACGAGTATAGTCACCCAAAAAGAACAAGCATCTGGCTAGAAGACCCACTGCAAGGTGGACAGCTGTCACACACGTAGATTCCTTTAGGTAACTGTTAACTGACAATTTTCTAGTGGGTAATACTGGACTTTAGCCACCATACAGAAAAGACAGATTAAAATAAACCTCTACATACTTTCAGTCCACCTAACATTTCAAAGTCAAGAGATTAAAACCACCATCTGAGCCACCAGTCCCTCCAGGTTGGCTGAGGCTATTCTCAAGGTACTATCAGAATTAAATACTTCCCTGATATGCACATGTGTGTGTGTCCACAAGTACGTTTCTTTATAGTTACATAGCCTTGTCTCTCCTCCCTCAAAACACCAGAGTTTCAGTCCTACCCTTCAACAGAAGCCCAACTCAGGTTTCATCAGGGGACTCCTCCACCTTCCAATGTCCTCACCAACCATCATTCAGGTGCTCTTGGCCCAACTGCTCGGTGTCAACACTGCAGGACTTTCACACTGTTTGTTCACCCAGAAAGATAATGCTCTCCACCATATACAAATTACTGTGCAGGAGACAAAGATCAATCAATACGGAGCCTACCTTAAAGGAGTTTACCAAGGGAGAAAACAGATTATAAACAGGACTTTTTAAAAAGTAGCCCGGCACACTGGCTCATGCCAGTAATCTCAGCACTTTGGGAGGCCGATGTAGGGGAATTGCTCAAGCCCAGGAGTTCAAGACCAGCCTGGGCAACATGGCGAGACCCCATCTTCACAAAAAGCAAAAAAATAAAAAACAGCTGGGCATGGTGGCACAAACCTGTAGTCCCAGCTACTTGGGAGGCTGAGGTGGGAGAACTGTTTGAGCCTGGGAGGTTGAGGTTGCAGTGAGCTATGATAAGCACCACTGCACTCCAGCATGGGCGACAGACTGAGACCCTGTCTCAAAAAAAATTAAAAATAAAAATAATAAAAGGTATTAAGTAACAAAAGTGCTTTGTCTGGGAAAATTCAAAGTCAAAAGTGATTATCTGGATGGAATGAACAGAACCAGCTTTCACAGAAGAGGTAACAAGAGAGCATAAAGAATGGCTGGAACCTGAACAAAGAACAGGGGAAATGACTGTCCAGGTCAGGTTTCTTAACCATGGCACAAGGAATGTTTGGACTAAAAAATTCTTTGTGGTGAGAGCCTCTCCTTGTATCATAGTAAGTTTAGTATCACCCTTGGCCTCTACCAACTAGATGCCAGTAGCACCCCTCCAGCTGTGACAACCAGTCCCTAGACATGCCACATACCCTGCAAGGGTGGGGGAAGCAAAATCATCCCTGGTGGAGAACAAGTAAAGGAAACAGCATGTGCAACAGCATGGAGACAAATAGTACAGGGCAGGAGAAGGATTTGGTTGAAATACAAAGTTGTCATGACTGGACGGCACAGTGGCTCACACCTGCAATCCCAGGGCTTTGCAAAGCCCAGGTGGGAGGAATGCTTGGGCCCAGGAGTTCAAGCCCAGCCTGGGCAACACATTGAGACCCCAACTCCACAAAAAAAATATAAAAATTAGCCAGGTGTGGTGGCCTGCACCTGTAGTCCCAGCTTCTCGGGAGGCTGAGGCAGGAGGAGCACACCAGCCCAGGAGTTCAAGGCTGCAGTGCATTATGATCATGTTATTGCACTACAGCCTGAGCAACTGAGCAAGACCTTGTCTCTAAAATATAAAAATAATAAAATGTTGTAACAATTCATTATGAAAGTCAGGGCTAAAACACAATACAATAATGACATACAGGGTTAGAAGTCTTCTGGACCCACAAGGCTTCATACTTTTTGTTTAAAAGTTTGGGATGTATTCTATGAATGAAGAGGAACCAAAAAAGGTCTTTGACCTGAGAGTAACAAGTGCACTAAGACTTGTTGGTAATGTTGCTTGGAAAGGATGAGAAATGGTTGGTTAATGTCCATCTTTGGTGAGGGGATTTTAAAGGGTTGTTGTATAAACAATTTATACTCAATATTTTCTTCATCAACTGAAGAGTGGTGAACGTTTTTCAGTCAAAAGCTTACATATGTATGATATTTCATAATGAAATTTTTTCTTAAAAACTTATATAAGCATTTTTAGATTCTTTGGTGCTAGACAATGTTTTGACTTTTAGACAGACTGTATTTCAGATGACATGCTTGCCTAATTTTATTCTTGAATATGGATCGCCTTTTTATACAAGCATATTATCAACCTAAAACTAGATTACAAAGTGACTATAGTTTTCTTCTGGTTCCACTCAACAATGAGAACAATTATTTCATAGGGACATATTTGTAACTTGCTTTAACATTGTTAGACCTTTATTTGGAGAATTTATTAATATTTTGAACACATAAGCAAGGTTTGTTTTGTATATTTATATATGTGGAAAGAGGAATAGATAAGGTATATAAAGGAAGAAAATTTGGTGAGGAAGAACCTCATCAATGCCAAGTCAAATCTTCAACACTGTGGGCAGGTAGTGAGCCAGGCAGAAAAAGCTGTTAATATCTAACATTCAGTACGTACTTACTATATGCATCAAGCACTATTCTGAGACTTGGCATGTATTAATTCTTAACTCAAAACAACCCTATGACATAGTATCTTCTTCCACAAAGCTGTTCCTGATTTTTTTTTTTCTCTTGGAGACAGGGTCTGGCTCTGTTGCCCAGGTTGGAGTGCAGTGGCGAGATCTCAGCTCCCTGAAACCTCCGCCTTCCAGGCTCAAGCCACACTCCCATCTCAGTCTCAGTATCACCATGTTGCCCAGGCTGGTCTTGAACTCCCACACTCAAGCGATCCGCTCGCTTCCCAAAGTGCTGGGATTACAGGCATGAGCCACCACGCCCAGTTTGTTCCTCATCTTTCTAACCAAAATAAACACTATTTACAGTATAGGGTTTTAGAGTAAATACCTTGCCCAAGTTAACTGGTCCATGGCAGGGCTAGGGACTTGGGCTCCAAAAGGGAGGACCAGGCTGTTGACCTTGCTATAAGGTGGTGGTGAGCCCCATGACCACAGGTGACGTCGTAGGATGGGGAATTTGAAAGAGCACTCTTCTGACTTAAAATACCACACAGGTCCTTTATTGGAATAATTTCAGCCTTAATGAGACTGGGGTTGTCTTTTTAAACCCTGTCATTACAGGCATCACTGTGGCGCATTAACACCAGGACTAACTTTGTACCTGGTCATGGTCATACTGTGCTGTAGAAGTGCAAGTAATCAGTTTTAAAGTATTTTTAGGTGACATCTGAGACTGGTCCTCAGCTGGTCAGCGTGGCCAGGACACTGATAAGAGGCATATCTTGAAGTCAGATGGGTCACCTGTGTGGATATATTAGCAGTGGTTTTGTTTTTTAAGTTGGGCAACAGTCCTAAGTGAGGAAGAGAAAAAGATTTTGTTTGTTCGTTCATTTGTGTGTTTCAAGTTGTAGTAGAGCTAGCAAGAAATAAAAACATCTAGAGTATTTGTAAAAACTGTTTTAATTGTGGCAAAGTATATACAACAAAATTTACCATCTGAGCCATTTTCAAGTGTACAGTTCAGTGGCATTAAATACATTCACAATGCATCATCAGTCATTTCTGCAAGTTTTTATCTTGTAAAACTGGAACTCTGTGCCATATTAACAGTAACTCCACGTATCCCCTCGCCCCAGCCCCTGGCAGCCCCCTTTCTACTATGTCTCTATGAACTTGACTCCTCCACGGCCCTTTTGTAAGTGGAATCACATAGTGTTTGTCCTTTTATGGTGGCCTTATTTCACTTTGCAGAATGTCCTCCAGGTTCATCCATGTTGCAGCATGTGTTAGAATTGCCTTTTTTTTGAGGCTGAAACATTCCTTTGAATGCGTCTTGTATCCATTTTGTTTATTCACTTGTGTTGATGAAGGCTTAGGTTGCTTCCGCTTTTGGTTACTGTGAATAGTGCTGCTATGAATGTGGCTGTACAAATATCTCCTTGAGACCCTCCTTTCTTTTGGATATACAGCCCGAATTGAAACTGCTGGATCATGTGGTAATTCCATGTTTACTTTTTTGAAGAATCATTATATTGCTTTCCACAGCAGCTGCCCCATTCCACATTCCTATCATCATTGCACAAGGGTTCCAATTTCTCCACATACCTGTTAGCACTTATTGTCTTGTGTAGCTCACTGCAGCCTCAAAGTCCTGGGCTCCAGTGATTCTCTTCCTTAGCCTCTCAAGTAGATGGGACTACAGGCATGCGCCACCACACCTGTCTAGTTTTTTTTTTTTTTTAACTTTTTGAAGACATAGGGTCCCACCATGCTGGGCTCAAGCTGGTCTTGAACTCCTGGCCTCAAGTGATCCTCCCACCTCAGCATCCCAAAGTGCTGGGATTACAGGTATGAGCCAGCACACCTGGCTTATTTTCTGGATTTTTAAAAATTATTTAAGATTACATCTGTGCTAGTCAAAATAAACTACAATGTGAGGTTAACCAATTCATTTTTTATTTGATCTTGAAAAGAGGTCCTAAGATCTGTGTTGATTAATATTACTATAAGGCCCCTAAATACGGTTTTTGGAAAGTCTGGCCAAGTGGGCTCATGAAGCGGAAAGGCTCAGGAATAAGGGTTTAAACACAGCATAAGGGTTATAACATTTGCAGTACTATGAACTTTTGGAAGCAATGTACATAGTAGTGTTTATCTGGAGCATGCTTTATACAATGCCAACAAGTCAGGACTGTCTGTAGTCTGGGCAATAATATCCCCCGGCTACAACAGATGATTCCACTGTAAGGGCAAGACTGAGCCGGCACCAGATAATATAAGCAAATATAACGAAAAGTGTTAAAACTCTATTAATAAGATCAGCTAGACAAAAAAATTATCTCATACATAGTGTATATTTGACCTCTACCACCATACAGAGTCTGTTAAAGGTTTCAGAGTATAGTTTTATTCTAATTATAATTTGCAGTTTAATCTCTCAAGTACAATAGTCTGAGAAGATAATAATTACTTATTAGCCACACAGGTCACAGATTTTGGCTTTTTAAGAAGAAACAAGAGCCCTCATGCAGACCCCTGGTACAGTCTCAACTGGTGGAGATACTATGTAAAGGAGCTTTTAAATTATTAAATAGCCTCTAAATAAATACATATTTTATATATATATATACACACATACACACACACACACACACACACACACTTATATTACATTTATTAGTAACCTAATTTTTAAAAGCCCATTAAGAATGTCAGAAAATGTAACTTAACACTTGGAACTAACTGAACAGGTATTTTAAGACAGCTGACTGTTAGAAACTTCAAGGCTAGAATGGTAGATTTCTGTTTTTTAAATATTTTATGGTTTTCTATAAGAACTTACAAAACATACTGACCTGTTTCGATGAAAACATTTCTGGTTTGGTTTTACATTTAAGTCATATTTAGATATTTAACACCTTTATAAGGAATTTCTATAGTTTTTTTTCACTTTTGTAGATACGGGAATTCACTATGTTGTCCAGGCTGGTCTCAAACTCCTGGGCTCATGCAATCAACCCGCCTCAGCCTCCCAAAGTGCTGGGAATACAGGTGTGAGCCACCATGCACAGCCTCAATAAGGAATTTTCAGATCATCTGAATCCATCCCCAGGGGTTACTAACACACAAACCAAATAGAATTCCATATATTTTAGTATACAGCACATCCTCAAATAACATCGTTTCACTGACCATCATTTAGTTACACAGTTGATAAGAAAAATCCATTCCCAACCGGGCCACTGTCTGGTGGTTTTTCTCTCTGGGTACCTGGGTTTCCTCCCAGACAAAGCTGGGCACATTAGGTTTATTAACGCATTTACCTGGTCCCAGTCTAAGGACATGGGTGCGGGTGTGAGTGTGAGTGTGCCCTGTGATGGGATGGCACCCTGTCCAGGACTGGTGCCCGCCGTGTGCCCTGAGCTCCTAGGATAGGCTCTGACCACCTGTGACCAGGTGGAATAAGTGGGTAAGAATTATCTCACGTTGCATTAATCTTTCTTAAATATAGGTATGGCTCACATTTATTTCAACGTTTAATGCTAGAAGTGTTTTGGTCTTTACTTAAAAGTTTGGTGGTGTTTTTGTGAACAGAAATATGCCACAGAAACTTAATCTTGTTTGTATCAATTAGCCTATGGGAAAACTGGTTTCCATATACGTAGTTTCACTTCAAATTGCAGTTTCTAAGAACTCACTGATGACATTGAAGATTTACTGTATGGGGTTTTAGAGTAAATTTCTAAATGTACGTACAATTTTTCACATTTTTTAAATATCTATTTGGTGATCTATATATTCAACAGATGAGAATCAGTAGTCACTTTTAGGGATAGTTTCCTGGGAGATGGCACCCAATAAAGTCTCCAATGATGGGACATGATTTTGAAAGAGTACATTAGCTGTGCTCACAAACCAAGATCCAATCTTTCCTCAACCAGATGAACTTTTCCTTAAGACCTGAAACACTGATGAGTCTTGGGCACATGGCTACAATACTTTTCATTGAGTCCCTGAAGGCCATTTTTACCTCAATGAAATATCATCTAAAGAAAAATTATTTAAAACTCCAGTTGTATAATTTCAAGATAGTTTAGTGTATTTAGTATGACTCACTCTTCATTAAACTTCACAACTATTTTTAAAAGCTAATTTAAATAGTTACCTGTTTGAGCTGATCGATGGAAACAGGGCTTGGGCTATTTCTGTACCACCCTCAGACTAAGAATGCTTTTTATATTTTTCGAGGGGACTGTGCATCAGAGGCCTTCTGTGGCTACACATCTTAAAATACTTCTTTACAGAAAAAGCTTGCCAAGTCCCGAATCAAAACAGAAATCAAAGTTTTAAAGGGAAATCGTCTCTTGTACTCTGCAATCAATAGCATTTTTTTTTATACATACACACACATAGACACATTCATGCCCCCCCATCCCCATCCCACTTTAATCTGGAAGGTACCTGATCTACACAGAATTCTTTGAGTCTCTATCCACCAAAATGCAGTCTACCTCTCCTGTGATGTGAAGGTGTTGCCCAGCCACCCTTGATCTAGGTATGGTCCACGGCTAGTTCTTCACAATGGCATGTGAGTGGAAGTGATGTGTTTCACTTCACTTCAAACCAGGGCTTTGAGAGACAGAGAGAGAGTCTTGCTCCGTTATCCAGGCTGCAGTGGCACAATCACAGGCCCCTGCAGCCTCAACCTCCTGGGCTCAAGTAGTCTTCCCATCTCAGCCTCCCAACTAGCTGGGAACCACAGGTGTGCCACACCACATCCAGCTCATCTATTTTTAATTTTTGTAGAGACAGGGTCTGCCTACATTGCCCAGGTTGGTCTCAAACTCCTGGACTCAAGTGATCTTCCCACCTTGGCCTTGCAAAGTGGTGAGATTACAGGCATGAGACACCACGCCTGGCCCAAGCTAGAGTTTTTAAGAAACAGTTATACTTTCTCTATACTTTCTTTCCTTTCTCTGACTGAATGCTGAGGTGTTGAGCCCTGAGGATGTCGAAGCCACCACCAGCCATACCACCCCACGACAAACAATACTGTTCTACTGTGTTCAGTCACTGACATTGTTGTTATTAGAGCTATTGAGAAAACAGGCTGTAATAATCACTAACATACGCATTGTGGATTTACTGCCTCTCATATTTAACTAACTTCTACTTAATTTGGAAGTTCTCCCAATCACCCTTCAAAAAGAAAGAGAAAAAAACCATGAAAACAGATTGTTTAGACTGCAGAAAGCAGTCTGTTTATTCTACCCATCAGTCTTTTCCTTGACAACTGGCTAGTGTTGCTCTTTTTTTGTTTACTGTAGCTCAGATGATTTATTTAAAACCTCACTATAACCATATTTCAAATGAACCAAAATGTAAAACCATTCCTGCTTCATGTGTGTTGTTCAAATACCAATGCTGCATCAAGAAATTATAGCATCCCACCCTATGGCTAGGTTTTGGAGGCAGAATGTAAAAGTGGACAAAAATAGCTCCACTTCAGTTCTTTATTGTAGACAAGGGCCAACAAAGCATAAGAAAGGTAAGAAATGTCACTTAACCTTGAAACACTATAGGATATCTCCCAAACAAGAACTTCCCAATGCAACTGAAACTTGACATTCTCAAAAGCTGCATCGTGACACCATCGCTGGTTCAAAAACATGTCAGAACTGCTGCAACACATGTCTCCGGGACATGGATTCCTTCCCACATGACTGGCAAAATGGGAATGACAACAGTATCATGGAGAAGGAGTGTTGGTTCACGAGTGGTTCTTCCCAGCATGTTAACGTTTTGAAGCTATTGAGGGCCAAGATTTTTTCACAAATAATGAGAAAGACTTAGAAAAAAACAACAAAAAAGAAAACAACCCTAAGAAAAATCAATCATATCAAAGCACCTTCCTTTTGTGCAAGCAGTGGGCATGGGGGTGGCTGGTTTAGTCACCTCAGTATCTGCTGGGCTCTCCATCACTCAATGATGGTGTGGGGGCACATGAAGGCTACACTCTGAAACAGAGCTTTAATTCTAGTGAAACTGGCCTGCAGAATAAACTAACATCTCCAAGAATGAATCTACATAACCCAGGATGAACATGTCCCAGGATAAAATAAGGCCCCTACAATCATCTGAGTATAATGCTGAGCGCAAGTTTCAAGGAAGAGTTAAGCCTCCCTGTATTTTTACTTCAACTGTCATTGCTTTTGTTAAAGTTCCACTTACAAAGTTACATAGTTTTAAGTAGTCTGGCCTTAATCCTGTTTTTTTTTCTACAGCCCTGTTATTTTTAGTGTATGATTTTGCAGAATGAGAGGTTTTTCAGGAATGTGTGTATCACATTACAGTAGGTATGAGCCCATCGCTAATTTGAGATAGTGAGTTGAAATGCCAAGCAATAAGCAAAAAAATACACTTCAACCTCATCAGACCCCATCCAAAACCAGGTAACATGCCTGACACATATCACATTTAATCATAAAGGCCTGCTTGGGTACACACCAACCCTTTCCCACATTACAGCTCAGAAACTACCTAAAAATTAGTATGCAGTTCCTATCAAATAGTGGACGCCCCAAACACAGTCCACAAATGCTACAAACACATTCAAATTCTGTTTTTCCAAACTCATCATGTGATTGTCTCTAACTTCAGCTTCGTTTTGACAACTTTTGTTTCATCTGCAAACTGAGTAATGAGTCCTTTATTGTAGTTTCTCTTCCCTTCCAACCCACAGCCATATATACCATCACCCTCTAGGCCCAACCAAAACCACTTGATTGCTTAAACTTTGAACACAGAATTCCTTTTTGGAAGACATCATCTTTTCCTTCAGAGTTTTCTTCAGCTTTGAAGGCAAAGTGGCATCTTTTAAATGTACAGTGTAGGGTGATTTATTAACTCTTCTGTTGACTACTCAAAAGCTGTCTTCCTTACGACCAAACAAAATGACAGATTTGGAGTTCTGCTCATTTTGATGCGGAATCACCAACGAGCAGAGGATCTAACCCTCCCTGCCCTGTGCAAGTCCACAGACCCCAGGCCCCACCTCTGCCAGCCCAGCCTCTCCTAGGATTTCTGGCCCTGAGCTTCTCCGTTACAAGGTTCTCGGATTTTCTCAGCATCCCCATGTACATTTCTAGGTGGAGTGCAAAGGGAAGGTATTGAGTGTGCACAGATGCAGGGATGCTTGCTGATGTGCCACACTAATATCTTACCAGTAAACACCATCCAACTCCCCCTCATCCCCTCTCCTGGCTGTTCTCCCCACGAATCTATCAAGCAAAATGTAGGTAGGCCATTTTTCTTCTCTGCTCCCTTCTTTCCTGTCTCTAATGACACTCAGTATCTATTAGGTCATGTCTCCTCTTTCATTCACCAGTTTCTTTTTAGGAATCTTATCCTTGGCACTGATTACAACAAATATAACATTTCTGAATTTGAGACACAAAATTCACTGGATTGAAATATCAATTTCCAAGCATAATAAAATGCCTCTAACCTGGCACTTCTGAGCACCAATGGGGATCATCTGTGTTCATAATAATGACCTTGAAATACTTCAAACTTCCAAAGAAAGAAGCTTTTGGATCAAAGGAATCCTCAATTATATGTCATAATTTTAATGTTAAATGTCTTTCCTGCATTCTAAATCCAGGCATAATATATGGCAACAGCAACTCTTTGGTTAATACAGACTTTTTGCCAAGCCACTCCAGCTAAAAGGTCCATTCAGATTGTTTAAATACTGGTAATCCATTAGAATCACCTGAGGACCTTCTTTTATCCATTCCGCCCCTCTAAATCTAAGATGCCTAGTGATAAAAAGTTTACCAAAAACAAAAAACAAATTCCCAAGCAATTCTAACATATGCTCCTTCTCCTTGATAACTAACTCATAGATATTGGCAGAAATCAGCCTGTACAACTATGCTTCTCATCCCTGTCTGTGTACTGCTTAGGGAACTTTCTGAAAACCTAGATTTTTTAAATATATAGATTCTTGGGCCCATCCCAGATCTCTTGGATTACAGTCTCTTATGGTAGATCTCAAATACCTGGCTCCTCAAGTGATTCTGATGCACAGCCAAGGTTTGAAAACAGCTGCTTTGGACGGGTGCAGTGGCTCACGCCTGTAATCCCAGCACTTTGGGAGGCCAAGGAGGGCAGATCACCTGAGGTCAGCAGTTCGAGACCAGCCTGACCAACATGGTGAAACACTTTCTCTACTAAAAGTACAAAAATTAGACGGGTATGGTGGCTCATGCCTGTAATCCCAGCTACGTGGGAGGCTGAGGCAGAAGAATCACTTGAACTCAGGAGGCAGAGGTTGCAGTGAGCCGAGATCGCGCCACCGCACTCCAGCCTGGGCAACAAGAGTGAAACTGTCCCAAAAAAAAAGAAAGAAAGAAAAGAAAGAAAAGAAAGAAAGAAAGAAAAGAAAGAAAGAAAGAAAGAGAAAAGAAAAAAGAAAAGAAAAGAAAGGAAAGGAAAAGAAAAGAAAGGAAAATAAAAGAAAAGAAAAGAAAACAGCTTCTTTATATCCTTGGGATACAACTGCTGTTCTCAATGTTTCCAACAGGTCAACAGAGAACCAACATATTTGAGTGCAGTATTTACATGGGACCTGTGGGGTATGCCAAACCTACATATTCCTTTGTGTAATGTGGAAGTCACGGGGTTGTAAGGTGCATCTACCCTGAGAAAGAGAATGGAGTGAGGTACTGAAAACTGTGTCCTAAGACACAGACCCAGAGGTATTAATATTACTCAGCTGTTTGATTCATCAGCAGTTACAATCAACTACAAGACTTACAAGCCTACCCTAAGCTCTGCAGAGTTTAATATTAACACATTAGACTAGACATCAGAGGTCTCAAAGAACCTCAGCTTATATACCAAGAGGCCCCAGAGGTTGAAGAATATCATTCCTCCATCTTCAATAAGCCAGACAACAACGTCCCAGAGGTAAAGCAAACTAATTCTGTCCCGCCCACAGCTCTGTGAGCTCTGGCTTCAAAAGTTTCCTCCACCAGTGCCATAGGTTACTTTATCACTTTAAGCTCACTTCTTCATCTGTAAAATGGGCACAAAATGCTTGTGAAAATTAAGTGAGACTATATATATAAACAGAATATTCAATATAGTTTCCTTTCCTCCTTAGTAATTTCTCTACGCCTCCTCCACTCTCCTTGGATTTTTGTCATACATTCTAACACACTAGCAGGGCTCACCTCAAGTTTACTGCAAGTATCACACACATGTCCTCTCCAACAACTAAACTAGGACATAGGGGGCCTTAGGAGGCACCTTATTGATCTTAGTTTCTCTAAAATGAACACGAAGCTTAAACTCATTAACTGTTTACTGGCAACCCATTCAACAGACCTGATAACTCAGCTCCTAGTTCTATTAATAGGACAGCAGTGGCTATCAAACCTTAAAGGTTAGAATTACCAGGGAGCCTGTTTAAAACACATACACCCACCAACAACAACTACTTAATAATTGATTCCGGCAAGGATTCCCAAAAGACACTAAAACCATAAGGTAAACGGTATTTAGGAAAAGAGACACTGATACTTTGCTAACATATGACCCCACAAGTTACCTACCGATTGCCAAGGGAAAAACTACCTTTATATAAAGAAATCTGGCAGTCGCAACCTTAACCAAGGGATAAAACTTAGCATCACTAATAGTGGGACAAAACACGTATGGGGCGCCTACTGATATGATGCCAACATGAAGAAAGCAGTACTTCTGACAAAAATTTGTGCCTGAATGTAATTCAGCCCCTAGATGCAACTTCAAGTTTACTAGAAATACAGAGTGCAAACGACACCTGCAAGAGACACTCAGGAAACGCAAAATATGAGCAGACAAGAGAAATGGACAGGACACTGGAAAAAAGTCAATGTCATGAGAAAAAAAAAAAAAAAAACAGAGAGGGACTATTCTAAAGAAACAGCAATATAATTCATAAATTTTTATCAAGTCCCTGATTGGAGGGGAGAAAAAACCCACAAGCAAATTTGCTGGGGACAACTAGGCAAATCTGAGTACAAAACAGCTATTAGATGATTTTACGAATTAAGGATAATTATGGAAATACTCTTAATTTTCTTAGGTGCAATAATAATATTGTAGCTTTGTAGAATGATTCTAAACATTTCATATTTGAGGTGAAGTATTTAGAGGTGCAACATCAGGATAGGATATGTGTTAAATACACACACATACAGATAAATATATCTATATTAACAACTGGCCAGGCACAGCGACTCACGCCTATAATCCTTGGGAGGACAAGGCAGGAGGACTGATTGAGGCCAAGAGTTCAAAACCAGCCTGGGCAATATAGCAAGACCCCATCTCTACAAAAAAAATTTTTTTTTTTTGTGAGGTGGAGTCTCGCTCTGTCACTGAGGCTGCAGTGCAGTGGCACGATCTGGGCTCACTGCAACCTCCGCCTCCCGGGTTCAAGCGATTCTGCTGCCTCAGCCTCCTGAGTAGCTGGGACTACAGGCGCGTGCCACCACGCCCGGCTAATTTTTGTATTTTTAATAGAGACACCATGTTAGCCAGGATGGTCTCGATCTCCTGACCTCGTGATCCATCCACCTCAGCCTCCAAAGTGCTGGGATTACAGACGTGAGCCACAGCGCCTGGCCTACAAAAATCTTTTTAAACGAGTAAAGCATGGTGGCACACGCCTGAAGCCCCAGCTACTCAGGAGGCATAGGCAAGGGAACTGCTTGAGCCTAGAAGTTCAAGGCTGCAGGGGGCTATACTCACGCCACTGCACTCCAGCCTGGGAAACAGAGTGAGAATCTGTTTCTTTAGAAAAAAAATTACTGAAGCCAAGTGAATGGTAACAGGTGTTCATTATACTGCTCTATTTCCCTGTGTGCTTCAAAGCTTCAATAATAAAAATTGAGCAAAAATACACACTCCCTGGCCCAACTCCCTGAGGCTCTGATCCTGGAGTCTGTAGTAAGGCCTGGAATCCGCATGTTAATGGCCCCGTGGGCTCTCCTAACACAGGAGTCTCTGCCACACTTGAAGAAACACAGCTGAAGTGAGAAAGTCAGGCACCTGCCCTCTGGAGGGGCCTGAGTTCTAGATTGCCCTGCCTGCTCAACTTCACTGGCAAGCTTCCCAAGCCATGGGTTTGGCATCTTCCTCAAATCTGCTGCCTTTCCTCATTTGTCCTGTCTATTTAAGACGGAAAGAAAAGGAAGCATCATGGTGATATGAATGTTTTAGCTCACCTACCCATGAGTGAAAGCATGTGGCCAGGGCAAACCGTAATTATCAACCCTACCTTTCCTCCAAGAGGGTGGTGAAGAAAACAATATGTAGCTCTCTGTGAAATGAATACTCTAATTTCTTCCTAGAAATGAATGATGAGCACAGTCCATGCTCTAAATCAGTGACCAAGATAAAACAGAAATTGCTTCCTCATTTAAACTAAGAAGACAAAAACACTCCATTCAAAACAAAAATTATTTTTTAAACCACTTGTTTAATATTTCAAAAGTAAAAGAGGTCAATGAGAAGAAATTTTTTGTTAGAAATCTGTAAAATACCATAGGGTGCTGTAGTATGTTTTGAGCTATATTAAAATAATACAATATACCAAGATCTACCCACATTAGAAATACAGAAATGAAAAATCTCATGTAGAATTTTATGTAGAACTATATTAATGTCACTGTAACAATATCCACTGAATTCTCTCAGCAAATTCCATCTTTCCTAAAAATTCGACTAGTGTCAAAAGAGAACTTATACCTTAATCTAAACAAACAAAAAAATTCACTTAACAGAATTATTTCCTAAAAGAGCTCAAGTGACCTGATGGTATCACTAAAAAAATTTTTTTTTTACAAACACTAACTTTTCAAAGTTAAAGAACACATCTCAAACAACAAATTACAGCAGGTAATTTTAAGGTTCTGACCCCCCCCCCCCCCCACAAAAGAAATTAACCTTGGTAAACAATTCAGAAAAACCACCAAAATACTTGGCTTAAACAGATACGCATATATTGCTTTAGCTTAATCTACCACTAAAAATTTTAAACAGATTACAAAAAAAAGACTACTGAAAAATATAGTTTAATTTTAGCTGAAATTGCAAATTCACAAAATTAGCTGATAAAGTCAGCACAAGTTTCTCAGTAGGTTTAGTCTGCCATAAATTTTAACATTAACTAATGAGATCTCCAAAATGTCCCTATACATAGGTGACACAAAATGAGAATTTGTTTAATAAGTCAAAACAATCCATGGCAGGACTTAGAACTCTACTCCGAATCAGCACCTAGGAGACATACACACTTGCTTTAAAAATAGATTAAGTGATCAAACCAGAATCTGAAATTCCCTCTTTAAAGCTATTTTCAAAGCACAAATACCTGTAGCATAATGAACTTTTTTACACTGAAGGGACATTAAAGATCAATCCATTTAACTGCTTGTTTGATAAATATGAGGAAACTGAGGCCAGTGGTTGTTTGTAACTTGCAGAGTGAGAAACCTGACTTCTTAATTCCACCAGTCATTCCCTTCATACCAGGCTATGTCCTGCGCTTTTCTTAAGTATCTCCAATAGCGGTAAGCAGTGGATTGTCTTTAGGCAATTAGTCAAAAGTCAATGAACTTGTTAAATGAGGTTATATTTTCATAAATTTTTTATAAGTTTTACTTTTTAAGAGGCAAATAAGAAATCCAGAATTCCTGATGAGAAGAAACTAGATGAATAGCACATCATGGGGAGTAAACTAAAATTTTAACCACAAACTTATTTGCAGACAGCACGTTGTAAAGCAAATCATCCTGGGGTGAAAATGGCAACATCAGAGACACAGTTTCTTTTTGCATCCCACAGAATCTTTCCATCCCACAGAATCTTTCCAACATTACAGAATCTATCCACTGCATAAGCCTGACTAGGCAATTGACCTTATGAATAAGTCTATAGTATCAAATGATGTTGAAGACAGAAATGAACAACTTGTGACTTCTAGTAAGCACCTGCCTGCTAGATTTCAGGAGCACCAGCCTTCTTACAATACAGATTTTGACACTTTGTTTCTGGATCCTTCTGGAAATACTATGCTGCATCCCCAGTTGCAATTTCGCTCCAAAGCATGCCATTTTTTCATCCCCTTCCCTTGAAAATTTACCATAAATGTCAAGTTTTTAGGGTTACTGTTCACTCAAAAACAAGAAATAAATCTTTAGAGATGTTCTCTTCTTATTCATTCTCCTGGAGGAAGTATCTCTGTCTCAATTTAACCCACTTACCCTCACAGCTAAGCAAGTATTTCTGGATTTTTCAGATGGGAGGAGGGAGAAGGGAAGAAACCAGGTGAGGCAACTTCATGTGGTTAAATCTGCTCCTTCTTTTCCTTGATGGTACCAAAGGGTCTTGCCCACTGCAACATTATAAAAAATAATCACCCTAGTGTTTTTACAGTTTAACATTTTATGTTTACACCTTTCATTCTTTTAGCATTTCTGTTTACCTAAGGTAGAGATTCATTTTTTTTTCCAAATGGATAGTCAACTGCTAATATCATGTTAAATAATTCTTTTTCTATCCACTGATTAGCAATGCCACCTTTACTATGTACTAAATTCTCACTAACATATCAATATATGTACAGACTCTTTATTCTCCTTTGCGAACTATCTGCTTAATTTCTCTGCACATTGGTCTAATTATTGACACATTATAGCACATCCACTTCCTGATCAGGTAAGTCTCAACATTCTTCAAAGTTTTTTTTGACTACTCAAACACATTTATACTTTTCTTAGATCAATTTTACTCAACTTTCCCCTCAGAAAAATCCCACTGAGTTTCTTTTTTTTTTTTTTGAGATGGAGTCTCGCTCTGTCGCCCAGGCTGGAGTGCAGTGGCGCGAACTTGGCTCACTGCAAGCTCCACCTCCCGGGTTGACGCCATTCTCCTGCCTCGGCCTCCTGAGTAGCTGGGACTACAGGCGCCCGCCACCACGCCCGGCTAATTTTTTTTTGTATTTTTTAGTAGAGATGGGGTTTCACCATGTTAGCCAGGATGGTCGCGATCTCCTGACCTCATGATCCGCCACCTCGGCCTCCCACTGAGTTTCTTTTAAACCAGAATTCCATTAAGTTTATGGATAAAATGAAAAAAAAAAAAAGCTATTTTTACAATTAGATTGCCACCCATTAATAAGCATATAAAGTACACTCTCTCTCTACCCACACACCCACACAGCCCACAAATGCAAGTATACAATCTATTAATGTGTCTATAATGGTACCCTGGCCCCACACAAACGAATCTCCTCATTTGTAGGTATCTAAATATTGAATATTACCATTCTTAAACCACAAAATCTTAGCATTAGAGGGACATTACAGATCACTTATCCCAACACCACTCATAATCCCAGTTATGTTTCCTCAAGCCTATTTAATAGAATCACTTCAGAATTAAACAGAATTATTATACCTTTCACACGCAACATAAACATTATTTGTATCCCATAAAAGGCAAAGAGAAGTGGGCTACATTTATTGAACACTGTTTTGAATTTGCGAATTCTTTCAGAATGAGATTAATACTTGAGCTCAAAAAACAAACAAAACAAAACAAAACAAAAAAAACAACAACAACAACCAAAAAAAACAGAAAACATGGAGTACCATTAGTGCATACCCTTGAGTACACCTGAGGTACTTTTAGACACTCATGCTTCCAAGGTAAAGTCATTTTGTTATGGTATTATCCAGGGGCCAAACTTAATGGTACCAGATCATTCCTTTCCCAATTCTGCCATCATATTTATTAAGAACACAAATCTAATATTCCTCTCCAAGTGGAATAAGCCTGAAATCCAGTTCTCAAGCGTGGGGTTCCCACGTGATCACTTGTGGTTCTTCTAAAACTATGACTTCTTGTGTCCTCCCCAGGGAGTCTTCTTCAGCAGGTCCAGCAGTGCCTCGGCCTTTCTATTTAAGTGCTGCAACAGATTCTATTCTCAGCCAGAACTAAGAACCACTCTTGTAAAATAGTCAACATGAACAAAGACCCATAATAAACTAAGTATCCCTACATAGAGGAGCAGACAGGAGGGCAGGGGAGTGATTAAAAAAATAATAAAGCATCTTCACCAGCCCAGCAACATTCACTGCAGATTTTGTAGAGAGCTGCATATCCAAATTCCACCAGTCTCAAATCAGAAAACAACGCTAAAACAGAGCTGTAGACCGCTCAACTGGATGGTGCCATTATAAAATGCAAAATGCCTTTTCCTTTTTACTCTCCTGAAGGCAACCCTCTACCACATCCCATCTCACAAGATAAAGAACCACTGACGATCCTCTTAAATATGGCAAGTGGTATAAACAAGTTAAGTAAATTCCTTTTACTCTGAAATAGAAGGGTGCAAACACACACATAAAACTACATCCATTAAATGGGAGATTAATGATGTGGCCATGAAATTTTGGTCAAAGAACTGTTGCTTCTTGACTGAAGAGAACTGACAATGCACTAAGCAACCTCTAAAAGTAACACAAAAGCAGAGAAAGGACAATAGCTGAAAGGAAAACTTGCATACATCAATGCAACAGGCAAACTAAATCACACTGCTCCTAAAGCCAAACCCTCCAAGAAAATGCTCTCACTCTCTATTAACAACACATTGTACAAAAGTGAAGCCCAATGTGACTCCTGCTCCTGGAATAAGTGATTCACATGCCAGTTATCCCCACAAAAAGCACCTGAAAAATAAAGCACATCAAGCTGTACAGACGCTGTTACATGTTTAGTAATTAGTGGGAGTAAGGCATGCATGAAAAAGACCTTAATCACACACTAGTGCTCTGCAAAGCAGGTTCATGGGGCCACATCATTCTACAGACAACCATTCTTCCATGCTCCAATTTCAGCCCAGCCAAAATATTTTCTTACATTCTGTAAAGTTATTTGATAAAAGACGTCAAGTATTTGCCATCTTGACAGGAATGGCAAGATGCAGAGAAGTGCCCCACTTTAATATCGAGGGAAACTAAGTTTTATTAAATCGGTGTTGTGCTCTGTCCAAGCTATAACCAAATAATTTTACATTAAAAAATGTAAAGAGACAAGTATTCACGGGTTAATGGAATCAGTTTTGACAATGTACAACTTCACTGACATCTTTTCTTAGAGATGCGGCCCAAACCAAATGATAGAAATATTAGATCTTAACCTTTATGTTATGTGACCATAAGAAATAGCAAAGTTTCCACAGCAAATATGTTTAAGGAAACAACTATAACCCCAAAAGATCTTCAATAAAAACAGAGATGATGTATGTTCAAACACATTGACAAGCAATTGTTTGCCGAAAGATTAAAACAAGAATTCCTCTAAAGCTTTTACATATGAATGATTTCAACGCAAACAACATGGCTAGCAGGTATTAAAACAGCAGACCATGTTCCTGCAGTATTTCAAGCAAAACCATCTAACTGGGAAAAAAAATTTTTTTAATAAAATCCTTCCTCAGTAAATACTGCTTTTGAAGTATAGCTATGTTAGAAGAAATAACTTACTAAAATTAGCATGTCTTTTAATAAGTTAACTTTAGGAAATATTTAGAGATATATTCTAATCTTGAAAAAAGATGTAAAAAAAAAACTAGACAGTAAAGTCACAGGCACTTTATATCAATGCAGAGGAAAGTTAAGATCAGAAAAAAAAAAAATACTACCCTACATACAACTACAAAAGCTAAATTGACATTTTAAATGTACTTTTCAGTTTGCCCTAAAATCTGGACTTCCACTTTGCCAAGAAACAATTAACATTTAGGTGAATGGAGGTGGGATTTTATTCTACTCCAATTTCATTCTGTCTCAAAGCTTACTACTAGTAAGTGTCCAGGACAGATTCCATTAGAAACAGTTCTCTCAGGAATTTTAACCTGACACCAACATTTTTACTGCCCACACTTCGGCTTGTTCAGCAGAAGCCTACCAGTACATGCTGCTGAATTCTACTGGTATGTTAAAATCTCTCTTCCCCATACTTTTTGTCCCTCCCCTGCTTCATTCCTGGCATCTTAACAACCAGAAAACACCCCCCAGCCCCCGCCCAAAAAAAAAAAGGTATCTCCAATACCAAACACACTACCTTTCATTCGATATGACTTTGAGTGTGTGGGTGTTTAGGAATTTAGATTTCAAATTTAAAACGTATTTCAGAATTTTATTTGACCCCAAGCTATGCTTATAACAGCTAAAAGTTAATCGGCATTTTCCTATTTTATTCTCTCACTTCTTATAAACTTATCAGCAGGAAACAAATTATCTGCAGACAAATGCAGCTAGAAAAAAAGCTGTTTGGTTCAGCCTAGAAAGGCTAGTAAACAACTCTGGGTGGTGCAGGGCCTACGGAACCACCCTCACTTCCCCTAGCCTGAATTTGCACGTAAATCCAGCAGGAGACAAAGTTATTGCATCTACTCTCATGATTTGACTTAATTCAATCCCATGTTTTCTGAAACGTTTTTATTTAAATAAATTCTGAATAGAGATCTGGACAAACCATTAAAAAGACAGCAGACTTTATTTCAGCTAACCTGGGTATATCTGTTACCTGAACTACTAAATGCCTAAAATCTCCTACTAAGCTTGGAGTCAGGGCAGCCTAGGCAAAATGTCTTCTCACAGAAGCCATGCACTTGAAGAGCTTGTCCCTGTGTAATTTATCTTCAGTAAGATTTTTTTCTCTTGCAAATGCTCTCACCTACAACTCACTGTTTCCAGAATACACACAAGCTAATTTAAGTAAGAGGGCACAGATGTACCCAGGTGTGAATGGGTTCATTTCCTCAGTTTAGCCAGTGAGGCAGTCAGTGAAGGCCACGGCAGAAAGAACACCTGCAAGTGGTTTGTGAGGGACTGAACTGGGACACGGGAAATTTACAAAACGAGAAAGGGCCGCAAAGCCAAGCTTGCGTCTTGTGTAAATATAAATCACTTACACACTGGCCTGGCTACCAAAAACATCGTTTCCCCAGAATAGGTATCCAGGTGGCTTTAACTGATTTTCTGGAGGTGAGAGTTAACACCAAACGCTCGCGCCCATCACATTTTATCCCATTTTTACCTGTCGCTAAGAAAAGGACACGTCTAATCCAGCAAACCAAAAAAAAAAAAAGTCTTTTTTCCTTCTGGGAAAGCAGTGGTTTGGAGTCATTCACAGGGGCTGGGAGTGCAGGAGGGGGAAGGGGCGTGGAATCCAGGAGTGCTCGGAGGCGGCAGCAAGGGTTTTTCCACAGGGCCCCACGCAGGCCACTGCAGAGGGAGAACGGGGGAAGAGGGGAGGATGTCTCACCTGGGAACAAACCCGAATGCAGCGGCTGGAGGAGGGAAGGCTCCCCGGGGCCGCGAGCTGGGGTGCAGCCCAGGGCGCCCGCAGCTGGTTACCTCGGGAGGCAGGGAAAAGGGACGCTTGGGAACGGAGCTCTGCAGAGGGGACGGGGAGGGCAGGTTGGGGCAAGAGCCCCGCCGAGTGCGAAGCGGGGACGAGGACGGGCCAACGGCAGGTCTCGGCCTCCCCGGGCCAAAGGCGTGGCCAGGGATCCAGATCAAACGCCGGTCTTTTGGAGACGCCAGGGGCGGCGCGCGGCCGGTCCCTCCTTCGAGCCCCCCGCGCTGGGCCCTTTCGAGGGGCCGCCCCGCGAAGCACCGGGAGGGCGGAGGGGGCTCCTCAGGGCCGGCCCGCCCCCACCCCGCAGTGCTCTTACCTCCACACCTGCCCCATCTGCAGCAGGTGGATGACCGACTGCCAGATCCACACGGAGAGGCGACACAGGCGCTGCGCCCCCGGCGTGGGGGAGACCCTCACGCCTGGGCCACCGCGGGCCGCGCCGTGGACGTAGCCGGCCCCCATCATGGGGGGGCCCCGGCTGGTGAGCCCCTCCACGGCGCCCAGCCCGCCGCCCGTGTAGTCCTGCACGAACCAGCGGAAGCTCAGGCTCTGCACCAGCAGCGACGGCACCAGCACGAAGAAGAGGGTCAGCCCGAAGTAGACGTAGTCCCCCTTGCGGTAGTAGTCGAGGGCCAGCCACAGGTCGGTGCCCACGTCCCCGAAGAACACCAGCAGCGCCAGCACGATCCACAGGCAGTCGAGCCACGGCCGCTCCACCTGCGGCGGCGGCGGCTCCGGCCGCGCGGCCGAGGGCGTCGGGGGTTGGCGGCCGGCGCCGGGGCCGCGGGAGGCTGCAGCGGCTGGTCCCCCCCGTCGGCGGCGGCGCTGCGGCGCGGCTTCCTGCCCAGGAGGGAGCGCAGGCAGGCGGAGCGGCAGCCCCAGTAGCACGAGGAGGTGTTGCAGCAGTGGCAGATGTGCATCGAGCTGCTCTCGCCGGGCTCGCTGCCGTCGCCGCCGCCGCCGCAGCCGCCTCCCCGGGCTCCCCGTCCTCCTCGCCGCCGCTGCCCACCGCCTCGTCCAGGTTGTGCAGCTGAGCGAAGCCCACCCCCACGCCACCGCCATCGGATTTCGCCGCCATCTTGACTCTCTTCCCAGCTCCGGAGGTTGGGGGGGAGGGACGGCGGGGGGGGGGAAGAAGGCAGGGAACGGGGAGGGGGGAAACGAATGGAGAGGAAGGGGGCGGGGAGGAAGCGGGGAGCAAACGAACGAGGGGGGAGTGGGCCAGGGAACCCCCTCCGCTTCCGGGTAGTTGGCGTCACTTCCGGGCGA